>NC_000008.11:37132829-37435860 GCF_000001405.40 Homo sapiens | reverse complement strand
TGCATTGCATATCTGTATCAAAACATCTCATGTACCCCATAAATATATACACCTACCATGTACCCACAGAAATTAAAAGTAAAAAATTAAAAAAGAAAATTAAACCTGGAATTCAGTGTGTGGGTTGCAGAATGACAACAATTTAAATTCACAGACATACCACATCTTCACCTTGACTTGTTTGAAACTGAGCATCTTGAACTCCAAAGCCTAAAGCCTCCCTTGCTAGAGGAAGCAACCCCTCTAACTGATGATATTATGATATTAGTTTTCTCTTTCTGTTATTTCCCAGTAACAACCCCACCTAGACCAGCTCCCTTGTGAAGGGATGCCTATTTTTCTCAAGCTTCTAAGTCCCCATCCTTGGTTGTCTCTGTCTGACCTGAATAAAAAAAAGTTTATACTTCAAAATAAATGCAAGATGTTGCTAATTTTTTTCAGTACAAATATGGGGGAAACGTGTGGGATTGGATTCTAAGGCTGTTAGAACAAAAAGGACAGAATATAAAACTGGATTGAGCCAAGCTGATTTTATATGTGTACTTACCAGAGATGGTGGATCTAATGCTAGAAGTGGTTCTGAAAATTAGTTTGCCTGGTTGCTTGATTGAAACTTGGACTCCACATGGCCTGAATTCATGAATTCAGTGAGGTTGAGGCACAATGTTCAAGATTAACTCCAAGACTTGACAAGATAGGAATATTGGGATGGAATTATCATATGCAAATTGTATACCCTTCTTCCCCATCCCCTTTATATACACCAAAAAGCCCTAGAACATAGTACCTTTTTTAAGAGGAAAAATTGGGAAATAGTATGTATTAGTGATGGGAGTATATTAGTCCATTTCCTGCTGTTGATAAAGATATACCCAAGATTGGGAAGAAAAAGAGGTTTAATTGGACTTACAGTTCCACATGGCTGGGGAGACCTCAGAATCATGGCAGAAGGTGAAAGGCACTTCTTTCATGGTGGCAGCAAGAGAAAATGAGAAAGAAGCAAAAGTGGAATCCCCTGATAAACCCATCAGATATCGTGAAACTTATTCACTACTATGAGAACAGTATGGGGGAAACCACCTCCATGATTCAAATTATCTTTCACTGGGTCCTTCCCACAACATGTGGGAATTATGGGAGTACAATTCAAGATGAGATTTGGGTGGGGACATAGAGTCAAACCATGTTAGGGAGCATCAACATCTTTGAAAAGCATTATGGTGACTTCCTTTGTACACACAGAGAGACGCAGCTACTAGTTGTGCTTCCTGATTTCCATGGGGATCCTGGAAAGTTAGTGGCTAAGAGTAGTTCTTTACCACTAGAGGCAAGGTCAACACAATTACTGTAATGGACAGCAAGGAAGAAGAGGTAAGTGGAATGACCTGCTGGGATCTTTGGCAGTGCCTAATTGATTACTGTATTATTGGGAATGAAATAAATATGCAGCCTATTACAATATTACTTCTTTTGCATGACAGAAATACTCTAGGTCTGATGTCTAGGATCTTAATTTGAGTGGACACAGTGGAGTGTCTTAGCTTCCTAATTAATGTCCAGGCATAAGCCAGATCATAGACCTGAGGCCCTTGATTGAAGGGGAGGCTGGCTCCCTTGAGTAAGAACGTGCAACACTGCTATAACTATATTCTGTAAATATTCCTTCGAGTCTTCCCCAAAGTTGCCTTTAGCTATTTACTAGGGTTACTGTGCACTGGGGGAAAGGAAATCTTCAGACTTTTCAGGGATTTACTAGATACTGAATTGGCTCTGAATTGACATTAGGGACCCCAAATGCTACTGTGACCCACTAATCAAAGTGGGAACTTCTGGTGATCAGGTGATAAATGAAGTGTTGGAACAAATTCATCTCCTACAGGACTCAGTGGATCCATAGACCCTCCCTGTAGTCCTTCCCCATCCAGCTCCAGAATATATAAATGGCATAGATATATCCAGTGACTTGGAATGAGGGCTATTGTTTGCCAACCATCTCTGTGGTTTGGTCTTGTCTCCTCAAATAAACTGGAAGCTCCAGAGAATGGTAAACCTCACTTAGCTGACTCCATTTTTCCCTAACCTTTGGGGGAGTGCTTTAGTATTAGTTATTCAATACAAATTTATTGGTAGTAATTTTGTGAACCATGCCAATTTCTTGAAGCATTTAGGAGAAGTAACTAACTTGTGGGGTGAGTGGAAGACAGACTGCTCTTTTAGATAGAGGGAAAGGTATCTGGCTATGGGAAAGAAACATAAATCTCTGATATTTGCCTTCTAGGGTCTGCCAAATTCAGAAAAGCGTTTATTGAAATCTACTCTTAATGCAAGACATGCAATTTATATTTATAGTCTAAAATCTTCAATCTTCATGACATTACTGTGAAGTAGATTTTAAGATCTCTCTTTTATAGCTGAGGAAACTGACGTTTGGGAACGTTAAGTGGCTGGTTTGGGGTCACTCAGTACTTGGCAGAACAGGAGTCCAAGCCCGAAATGTTAGATGTTTCCCATTTTGCCCTGGTTAGTTTTTTTTTTTGGCAGGAAATTTAAAAATTTTTCTTATACTTTAAATATTACCTTTTCTTAGAAAAAGTAAATTATTTTTGTCTCTTTGGCAATTATAATTTCAGCTACTACTGAGAACAGGAAGGATGAGAAGGAGGAAGAATAAATTTTTTTCTTTTTAACCCCTAGGGCAAGTGTTGACCTGCGATGTCTCTCTTTATACTGTGTAGCCCATAAAGGTACATATGGGACATTTAAACATGTCTTTACTAAAAAACAGAAGATCGTAAAAAGGAGATCAATCTAAAAGTTTATAAGAAATTTGATAATTTGCTTTGTAAGAAATGGCTTGCACTCCATGGCTTTAGGCCTTGCTCTTGGGGAATTTCTCCCTCATGCTTCTTGGCCCTTTTTGTGGAATGCCTGAAGCTAGCTCTCATCTCCTAGAAAGCTCATCCATGCATTTACCACCTCTGCCACAATCCCTGTTGTAGCCCACCTCCAAGATATGAAGCTGAGAGACAAGCAGAGACCTTTGGATACAAAGGGCTTATGGAAAGGAAGCCTGCATCCCACCTGCTCCCTCCTGACTAGGGTCTTCCCAGTTCCTCAATCTTCCCCAACCATGGGGGTGTGATCTCGAAGACTCGGTTAGGAAAAGCTATCTTAATGTAACTCGAGAACTCACACAACTCACATAAATCTACACACACCCTGCAAAAGATGTTTTTGTGCCTTGCCACACTCTTTGTCATGGTATTCTATAAGGGGAGCTCTGTCATTTCTTAGGGTCAAGGACACTGAAATGGCTTAATTTGGACCAGATTCTCCTAGAGCATTAACTATTTCCTAAGAGTATCTTAAGACAGCTTGGAGCGGTATTGACTTTTTAGGTGTAATGGACCTAAACGACCCATTTAACTTTGAACCTTTAATATAATAGATTCAAGATCAGAATCCTCTTTGACTTTATAGACCATCAGTGGAGCTGAATGGTGACCTACCTTAAATGTTCCTGTTAGGTCCAATGAACAGGTGAGGGAATGAGAGAAAGAAAAATATGGAAAAGTGACAGTAAGAAAGACAAAGGAAAAAAAGAGAAATAATAGGAATAAATGAGTAGCACTTAATAAAGTGCAAGGATGTATTCTTATTCTGGATCTTATTCTGATAAATCAGTAAAGACCTAATTATAAGAAGTGAGAAAAGCACAATAATATGCAAAAACACAGAGGTTTGAGGGGTAGGGCACTGGGTGATGGTGAAGGATGATTTCCTGGAGTTGTCATATTAGTTGCATCTTAAAAAAAAGTATAAAGAAGGGCAGAAGAGCCTCCAGGCTGGTGGTGGGCATGGGCAAAGGTGAAAAGCCATGAGAGCAGGAGGGGGTGAGATCCTCATTCTGTGTGGGATCCACATCTGGATGACCTCCCATGTCCATGCCTGTTCTCTTTGTTATACTCTTTTGGTAGAGATCATTTGTGGCCCACCCAAACATCTGTTCTTGCCTTCCTTTGTAATAACAGGTCCTCATGTTTTACAAGGCACTTTTGTTGTCTCTCTTGCAGCCATGTGTGGTCTTGTTACTAAGTGTTAGCCAGTGAGAGGTAAGTGGAAATATTGTGTGGGGCTTCTGGGCAGGCTTCTTGAAGGGAGGTGGGTCAGCTTGGAGGCACTCTTCTTGTCTTGCTGCCTCTTCTCTTCCTGGCCTAGAATACAGATGTGATGGCTTGAGCTCCACAGCTGTCTTGGATCCTGAGATGGCCTGGAGAGTGGACATCATTAGCTAGGATATGGAAGTAGAATTATTGAGTCTTCTGTTTTGCTGAACATGCTATACAAGTTGAGGCAGAGCTGAATTTCGTGGGAGGACAGGGTTTTAAAAGCTGTGTAAAGGAAGGGTAGACAGAGGAACAGAAAGCTCTTATAAAACAGTGTGGGCCCGTCCACTGTTACTCCAGAATGTCCCTTGGAGGTCTCATGAGGAGGTTAATACAATAATACATTCAAGAAAAACAGATCTTTTCTTGGGGATATGCACTAGGTGGGGGAGATTGTGAGTGAAGAAAGAAAAAATAAGAAAATTAAGCCAAAAAGCAAGTTTCTGTAAAACACGGAGCTGGGATAATTTGAACCCAGAACCCATATCTAACCCCAAAACCCCTTGCTTTTTCCATAGAACATACAAGAGGAGGCCCATGTTGATTCAGAGGATGAATGAGAGGTGAGATATCACAGTCACATTAGTGTCTCGAACTTCCTAAGGGCATCACAGGGATCTGGCTTACTTCCAGAAACAGACTTAACTCTGAGAATGGCTAGCTAATTTGATGGGACTATTTTTTTAACCTTTTGTTTCAGTAGAAGAGAGTGTTATACTGCTTATGTTCAAACCTTCACTTTCCAACCAATTTCTTTGGCTTTGATAGATTTATCCCATGAGTAACTTGGTGAAATCATAGACATTCTAAGAGTTTGCCTCCAAGCTTCCAAAAGGAGTGAGGAAGTGTTTTGTTGTCAGTTATTCCATTAAAAACTGGTGTGTGTGTGTGTGTGTTATGTAGTGTGTGATATCTATATGAGAAAGAAAGAAGCAAAGGAATTTAAAGTTCTGCTATAAAAGTGGGGAGTTCTGGCCCTGGAGGCCTTTATCCTTCCTGAGAGGCAGGATTTGTTAGCTACCATTTTAGCCTGCTAATGCCAGGTTCTGCCAGTCCTGTGACTTTGCCTTGGTAGAGAGCCTTGCCAGCTCTTCATTTTTGTTATCTTCTTGGTTTAAGGAAAAGCTCAACAAATCAGGCCTGGAGGGCCGTCTAGGAGCTACTGGAAACTTGCTTTGCATTTGTTCTTTATTGTTTCTTTTATTTCAGCCTGTGCTCAAGTATTGTCTTATTAAGGAAGGCTTATTTGTCTACCCTGACCTCCTAACACTCCTAATGTCCTTTCTTCCATATTCTTCTCCATAGCATGTATCAACTTTTGATATAAAACACATTTGGGCTGGGTGCGGTGGTTCACTCCTATAATCCCAGCACTTTGGGAGGCTGAGGTGGGTGAATCACCTGAGGAGTTCAAGACCAGCCTGGCCAACATGGTGAAACCTTGTCTCTACTAAAAACACAAAAATTAGCCAGGCGAAGTGGTGCACACCTGTAATCCCAGCTACCTGGGAGTCTGAGGCAGGAGAATCACTTGAACCCAGGAGGCGGAGATTGCAGTGAGCCAAGATCACACCACTGCACTCCAGCATGGGTGACAGAATGAGACTCTGTCTCAAAAAAAAAAAAACCAAAAAAATAGAAAACAAACAAGCAAATAAAAAACACACATTTGACCTGTTTACTTCATTGTCAAGTATCTCCTTACTAGAATGTAAACCCTATAAGGGCAGATTTTGTCTGTTTTGTTTACTGATATGACCCTAGTACCTAGGACAATGCCTGACACATAGTAGACACTCAATAAATTTTCATCGAATGCCATGGTTTCCAGCTATCTATTGGCAAAAGGTATTGTTTAATGGATAATCTGGTCATTAGGACCACATGGACATCTAGAGTTAGCAGAGAATAATTCCCACTTTCTCCTTGGAGTGGGCCATGGTAAGAATTTTTAGATCTTCCTCCACCTCAAGTTCACACTCACCTTCTTCTTTTCAGTTCCCACCAATTTGGTGTTTTAGGACAACAGCCTCTTCCCACCATGTTCTGTGTAAACTCTTTCTATGTTATCAGGAGCCTCTTTATGAGGTTCCAGCAGAGAAGATAACCTTATAACCTCTATATAGCAACATCCCTGAGCATGTCGGGGAGTGAGAAGAACCCTGGAGTGTCAAGAGACTTAGATCCCAGTTTTGACCATGCAGAGATCTAATTGTGGGCCTTGAGTACCTAATTCAACCCAGTACATCTTTGCCATTCACAAATTTATTGTTTGTGAACAACTTTGAAGGTGCATGGTGTGTGATATAATTTGTCATTTTTGTTGAGGCTTGAATTTGAGCTGCCTTGAGTCTTGGATACACATTTCTTAATGAGAACTGTATGGCTAAAAAGTAGCAGGAAGCAATTTGAACAGGCTTAAGAAATGGCTTAAGTAGGAAAGGTATGCATGGCTGGATACAACTGAAAGACTCAAGATCCAGGTTCTCAAGGTCTGTTAATGAGAATTTAGAATTCTTCTCATGCCATCCTTTCTTCAGTGGCTGTTGTTTGAGTGCATTTTATGACTTCGGTGCTAGGAAAGAGGTAGTGAGAGATAAAGAGAAGCTTAGACACTGCCTTTGTTCTCAAAGAGCTTATTGCCTAGTTGAGGGACAAGACTCTCCCTCTCCCCCTGCAATGAACACCTCCTCCAGTGAACACCAGTAGCTGACTGAGTTCACTAGTCCTGGGACTATTTCACATCATTGTGACATAACTGTGCCCTGAGGTAAACTCAGGTAGTCTTCATCCAAGAGAGAATAATGTTTTATTATTTTTTTCCTTCTAGGAACTATAGCGTTTGCTTTGTAGATTGAAGGAAAGATGAGGGGAACAGAATGAATAAAATATTGGAAATGTGAGTGAATCTGGTAGTGGAAATGCAGAGCAAAGAAATGACAACAAAGAATTCCCATGAGAGGGAATGTTCTGTGCTGGGCAGAAGTGAGCAAGAAGGTGTGCCCAGCTGGTGGAGGACTTAAATTGCCAGGCCCATGAGTTTAAGCTTCATAGGGCAACATGGAAATACTGCAGATATTGTTTAAAATGTAAAACCTTCTAGTGAAATATTTCATTTATGCAAACATACATATATATGTGAATATAACAAATGAAGAATAAAACAAACACCTGTGTGCTCTCTATTCCACTTAAGAATTAGAACATAGCCAATACTTTTGAATTCCTTTTGTGTTCCTCTTCCATATGTTTCCAATTCTGTGTTTCCTATTCCCCAAGAGTGATCATTGTTCTGAATTATATATTCATTATTCTCTTGCCTTTAGGTTTAATTTTACTATGTATATACTAAGTTTCATATAATTTTAAATTATATATAGATTAATTTCTTCCTGTTGTTTCAGGCTATTAACCTTACTTTTTCTATGTTTTATTTCTCCGCCACCCTTCTTGCCTTCTTTGGGGTTGTTTGTTGTTCATTTTGGTTTCCTTTTACTGGCTTGGAAATTATTCACTCCATTAATATTTATTTAAAGATAAACATTTACATTTTATTATGTGCACTTTAACAGTCTAAAATCTATTAGAATCTTAACTACAATTTTCTCAAGTACAAGGATCTTGGAATGCTTTATTTTGTATTACCCCTGTCCTCTTCAGCATTGTCCAGTTATTTTGTTTTAAAATACACAAAATAGATATTATTACTTTTGTTTTACTTTGTCAATATTTGTTAGATTTGTATACATGTTACATTTTCATTGTTCATAGTTTCTTCCTGCATTGCTAATCTTCTGCTAAATTCCTTAGTGAGGATATCTTTGTGGTAAACTATTTTATTTTATTTTTTAATCTGATAGGAACTTGAAATGTGGGTTTTCTGGATAGACTGTCCATAGTTGACAGTTCCTTTTTCCTGGCACATCGTAGATATTATTCCATTATATTCTGACTTCCATTGTCACAAGTGAGAAGTCTGTTGTTAGTCTAGTTATTGATTTCTTTTTTGCATTTTTATTTTTGGCAATCAGTCTTTTGTGTGTTTAAAAATATTCTTATTTTCTTTGCTCTTCTGCAGTTTAACTACAAAGTTTATAGGAGTGCATTATATTTTATTTATACTACTTCATATAATTTTGTTTTTTATATGAATGCATATCTTTCACAAATTTTGGCAATTTCTTATTATTTTTCTTTCAATTATTCCTTTGAATATTGCCTCTATCCCATTGACTATTTCTGTAACTTCAGTTACATATGTGCTATATAAATTCTAATTCTATCCTTCATGTTTCTTGACTTCACCTTCCTTCCTATTTTCTACCCCCTCCTCTCTATGCTGAGTTCTATATAACTTGTCAGCTCTTTTCCACTTCATAAATTTATTTCTCAATGGTGTCTAAAATGATGTTAAAACCTTTCTTGAAGTTTTTAATTTCAATGATTGTATCTTTCATTTTAATTAAAAAATTTGTCTTGCCATGTTTTGATACTCTCTGGCACTTTGTCCATTTTCCCAATTTTATCTCTTTTCTTTAAATAATTTAATAATTAGTTGTATTCACTCTCTGATAACCCAGTATTCAAATCTGTTGGTGGGCATAACTTTGATCTTTGCCATTTCTACTGATGCTGGCTTCTGTTAGCTTGTTACTTTTTTCACTTCTTAAATTTTTACTTGGGCTCTTGTTTGATTGAACGTAATTTGTGGGATCTGATTTGAGGACTTTGTGGTTTTTATTTTTCCCCTTAAAAAATCTGCTTCTGTTTGAAATTGGGAGCACTATTAAACCAGGTAGACTTCAATTTCTCAGATTGGCATTTTTTTCCATATGAGCAGTACAAATTCAAACTTCTGATGTCCCAGTGAGAACAGATCTAGGTTACACATTATAAGGGAAGACTATTTATATATATTTCCATCTAGAGCTACCACAGAGACAGTTTTCCTTTGCTAGAAGGCTGCTTTTTTTCAGTTAGCCCTTTCAATGAGGATATATATTTATGCGGAGGACTTAGTAAGTTTAGTTCCTTGACCTTGCATGAGGCCAAAGCCTGGCCTCCCATTTCCCATTCACATCAAAGCCACATTGTATCAGGGTTCTCTAGAGGGACAGGACTAATAGGATAGATGTGTATATGAAAGGGAGTTTATTAAGGAGTATTGACTCACACGATCACAAGGTGAAGTCCCACAATAGGTCGTCTGCAGGCTGAGGAGCAAGGAAGTCAGTCCAAGTCCCAAAACCTCGAAAGTAGGGAAGCTGACAGTGCAGCCTTCAGTCTGTGGCCAAAGGCCTGAAAGCCCCTGGCAAACCACTGGTGTAGGTCCAAGAGTCCAAAAGCTGAAGAGCTTGAAGTCTGATGTTTGAGGTCAGGAGGCATCCAGCACAAAAGAAAGACAGAGGCCAGAAGACTTAGCCAGTCTAGTCTTTCCACGTTCTTCTGCCTGCTTTTATTCTGGCCATGGTGGCAGCTGAGTAGATTGTGCCCACCCAGATTGAGGGTGGGTCTGCCTTTCCCAGTCTACTGACTCAAATGTTAATCTCCTTTGGCAACATCCTCACAGACCTACCCAGGAACAATACTTTGCAGCCTTCAATCCAATCAGGTTGACACTCGGCACTAACCATCACACACATTAATCTCCAAAACTCTGGGTTTTTGACATTTGCTTCCAGGGTATCACTTACCACTCCTGTTTCCACTCACTCTTTGCTTGTGTATGTAAGTATGTGGCCCTTGTTGACTTTCCTTACTTCCTTGAAAACACAGAAATGTATTTAAAAGTGTTTGCATGATTTATCCAGTACCTAAATGTTAGGATCAGAAGATATTTTCAGAATGCTCAGCCTGCTATATTATCAGAAGTAAAAGTGCCATTGTAGACTCTTTGAAGGAAGTTAACAGGGAAAAAAGGAGTCCTGAATTAAGAGTCAGAAGAGGTCTTAGTTTAGTTACCCTGAATTCAGACTCAGAGACAAATCTCCTAGATACCCTGAGAATGATGGTTTCGTTGTTAGGAAGCATGTGAGGGGGTGAGAAAATGTGACAGCTGTGGAAGAGAAGCTGAGGAGGATACCTGAACCAACAGGTTTCTGCTTTGGGATTGATTCTCAACCCTGCTGGGACTCTCTGTGGATCCATCTAGAATGTGCCTCAGAATTGTCTTCCTTGGGCCGGGCACGGTGGCTCATACCTGTAATCCCAGGACTTTGGGAGGCCAAGGTGGGTGGATCATGAGGTCAGGAGCTTGAGACCAGCCTGGCCAATATGATGAAACACTGTCCCTACTAAAAATACAAAAAAATTAGCCGGGCATGGTGGCACGTGCCTGTAGACCCAGCTACTCAGGAGGCTGAGGCAGGAGAATTACTTGAACCCGGGAGGCAGAGGTTGCAGTGAGCTGAGATCGCGCCACTGACTCCAGCCTGGGTGACAGAGCGAGACTCCATCTCAAAAATAAATAAATAAATAAATAAATAAATAAACTAAAAAAAATTTAAAAAGTAGAATTGTCTTCCTAAGGGATGGGGAAGTGTAATATGTATACATCAGTTCACATTTCCTACTGGTGAGGGATGTTCTTGATGGTGTTGAATTCCTGGTTATTTCTGGCCTGCCTTGCACAGGAGCTGAGCAGTTTCCAAGGTATTAGAGAAAGCCCTCAGGCAGTGAAACAGAGAGTGTGGGTATAGCTCAGAAGCTCTCAGTGCTCCTGGGAGCTGCACCCTGAGGCTACAGGTAAACTCAGCAGTGGACTAAGGACTATGAGGCAAGGTGTCAACAATGTCTGCTGTAGACTGGAGTTTGTGTCTTATTTCTTGACCTAATTACACTTATGCAAACACTACAAAATGATAGGGACTATGGTGTTTAAGATTAATATGAGAATAATATAGAACAGAAGTTGGCATATAATAACCCCTGGGCTAAATCCAGCCTGCCACCTGTTTTTGTAAATAAAGCTTTATTATACTACAGCCACGCACATTCATTTATGTCTCTGGCTGCTATTATACTGCAACACCTGACCGAGTAGTTGCAACAGAGCCTGTAATATTTGTAGTACAGACACAAAGCCTAAAATATTTACTATCTTTCCCTTTCCAGAAGTTTGCCATCCCCTGATTTAGTAGAACTGATCGGGAAGGACCCTATTATCGAGGAGACAAATTTGGGAACTGCTGTAGATTTCCAAATCTGAGATGAGAGGAGCCGTGACTGAGGTCTATACCTAGTACCTAGTCTACATCTACAGCTATTTTTTTGAGTTTAGAGAATTATGGTAAAGGAATTTAAAAAAACAATGGCAGGGTCTTGAGTCTGAGCGACCCTGAGAATGGTGGTTTCATTGTTAGACACTAAGAAGTCAGGACATTTTTGTTTGGGGCCGGGAGATGATGAGGGATTGGGATGGTGAGAAATTTGGTTTAAGAAGAAGTCTTGAGTCTTGAGAGCAATTGAAACGTCTAGTTTCTAAGTAAAAATACAGTGCTGGGATGAAAGTTGGAACTGCAAGGCAGTGATGGGACTTCCCATGGATCTATGTGCCTGGACAGCTTGCTGGAGCACTGAGGGGCTGCAGTCCCACCTGTCTCAAGGATTCTACCATCAAGGCCTGCACCATCCACCATGTGTTTTCGGGGGCTGCCAGATGTAGGGACTCTCCAGAAAGGAAATTCTCTAGTTTAAGCTACTTCACAGTACATAGGCTACCAGATCTGTGACTATGAAATATGAAGTAAACTTGCTTTCCCCCAAGCTTCTGTGGCTGGAGAACTTGTCTAACTACACGAGACAGACAAGCAGCCGCAAAGACAAAGGGAGGCATCCCAGATGCTCCCTTTGGGGCCTGGGGCTCCTCTGTTCTCCCACAACCTGTCTCGCTGTTTGTCAGGAGATGCTGTAGTGATGGATGACCCCAAGGCGAGGCACCCAGCAAAATGCCCAAAGGATGTAGAAAATCTGGTCTGTTCTCAGATTCATGGCCCACATTTCACAGTCATCACAGTGCAAGTGAATCAGTTTTTTTTTTGTCCACGGCCTCTAGAACTAGGGTAGCTTGTTAGTATGACTAATAAGGCCACAGATGCCAGGACATGGAAGGGACTTTAGAGTAATGCCAAAATTTCAAACTAGTTTTAAAGTGTAATTAAACAAAACAGAGGGGTTTTGTTGTTGTTCATTTATTGAATAGGCAGATATTTTATAAAGAGAGGACACTAGACAGGGGAAGAAGACCTGGAAGAGCTGGGTGTGAGTCCTGGTCTCATAACTTACAAACTGTGATCTTAACAAAGTGACTTTATTTAATTTTTTCCGGCTTTATTGTGGTATAATTGACAAATAAAAATTTTATGTATTTATAATGTATAACATGTTGCTTTAATGTAAGTGTACATAGTAAAATGATTACTGCAATCAAGCTAATTTACATACCTAACACCTCATGTAGTTATTTTTGTTTTTTGATGTGAATATTTAAGATCTACTCTCTTAGGGATTTTCAAGTATACACTATATTATTATTAACTATAGTCACAATGCTGTACAATAGATCTCCAGAACTTACCCTATCTAACTGAAATTCTGTACCTTTTGACCAACATCTCCCCTTCCCCTGCCCCCAGTCCCTGGCAGCCACCATTCAGGAAAGTGACTTAGTTTGTTCCTAGTTCCTTCTCTATTATTAGGTGGGAGTGGTTGTCATGAGAAGTAAGATAACACCTATGAAAGGGCTTTGTAAATAGAAAGTACTGTTTAAACTGTAAGCATAAAAAATGTATGGTGAGGCAGTAGGATAATTAAGTGCGCCTAGAGTTCATGCTTATTGAGCACCTAGCTGTGAAGGCAATGGTCAAGTGCTTTCCATTCATTGGTTCGTCTAACCGTTAACTGCACCCATTGGATGCAGATGTTTTTCTATTTTCTATGTTTTACAGATGAGGAAACTGAAGCTTGGAGGTTTTCAGTAACTTGCTTACAGAGGTGAAACAATGAGACTAAAGGACATATGGCCCCTGAAGCCACACTGGCTGCACAGACAAAGCCCCAAGTTGGCGGTACCTTGGTTTGGTTGCCAAGATCTAGGACCTCAGCCTCAGAAATTTGATTGCTAGTATACACAAGTGTGAACTGGACTTATGAGTTAATTTAATCTAAATCTAACTTATAAGAGACTGATAGATGCAATCTAGGATGTCAATTTATGAATTTATAATGAGAAACATCTAATAAGTAGATTGAACCTCCTTTTAACAGATCAGCAGGGTCTTTTCTTGTAGGGAAGCCAAATTATAATCAATAGCTTGCTTGATGGAGATGAAATCAGAGCACACGAATTGGTAATAGTAGTAACAATTACAGCTATGATAGTAGTAATGACCAACACACTGACCAACTACTAAGTGCCAGGCATAATGATTTATGTGAACTATTGCATCTAATTTCTACAGTAATCCTAGCAGGTACTGTTTTGTTCCCATGTTACGGGTGAGGAAACGGAGATATAGCAAGGTTAAGCAACTTACCCAAGGCGGTGAATGTAATAAGCAGTAGAGCTGGAATTTGACCCCAGGCACTCTGCTCCACTGAGGGTTGATTTGCTTCCCATAGGCAGCACCACATAGGAAGATTTCGATTCCAAATTCAGAGGGAAAAGTCAGGGTGCAGCATATAGCTAGCAGCAGAAAGTAGTTTGTGATAAGGCCCCTATGGGTGGCCAAGCAAGAAGAGGGCAGGAAAGGCTCACGGAATCAGAGAAGTCTGCATTAGTGGATGAGGAAGGCTTGAGATAGGCCTGGATGCATGAGTAGGATTTGGGAAGGTGAGACTCACTGGAAGCAGAGCAAGTGCGATGAGCCAGAAGGTGGGTGATGGAATGTGCACAGCACACCTAGAAGACGCGATCTGTACTGAGAGGCAGAAGGAGGAAGTACTTGGAGAACCTCCAGTGCTCAGGGTGGACCTCAAATGCTGAGTTGCGGTTTTATCCCAGTCTTTGGTAAACATAGATGGTGTCATGCTTGTCTACAGGTCTGAATTGAGTGCCAGCTCTGCACCAGGCATCCTAGGAGATGTTGAGGACAGAAATGTGGCTCACGTTCAGTCTCTGCCTTCCAGATGCTTGCAGCTTGGTCCAGGAGGCCAGCAGGACCAGAGAGAAGACCACAGCGACACATGGGGATGGCTGTCCCACAGGCAGAAATGAGCAGCCGGGAGGAAGCCCAGGCAGCCAGCCACCCAGCTCCCTCCACATCGTGGCCCTAGAACGGAGTCTTGAAGAATAAGAAGCCACAGCTTGTCAGGGAATCAGGCTGGAAAAATGTTATGAGACTGAGTAAGACCAGAGGTAGGTAGGCTTGGGTACCCACAAAACAGGGAAGGTGTGGCAGCAGGGAGCAGGGTGCTGGGCACAGAGAGAAATGAAGGGTGGGGAGGGAAGGAGGTTTCTTAACCACACACCCCAAGCATTTCTGGGCTTCTGCAGAGCCAGATGGGGAGGGGCACACAGACAGATGAGTCATTGTCCTTGCTCTCCAGCCTGTCAATCTAGGAGCAAATAAGACTAGACTGCAGGTTTTTTTGTGGGAGTAGAACCACGTCTTGCTCATTTTAACTTTAATTCTCTGAGAACAGTGAGCGGGTGACTGGCACATATTAAGTGCTCGTCTGTTGTTCATTGAATGAATCAATAAACATAAATAAATTTCATGTAATGCATAAATGAATAAATGCTAAACAAAGGTGAATATAAAGGAAGCAGTGGTCAGCGCTGACTGTGAGGATCCAGGGCTCAGGATCAGCAGGGTGATAGCCCCACTCATGTTGGGGTGTTCCCAGCCACTCACCCCTCAACTCTCATCACTTCATCCCCTCCTCTTTCTGCCCAAGTGGCCTGGGACTGAGAATCAGCCTGGGCAGCACCAGAAGAGCTTTGCAGACGAGATTAAAAGCAAATCAAAGAAGGAAAATTGTGGCTCAGTTTATGTCTTCCTAATTAAAACCCCGCCAGTCTCCCTTCTTTTTCTTCCCAGCTAATGTTACACTAACGAGCTGAGTTTAGTGGCATTTATGTAGATAAAAGTCCCAATGATTGATCTCAATGGCTTGTTAAAATTAGTTTCAGTCCACCATATTGATTTAATTCCATTGCTTGAAAGTGCTAATTAATAATGATAATAAAAGTGTCTTGGCCCATTATTATCAGTGGGCAGGCGGGGGAGGGGGGGCGTGTGGAAGCTGGGGGATCGTTGTTTTTAGTGTCACTTACTCTGGCTAAGGGTGGCCTTTGAAGGCTGACTGCGGGGACAGGAGGCGGGGGGACTGCGGGGCATATGGGGATGGTTCTGTCCCTTTCTCTGGATCTGGTAAGTCCTCATGGAGGTGCTAGGGGCTGCTGGAGGGGAGGGAGTGGTGGCTGCACAGGTGAGCAGTGTACCTGGCTGCCCTCCAAGCCCTCTTGACTCCCTGCAGAGTTTGAGGTGTGGGAGGGGGCACTGCTTGCCTGAGAGATTCTTGAAGGAGGTCAAATCTTTAGACCCTGTTCTAGAGGTGAGGAGGCTAGAGGGAAGGTGTCAGGAGTTCACTGCTTGGGTTCCTGATCAGCAGCAGAAGACGCAGGCCTGGACATCTGAGCTTAAAGGCTCAGCCACTCAGACCCAGTGCTGTAGGAAGCCCAGGAGTGGAGGGAGGGATTTGGGGCAAGAAAGCTCATGGATGAAGGGTCCAATGATGGACAGGGGAGAGGCACTTCCGAGGGCAAAGAAAGGAAGGGCCCTCAGACATTGAGTTGAGTTGATAAGGGAGAATTAGAGGTTTCTTCAACATTAATTAATTAGTTTAGCTTTCAAGCAGTCTTCTCACCTGAGATAAAGGCTTATGCTCCTGGAAAAGATTCTTGCAGCCACTCCAGGGAATGGAATGTGGGGGTGAGGGGAGGGTGGTGCTGGGAGTGAGAGCAGCACCTGGTGGAGTGAGCAGATATTCCAAGACTGTGGAAAGGGCCCACATAAGAAGCACCTGCGTGGTGGGGGTGGTTAGTGGGAAGAAAGTGGGAGCCGGGGAAAATGTCTCCTGCAATTTGGCTAACTCTCTCCATCCCAAATTCTCTAGGATTCTTCTATAGACCACCATCCAGATCTCTTCGTCTCTCTGTCTCTCTCACTCGCTTGCACAAAACGAAAAGTGCATCATCATATGGAGGCCTAGTTTCATTAACCACATGTGGTTTGCATTTTAGAGCAGTTGGAGGGCTGTATTCCTTCCTCTATTGAATGTAATAGATTATACTCTGAGAACCAGGAAGGCAGTAGAAAGAGCGTTCAGGTCCTTGGGGATGGGTGGAGAGCCTGGGACAACAGAGAAACACCCAGGTTGAGGACATGCACTGTTTTGAGGTGAAGGGCCAGGGATACACAGACACAGCCTGCAGAGGCCACACAAGAACTCAGCAGCTGGGCCACCATGAGGGGACCTTAATTCTGAGGCAGGTTCCGATTAGCCTGTCGTCGCTTATGTGTCCCTGTGAGCTGCTCATTCCCTGGGCTGGTCTACCAGGCAGGAATAAGCCTTTAAAGGCAGAATTCTGTAGGTTGTGCAGCTGCTAGATTAGGCAATTCTGGGCATCTCAGTCTAGAATGAAATGTCCAAAGGGATTCGTCTGATATATCTATTCCTAGAGGTGTTCTTTATTGAAGAATATTATAAAATCCCCCCCAGCTTCCCCCCAAAAAGATGAATTGAAAACTTATAGAATGCAAACTATATATGATTTGCTTTACAGTTAACTCAAGCATAATTATATGCAGTAATTATACAGTGGAGTTCCGATATTAATTACACTCCATCCTCATTAAGGAATTAACCAAACCATGTGTGGCTGGGGTGAGGAGGAGGAGGGGGTCATTTTTATTATGATTTACTCTGTATTTTTCTTCTTCCACGTTAGGCTATTTTTTTCTCTGTGCTTTGTGCACAGGATGAGCAAGATGTATTTTTTCCTCCAGTGGTTCTGGTTGGGATATGGCGTTCCTTGCATCAAGGTCCTCCTTACTAACCACAGAAAATTATCTGTGTTTAAGTAAATCCTCTAGGTTTCTTGAAGTAAACAATCTTTACCTGGGATACGTAGGAAAGGGCTTCCTCTAATCTGATCAGTCAAATCCCGACTGCCAGCTTTACTTTCCATGGGATTTGGATTTGAATGATCCTGGCTTTCTGTTTCTTGATGCCTACTCCCTGACAGCTGCCCCATATTCACCACAGTGCCCTACACTCTGATAGGGTGAAGGTGTTTGAGCTAGACTCATTTTGGGGGAAGAGTAACTTCCAGATTGAGCCCAAGCTTAGAATAGAATGCCTTGGGTAAAAAATATGGGGATCCATATGCTTCCCTGTAACACTGTGAGGCATCCTCCCTGATTTAACTCGAGAATATTGCTGTTAACTATTTCATACACGTGTTTGGATGGGGCAACAACGCTCTTAGCTGGAATGGAATCTTAAGATCCTGGTAGGGATCTTAAAAGTGATCCGTTGATTTCTCTATTTTTAGGTAAAAGACATCATTTATGTTCTTTAGGGTCTGCAACTCCCAATGGAATGTTGGAGACCATAGCACATTCCATCATCCCAGTACCTTCGATGGTTCCTTTCCATTTGGCCATAGCATTTTCTCCTTTTCCTTTTCCTCTTGCATTTTTCGCTTCTGCCCTCTTCTGCAATCCCAGCTTCCTCTTCCCAGCTGAGACCGACACAAGAGAACAATAAGGCTGTCCCTACTGACTGTGAGAGGGAAAGGAGGCAGTAGGGACAGATAAGCTGCACTCAGGACAACATTGTGTGTATGCAGTGGGGAGGGTGCTTTCTCATGGAGATTCCTGACACTAGGAATGGCAGGCTCCACTTGTCCCACAGGGCATGGCTTGGGTGACAGCTGGGATTTCTCAAGGGGCCAGAGTGATTCCCAGCTGTGATTTTGGAATAGGTGGCATGGGTGATCGAGTCAGATGGATGGAACACCCAGCAAGATCTGGTAGTATAGTATCTATACTATACAGGAATAGTATCTGGTATTGGGGTTGGGGGCTGGCAGGGTAGCAGGGTCCACTCACTCACAGAGTGGAGGGGCTGTTCAATCCTCCGTGGGTGAATACATGTTCATGGGGTTTCAGGGGGTTGGCAAAGGGAGTTTCTGGAATAGCCAGAGAGAAAAAGAGTAATTTTAAAATCTCACCCGATTTTGTTCACTCATGTGAAAATGGAATTTGTCATCAGATCCATGGGGTGAATGCTGGCTGGGAAACTGGAGGCAAAGGAAAGATCAGGAGCTTGGTAAATCTCAAAGTGGAGTGGAAGGTGAGGAGCCAGCGAGCAGGGGTGTGAAGAAAGACAGTCTAAGACTCTGTAGTGAGAACAGAGAGGCTGGAGGAGGGGGAACAGCTGCACAGCAGGGCAGCCTGAGTTGATGCCACAGGGTTCAGTTGTCTGTGGGCGAGGGTATTTGGCATTTCAATCCCACTGACCTCTCTAGTGAATCGAGCTGCAGCGAAAGTGTCGTATGAGTGTGACAGTATTGTGGTTCAGGGATATGGGAGCACCCAGAGCAGGCCTCTGCTATTCTGGATCTTGCATGTGGTCAGATGTGGAGGAGAATACATATGGGGGGTGGGGGGAATCAAGTATGGAGGAGAAGAGAGAAAAATTCAATGGTCCAGAGACAAACAGGCAGTGATGTCTGAGGCTGACCCCACTAGCTTACAAGAGCCTGTTATGCACATGTCTGTCCAGTTCCAAGTTCTGTGACATTATGCTGGTAAGTTGTTAGCTAGAAACCAGCTGTGATGAGAGTATTTACACCACAGGAAGTGGCAAATGCTACAAATCAGGGTGTTTTTCCCCTTGAGTTGCTGGGTGTTAAACATTTACCAGTGCTCCACTGGGAGCAGGACCTCTTTTTGTGGCCTGTAGATTTAGTGACAAGGGACACTGGTGTGTGCTTTACTCTGTGGGATTAGCTCAGAAATTGCACAAACTGGAGCCCCTGATGAGTCTGTGTTTTAAGAACTGAGGGAGAGAGACGCAGGTGAAAGAGAGGAGAGGGTTGGCACTTGCTCTGACAGCTGCACAGGCTGCTGAAACTAGCCATCAGGGGCCCCACTCTTAGCCTTCTGCCCACTTGCCTTGCTCTGGGTGTGTCATGTGGGCTCTGTCACATGCTGCCGGGTAGTGAAAATGGATATGGACCTGCTGAAAAACAAATTGGAATCATGTTCCATGAACTTAAAACATTTGTACCCTTTGACCCAGTAATTCTCCTTCTGGGAGTCTGTCTTAAGAAATCAAACCTAAACACGTGTCTATTTTTTTTAAAACTACAATGCCAAAAGATGTTAGCTGCAGTTTTATTTATATTAGCCAAAAGTTGAAATTAATTGAAATGTCTAAGTATAGCGGAATGGTTAAATAACTAATGGCATATCTTCTTAGTAGATTATTATGCAGTGATTTAAAAGGATGTTGATACAGTTTGGCTGTGTCCCCACCCAAATCTCATCTTGGATTGTAGTTCCCATAATCCCCACTTGTCGTGGGAGGGACTCGGTGGGTGGTAATTAAATCATAAAGGTGGTTACCCCCATGCTGCTGTTCTCCAGATACTGAGTGAGTTCTCACAAGGTCTAATGATTTTATAAGGGGCTTTTCCCTCTTTGCTCGGCACTTCTCCTTCTTGCCTCCATATGAAGAAGGATGTGTTTGCCTCCCCTTCCACCATGATTGTAAGTTTCCTGAAGCCTCCCCAGCCATGCTGAATTGTGAGTCAATTAAACCTCTTTCCTTTATAAAGTACCTAGTCTTGAATATGTCTTTATTAGCAGCTTGAGAATGGACTAATATAGAAGTGAAGGAAGTTTATGAAAAAATATAGAAATGTTTGTGATAAGAAGAATACAAAATTGTAGAGTAGCATTTTTCCAAGCATGTTTTTTGGAACACTACTCCCATGTCAAATATATTTGGAAATACTTGGTATCACACGCCCCTCTCAAGACTTCATGATGCTCATCAGCACTGAAGGTTCTGAGAAGTGTTGTGGCTTAACCTATTGCTTCTTGAACTTGTTTCACTCTGGAGTCCTTTATCCAACCAACATCTATTACTATCTTTGAACATTGGTGTTCTGCGGGAGAATGTTTTGGGAAATGATGACACATAGAATGGTTATAATTAGGTTAAAATTCCACTAGAATATAGAGAAATAGCTGGAAGAAAAATATAACAAAATTCAAGTAGAGACCATGGGTAGCAATGACGTAAAAAGATTATTTAATAAATCTTTCTTTTTTCATGCATCTGCCAGAAATTATTTGATATGCATAGATTATTTTATTAAATAATTTTATAAAGGTCTTGGTCTAAATAAGTTTGTATTTTTATTCAGTTTATAACATATAAGTTTCAGAATTTGCGCTTTCTGCCTAATGGATAAAATATCCATATAACCCAGTAGGATATTTGATAAGAGTCTGATGGCCTGTTAATACTATGTAATAAATAATAGTATTTATTCTACCATGATGACAATTTCAGAGTGTGAATTTGGACTTGGGAACAGCCTACTTCATGACAACCAAAAAGAAAGAGTCTTTTAAGAACTAGTAAACAACTAATAGTTAAAGGTGTGCCAGGCACTATACAGATCACTTTATACACATTAACTTATTTAATCCTCTCAGCAACTGCATGAGGTAGGTAGGTAGTATGATCACTGTCATTTTACAGATGAGTAAACTTAGCCACAGGGAGGTTAGGTGACATGCTCAGTTCCAAGTCCTCCATCTCTAGAGACCAGATTCTGATGAGTACCCAGTGCTGCCTCCTACTTAGGGAGCCAGTGATTCCACCACATCAGCAGGCAGGATTTCACAGCTGCTGATTTAACCTAGATCCCAAACCATTCTTGCCTGTGAGAGTGACAGAGCCCTTTCCTCTGGGGTTGGTAAGCTGGAACCACACAGGCCCCTCATGTCCTCTGGCCATATCCTCTAGTAGGTGAGAAGGTAAAGAGGGTGCAGACTAGAGGAGGAGGGGGTATGAGTCCCACTTCTGGCCTCCAAGGGCCCAAGAGGTAGCCTTGCTTCTCTAGCTGTTTCTGTGGACTCTGGTGAGGAATCCTGTGTATTTCTTCCAGAACATCTTCTTTTTTCTTTTTTTTTAAATGTTTCTTTATACACCTTTTAGTTTTAAATTTTTCTTTAAGAGGTTGTTATAAGAGGCCATTGTAGGGTGTCTTTCACAATGATGTTTTTGGACCAGATTATACTTTAGATGGGCTGTGATGCTTACCTGGTAATATCAAGTAAGTTTAGAAACCTGCTTATACACTTGAGGTACCCAGAGGCAGAGGATGAGCTAAAGGGCCACTCAAGGTCACTTCCATCCTCTGTACTCTGGGATGTTTTGGATATCAGGTGTCGGAAGAATGTGGCTAGCCAAATTACCATCTAGAAATGGGCTACTCCTGGGTGTGAGAGACAGAGGCAGGAAGGCTAAGGAAACAGGAGCAAAGAAGCTGCTCTTCATAGGTTTTATTTTATTTTGTTTTTTCTTTTTTAAAATTAGTATATATTTATGGGGTACAACTGTAACTTTGCTACATTGATATTGTGTTAGTCTGTTCTTGTGCTGCTATAAAGAAATACCTGAGGCTGGGTAATTTACACAGAAAAGAGGTTTATTTGGCTCACAGTTCTGCAGGCTGTACAGGAAGCAGGGCACCAGCATCTGCTTGACTTCCAGGGAAGCCTCAGGATGCTTTTACTCATGGCAGAAGGTGAAGGGGGAGTGGACGTGTCACATGGTGAGTCAGGGAGCAAGAGAGAGGGGAGGGAGGTCCGAGCCTCTCTTAAACAACCGGCACCCCTGTGAACTCATTAATCATCCATTACCACTCATTACCATGGGGAGGACACCAAGCCATTCATGGGGAATCTGCCCCCGAGAACCAAACACCTCCCACTAGGCCCACCTCCTGCTGAGCCCACTCTTCTTCAATGCAACATTGGAGGTCACATTTCACATGAGATTTGGAGGGGACACACATCCAAACCATAACACGTATGTTGCATTGTGGTAAAGTCAGGGCCTTCAGTGCCTCCATCACTGGAGCAACGCACATTGTACCCACCAAGCAATCTCCCATCATCCACCATCATAGGTTTTAAAGCCAAGGATTACAAAGAGATAAATCTGGGTTTGGCATGTCCATTCCTTGCTCTTTTATCCTCAAGTGACTTGGAGAGGACCAGTTGGCACCATTCTTGGAGGTCAAGACAGCCTACCATTGGCTTGAAGCCTACAGTTAAATCAATTCATCCTCTCTCCTAGACTTTCCCACTCTGGACTAATTAATTCTGGGCCCTGCAGTTGTTTCATAGGCCCTCCTCTCCAACTCTTTGTATCACTTCTCCATTCACATTTCCAAGTTAGCTGTTTGGCTCCAAAGAGGGTGCAGTGCCGAGTTGGGGTCAACTCTCGAATCTCATGGGATGGTTCCTTGCTGGGTCTCTGTTGTGTTGCTTGCCCATAGTTTCTCATTCTACCCTCATGCTGACTGTTTTCAAAAGACACAACACATAGCAGGCACAGTCCCACCACACTGCAAAGCATTCGGCTCTTCCTGCTCCTTCATGTTTACCTTGTGATTCACTCTGCCTTTGTGGGTCTCTTCCTGTTAGATTTTATTCTTTCATGCTTTTCTACTTTTTTATTCTTATCCATTTACTTAATGGTATCATATCTCCCTTCCTCATGGGTTAAAACTTTATACTGATTGTATCACTAAATTTCATTTGGTCTATTTTGGACCAAGAGCCCAGTTTGCCGAATTGATCTTCTAATTAAAATTTATTCCCTATTTACAGTTTCTGGGTCATTGGTGAGACTGGATTTCATAGAAGAGTCTTTGCTACAGCAAAACCTCTCTTCAAGCAATACACTATTCAAGCTGCTGGAGGCTAGATTGACCAGAAAAATGGGGCCAATATCATGGTAAAGGATCTTCAACAGTAGCCTTCAGCTCCTCAGGGTCCAGCGTGCTTGAAAAATGATAAATATTTTAATTCCTCCTTTCACCCCCTAGAGGAGGGAGAGAGGGTTGTGAACAAACGGCCCTTGAGTGATGTAATTCCCATGTAGGAGAACTCTCTTGGCTTTGTGACTGATGTGGGGGCCTGGGCTGGGCACTGCTTATTATTATCATCTAATTTTTTAAGTGACATTGTTGAGGAAAGAATCTGAAGACCCATGGTTGTCGCTTGGCCACTGAAAAATAAATCACATTTTGATAATTCCTTAATTTCTTAGTGAATTTCCTTTACCCAAATATATAATGTATGTAAGACAGTATCCTGTACAATTGTACAGAGACACTGGGAGGACAAAATAGTATAGCATTTGAATTATTATAATACAAATTAATACTAATTATTATTAATACTAATACTAATACTAATAGGTAGCAGGAGCCAGTAGTCATGAGTGCTAACTTTGTGTTAGGCACCTAGTGTTATGTTTTGAGTGTTCTGTACCGCAGAGCACCTAGAGTGATCATTTCTGTTAAATAATGTGAGTTACCAGGCATTCCATCCTCTGTTCTCTCTTTGCTTTCCCTTAGTAAGTACCATGGACTCTCTTTTAGCTATTTCTTTTTTTTAGTCCTCTTCTCCCACACAAGTTGAGCTCTCATTGCTGCCCACGGTTGCCATGGTTTCCTGCCTTCCTGGCCTAGGCCTCTTCCTTGTCTAACCCACCTGCCACGTGCCCCAGGCTGACCAGTGGATGACACCACTTCCACGAAGGCCTCCCTGTCATTTGAGATTATTCCATGTCTCTCCATGACCTGGTCTGGCACTCAGCGCTCTTCATGTTCTGATTCCAGGTTACCTTTCCAGCCCATCTCCTGTGCCTCTGCTGGGAGATCTTGCTGTAGCCGGGTTGGTTCCCTCAAGGCCGTGCCCAGAGTGTTCCCTCTTCCAGGCCTGTGCTCACCCTCCCTGCAGCTTCTGCTCCACGGAGTCACCTCCATAAATTCTCCCCATGCACAGAGTCCAGCCCAAGCTCTTGCTCCTATTCCAAGTCTTCCCTGAGCACTTTTGCAATCTCCTCTTCCATGAGTGCTCACACTCTCAGGAGCTCCATTTGTCATTTTTGGTATTGTTTTGTGTTGTCATTTAATTCCTCCTTTTCTTAAACATTTGAGTGTCTATATTCCTCCTTCGACTAGATTGTAAATTCCTAGATGACAGGGGTCATGGGATGTCTATCCATCTATAGCTATCTATCAATCTTTAATCTATCATCTGTCTGTCTATCATCTATCACCTATCTATCTATATCTATTATCTATCTATTTATCCATCTATCTACCTACTGTCTAGTCCATAGGTATTTAGTAACTCTTTGATTAAAGAAAGAGTATCATTTTCAGTTTCCTTCTCAGATTCAAAAACCATAAATGTTTTTCATGGAGTGGGAGGCAAAGAGGTAGACTGAGGCACACAGAGGCGAGAGAGAATCAACTGGTCTTGAACAGAGTCCTGAACAGAATCCTTAATAAGACCCAGGGTTTGGACCTCAATCTAAGATTTTCTGGGGCTTTGCTTAACTAATCCAGAGTCCAGGATCCCCAGATAGTTGTGAGAAATAACCACTAGCAGGGTAGCTGGAGCATGCTGCAGAGAAATTGTGTAGTACTCATTACTGTTAGGAACAATAATAGCAATTATGATAATAATGATGATGATGATGATGATGATGATGATGCTGATGCTGATGATTAAGCAGCAGCTCTGGCTGAGCCTGTCTCTAGGGTGGCAAATCCTCCAATGTGTAAGTAGGAATCTGTTTCCTTTTTTCATTGGAGTAAGGTCTCTGGCTGGCAATGCAGCCCGTGACCCCAGCCTCCCTAGGCCACAGGGGCTGGGAGGGATGGCTCAGGAAGGCTGGCGGACAGGCGTCTGGCTGGCAGAGGGGAGGGAAGTCATTCCCAGTCCCATTGGTCTTGACTGAAAACAAAGTGAGGGTCCCTGAGTTCTCCTATAAACGGTAATGATAACACAATTATCATGCAAAACAAAAATTAAGCTTAATGGTGCAAAGCCAGGGTGTACCAGGGAGGTAATTCATATTAATTATGTTTGGATTAAAAGCTTATTTCTTTTGTTAGCATCTGCAAGTAGAAACTTAGCTGTTAAAAAAAAATCCGCATATAATTACAGCCTCTTATGGAGGAGCAGTGTTGAACTTAATGGAGCATCTCTGCACTCTTCAAGCTGCTGGAGAATGGTAATATTTCACATTTTATGAAACACAGAAGAAATAAATTACAGGTTTAATGATAAGAACTACTTGGGCTCATAATGAAATCTGATTGGCCAGTTAATCCACCAAGACCCTCAAATGTGAACCATCCAAAAAGGGTAAAAATGATGAAAAATGAAATTAAATGGAAAAACCCTCACCCGCAGCCTCTTTTGTGAAGGCTGGGGAAGTGCCAGAGCAGGAGAGAAGCCCTCGAGGGGTGAGGAGGAAAATCAGTCTCCCCAGGTTTGAGGAGAGCAGAGCTGCTGGAAGAATTTCCCTGCCGTGGTCTCCAGGTTTCCTGTAGAGATGAAGCCAAGGAGAGTTCTGGCGGTGGGAGGACAGGGAGGGAGCCTGGGAGGAAGAAAGAAAGAGAGGGAGGGAGGGAAAGAAGAAGGAAAGAGGCGGGGAAGAAAGAAGGGAATGATTTCTTCTGGTGAGAAAGTTTCAGAACTTCCAGCAGGGGCAGGAGCATTGTCTTCAGTGGGAAAGACAAAGACAGAATGAAGGCTAATGACTTGGGCTGAGTTTGTAACATTTTTTTCACAAACAAGAAAATATTTTGCTAGGAGGGGAAGGTGAAGGTCTTTTCTTGTCCTAAGCTCAGGATGCACTGAATCCCCTTGAGAACCTGGAGTGTGATGTCCAAAGGCAGGAGGAGAAAAAGACATCCTGCTCTGAGACACAGAGAGGAAGCAAGAGGGAGCTGAGTATCCCCTCTCTTTCACCTGTGATCTACCAGCTGGGACCCACAGCCTATGGGATGCTGCCCCCCACACTGAGGGCAGGTCTTTGTCTCTCAGTCCACTGACTCGCCCACCAATCTCCTCCCAAACACCCTCATAGAGGTGCCTGGAAACGATGCCTCACCGGCCATCTAGGCATCCCTCAATTCAGTTAAGCCAGCACCTCATATTAACCATCATGGAGGCCCTGTGGACTTCTGGAAACTCTTGCAGATCCCTGTTCCTCAGGCCTTGCCTGGCACTGCTCTTGTCCTAGTTCTCCTTGGAATGACATCCTTTGTCTCTCCTGGATTGGTGGTCGCATGGAAAATGTCTAAGCTTATGGAATCTTGGGTATCACTGGGTCCTGCCTCCTCACAGCATAAATCGGGAAGGAGGTGTAACCCATGAACACTGCCCAGTGCAGGGGCCTGCCCCTTGTAGCTACTCAATAGATGATATCGGTCCTTTTTTTCTTAAGAAACTTGCCCAAGGTCCCATAATGCTCAGGCTAGAAATACCAACACCCCTCAGTTTTTGACCACCTCATGTGCCAAATAATATGCTGCCACTGTTTGTGTACACTGCTGCATTTTTTTCTTTTTCTTTTTTTGAGATGGAGTCTCACTCTGTCACCCAGGCTGGAGTGCAGTGTTGGATCTCAGCTCGCTGCAACCTCCGCCTCCCAGGTTCTAGTGATTCTCCTGCCTCAGCCTCCTGAGTAGCTGGAATTACAGGCTTGCACCACCATGCCCAACTAATTTTTGCATTTTTAGTAGAGATAGGGTTTCACCATGTTGGCCAGGCTGGTCTTGAACTCCTGACCTCAGGTAATCCACCTGCTTCGGCCTCCCAAAGTGGTAGGATTACAGGCATGAGCCACCGCGCCTGGCCACTGCTGCAGTTGATTCTCACCAGCACCTCTAAAGCAGGGTCTTTTTTCCACTTTCTGATGAGAAGATGAAGGCTCATGATGTTAATTGATCTGACCAGATAACTAACTAGAAGCCTCCTGACTCCCAGTGTGGAATTCTTCCCACTCCACCACACTGGCTCCAGGACTGGGGACAACAGTTTTCTATTATTTTTCAATGTAAATAATTTACCAACTGGCAAACATCTATTGACCAAAAGGCCTTTGATGCCTTCTATAGATGGACATTTGACCTCATCTCCTAGGACTTTCCCCGTTGTTTATTAAACTACAATTACACTAACCACAGTATCTCTCGAACATACTTAGCGCTTCCAGCCCAGGGTCTTTGCACTTGGAGTTACCTCTGCCTGACACACTCTTCTTTCTAGGTCTTCAGGTGGCTGCACCTAGCAACTCCTCAGTCACTCTCTGTCTCAATGTTCTGCTTTCTGTTTTTTTTTTTTTTTTTTTTTTTTTTTTTTGTAGGAGTCTTGCTCTGTTGCCCAGGCTGGAGTACAGTGGCATGATCTTGGCTCCCTGCAACCTCTGCCTCCCGGGTTCAAACAGTTCTCCTGTCTCAGCCTTCCGGGTAGCTGGGATTACAGGCACCCATCACCATGCCGGGCTAATTATTTTTGTAATTTTAGTAAAGACAGGGTTTTGCCATGTTGGCCAGGCTGGCTTTTGAACTCCTGACCTCAAGTGATCCACCAGCCTCAGCCTCCCAAAGAGCTGGGATTACAGGCATGAGCTACCGCACCTAGCCAATGCTCTGCTTTCTTTTCTTTCCTTTAAAAAAAAAATAACAAAAAACAAAACAAACACACACACACACACACACACACACACACAGACTTTACTTTTAGAGATGAAGTCTTGCTGTATTGCTTAGGCTGGCCTTGAACTCCTGGGTTCAATTGATCCTCCTGCCTCAGCCTCCTAAGTAGCTGGGATTACAGGCATGAGACACCACTCACACCTGGCCTGCTTTATTTTCTGTGTAGTGCTCATTGCTCTCTGAGATTCCCTTATTTGTTTAAGAATGATAAACTCTAGGAAGGCAAGGGCTGTATCTTGTTGACTGCCACACTTGTAAGGTTGAGAGGAGGGCCTGGCACTACGTAGACTCAGTAGATCTTTGCAGAGTGAATGAATAAACAAACCAGTAAAAGAAATCGGACTTCAACTCCAGCACCCTTTCAGTTGTGCTGCCCTGGTGCTCCTCTTGTGTTCGTTTCTCTTCTTGCAGATGTGAAGCCCTCTGTGCATATGGGTGCTCACACCTTTGCACAGAGGGAGGGAAGTAGTACGTGGAATAACAGCAGCTATTCCCACTCTGCCCTTCTTTCTTGCATGCTGACTGGTAGAAAAAAGGCCTGGGGAAAACAGTCTTGAGCAACAACAAGAAGCAATGATCTCCCTGCCTGTGACAAATGTGGTGCTGTTTAGTTATGGTTCGGGGCTGAGAGGCCCCAGTGGGTGCCTGAAAGCTGAGCTTGGGCTGAGAAGGGAAGAGAGAAAGGGTCTCTGACTGATGGCAGGGTTGGCAGGTGGCACACCCAACTTTTCCCTCTCCTGTTCTCCCCTGCTGTGGCCCTAGTAGCCCATCTTGCTGTGGTTTCATGGCAGCCCAGCTGAGGACACTGACAGGGTCATGGTTTCTCCTTGCAGATTCCTCAGCAGTGCCTGGAGAAGACCAGGAGAGGAAGCAGAAGACCCTCCTCAAAGAAGCAGCCTTCACCTCCAGACCTCCCAGCGGGACTTAGACAATGGGGTTAGGCAGTCACATGTCTGCACGTGGAAACTTTCTGGGACTGTGCTTGGATCCTGGCTCTGCCTTTTACTAGCCATGTGACCTTGGGAAAATCACTTGACTTCTCCGTGCAGGATTCCTCATCTGTAAAAATGGTCTAAGATTAGGAGCCACCTCAAGGTTGTTGTAGGAATTAAATTAATTCATGTTTATAAAGTGCTTTGAACAGCGTTTGGCACATGGTAAGTGCTATGTGGTAAGTGCTGTCTATTGATTACATAAATAAAAGTGATCACCATTAGACTTTCCATGCAGATGATATTATGCATATACATATCTCCCGCATATGACGTCATTGGATCGTTTTGCAATGGTGGGGGGTTTATTCTTTTCCTTTTTGTTTTCTTCTTTTTTTTGTCAGATGAAGAAACTGATGGGAAGTGAATTGGTTTGTATTAAACATTAGGTTTGCTAGGTCTCTCACATATTTATTTAGTCCTCATAACAATTGTATAAAATAAATATTATTTATTCATTTATTTATTTGTAAAGATGGGTCTCGCTATGTTGCCCAGGCTGGTCTTGAACTCCCGGGCTCAAGTGATCCTCCTGCCTTGGACTTCCAAAATATTGGGATTAAAGGTATGCGCTACTGCACCCGGCCTAAAAGAAATACTATTATCCCCATTTTACAGATTTGTAAACAGAAGCTGACACTTCAGAGTTCCATCCTAATGAAAGTAGGATGTGACAGGGGAGCAAATCTGCTTTGCCCCTGCCCAAGGGCTGGCAGCTCCTCCTCCTGGGGTGCATGGTGAGTGGGTACACCACTCATCTGTATGTACCCGGCAGAAGCTGTCAATTCAGTTCACGTCACTCAAGTTGAATGGATGTAAAACACACACAGAAGCACCAAGTAATTGCATTGTTTTCAAATTACTCACCTCTAGGAGAATTAAATGAGCAAACGGAAGAGCAGCAACCCTGAGTTACATTTCTCAAGACACCGGGGCTCTTGATGGCACAGCAGCAGCTTGCTAGAGCTTGGTAAAGAGACTTGGGCCTGGTACCTGAAGGGCAATTCCTTGGCCATGACATTGTAGGGAAAGACCTCTATGGGTGTTGAAAAGACAAGGCGAGGACAAGAAGAGTTGAAAAGGAGCTGTTCTGAAGCCACCTGGCTGTGGATGGAGGAAGCCACATGTAGCTTAGGTAGCCTGCTATTGTAATTTTTTCTGCAACTGAAGAATTCGAAATGGGTTTGGTGGGTAGCGAAGGGCAGAATCTGGCTTCAAGGTGACAGAGTTTGCATAGAGATGGCCTTCTTGAGCAAAGGTAGTGACTCCTACATTTTTTTTTTTTGTAGAGTTGTGATACCCATGAGTTAGTCAGCTTGGGCTATCATAACAAAATACCACACATTGGTTGGCTTAAACAACAGAAATTCATTTTCCTGTAATTCTGGAGGCTGGAAGTCCAAGATCAAGGTGACGACAGAGTTGGGTTTCCTCTGAAGCCTCTCTCCTTGGTTTTCAGATGGGTGTCCTCTTGCTGTCTCTTCATGTGACTGTCCCTCTGCATGTGTGCCCCTGGGGACTCTTTCTTATCTTATAGTGACACTAGTTCTATTGGATTGAAGTGTACCCATACGACCTCATTTAAACTTAATTACATATTGTAAGGCCCTAACTTCAAATACAGTCACATCCTGAGGTACTGTGTATTAGGGCTTCAACATATAAATTTTGGGGCAATCCAGTTCAGCCCATAAAATCCCTTTTTGGTTGCTTGATTCTGTTTATTTGGTGTCATGCCTTCCTTTTCCTAAAGAACTTCATGAATAGAATTACTTTCTAAGTGAAAGGAACAAAACTGATTTTTATTAAAAATTATTTTGAGATGCTTGTGACAAATTTTGAAGTAAGTGAAGATTTTCCTGGAGCTTCTACAAAATCCTGGCTGAGAATCCCTGCTTTCTGGACAGTTGAGAAGGAAATACACTTAGTACAGCTGTTAGAGAGATATAGTTGCAACCACTGAGTGCTTATTATCTGCCAACTTAAATATATTGCCCAAGGGAATAACAAATATTCTAGTGTTCTTGTTAAGTATATTGTCTAAGGTCACACAGCTCTTAAACAACAGCTTCAGGATTTGAACCTGGAATCTATCTGACTCCTAAGTCCAGATGCTGTTCACCACATTAGGTTGAAGCATGGCCAGTGTTCATAACATACAACTATGTCTCCATATCTTTTGCTAACCAATGTTCTTGTATGTGCATACCTTACAGGGCAGCCATTCACCACAAGCCCTACTAGATGGCTTCCTGTAATAAGGGTAGAACAGTAGTACTCTCCTTTTGAGAAGTTATTTGTAATTTTGTTGGTGGGCTGACATTTAGGCCCTGCTCTCCAGCCCCAGAGGGGATCCCATAACCTAGATCAGGCCAATGATGATTATCTCCGTGACTGTAGTGGCTGGTCCAGCGGGGAGGGTCAGGCAGGTAAGCTGGCCCAACCTGAGTCCTTCTTGAGGATTTTAGAAACTGAAGGTAGGAGAGAAAAATTCTCTCTTTTCTTCTGGGGAACGGGATGAAGGTGGTGGGTAGGCAGAGCTGTTGGGATGTGGATCCAGGGATTCTGGAAGTCCTGTCCTCCACCATGTAAAGAATACATCCTGCAGAAGGAGAGAAGGGAGCCAGCACACAGAGAAGCAGAGTCAGGAGATGGAGAAGGAGAATCCTGAGAGCCTGAAGGTCCCTGGGTCCAGCCATTGTCAAGGCCGAGTTCTACCGTCCTTAAGTTGTTTACCTTTCTTTCTTGCTTGCTTCTGTTAGAAGATGAACACTCAATGAAAAATCACCAAACATCTGAGGAAAGCCATCAAAATGAAATAAACGAAACACACAAGTTCCTAAACACAAGTGAACAGCGTGGGCTGGGTTTTTGTCGCTTGGAACTGGAAACGCTGACGATAATGCTGACCTCTGAGCAGACCCACGTGAGGGGCAGCTGTGGTGTGGTGTGATGATGCTGGGATAGGCACTCAGATGGTTGAGTCTGAGTTTGGCTCTGATATTATATCAACTGCATGGGCAGCTGTGGTGTGGTGTGATGATGCTGGGATAGGCACTCAGATGGTTGAGTCTGAGTTTGGCTCTGATATTATATCAACTGCATGGGCAGCTGTGGTGTGGTGTGATGATGCTGGGATAGGCACTCAGATGGTTGAGTCTGAGTTTGGCTCTGATATTATATCAACTGCATGGGCAGCTGTGGTGTGGTGTGATGATGCTGGGATAGGCACTCAGATGGTTGAGTCTGAGTTTGGCTCTGATATTATATCAACCGCATCATTTTGGGGAAGACACAATTTCTCAGAATTTTATTTAGTTGTAAAATAAAGATAATGATATTACATGCTCTGTCTACCATCTAGAGTTTTTGTCAAGACAAACTGAAGTAAACCGTGTTAGAGAAAAATGTTACAAAATTTTAAGCGTGAAGTGAGTAAACAGTGACTCTGTCCTGAGACTACAGCGGAAAGCTGCCTCACAGGCCACATGTGAAAATCTTCTGCCAGAGAACATGAACACTCAATGAAAAATTGCCAAACATCTGAGGAAACCCATTAAAATGAAATAAACAAGACAAGTTCTTATAATCAAGGAAACATAGATAATAGAGCCATCAGCACAGGCCTTTAAAAGAAAAGCAATTATATTTAATATCTTTAAATAGATAAAAGAGGGCATTATATGCATGAAAGAAGAATAGGAAATTATAAAACAAGGACAGTTTTTTTTTTTTTTTTTTTTGATAGGGTCTCACTCTGTTGCTTAGTGTGGAGTGCAGTGAATGGCGTGATCATAGCTCACTGCAGCCTTGAACTCCTGGACAATCCTCCCGCCTCAGCTTCCCAAAGAGCTAGGAGTACAGGCACATGCTATGATGCTCAGCTAATTAACATTGTGTATGTGTGTGTGTGTGTGTGTGTGTGTGTGTGTGTGTGTGTGTGTAAAAATAGGATCTTGCTATGCTGCCCATGCTGGTCTTAAACTTCTGGTTTCAAGTGATCTTTCTGCCTCGGCTTCCCAAAGTGCTGGGATTACAGGCATGAGCCACTGTACCCAGCCCAAAATTGTTTTATATGAGACTAGTTAAAGAGCTTAAAGATGAACCATATGATTACTAAGGAACAGAATGGATTCAATCAAATTTTTATTAAAGCCCACCAGGTGCTCTCTGCTATCTGATGCAGGGGATACAATAATGGACAAAACCAGACATGGCCTCTGGACTCACATACTAATAAGTAAGAAAGGAATTTGTACAATAACCACACCAACCAATTTCAGACTGGGTTTGATGATGAGATGATTAGGGGGGTCAGGCAGAGCTTCCCTAGGGGAGTGACAACAGAGTTGAGATCTCAAGGATGAGTCGGAATTAACCAGGTGAAAAGGGAGAGTGAGTTCCAGGTAGAAAGGGCAGAATATGTAAATGTGCAAATCTAAGAGAATGCAGCAAGGCTGTGGTAGGTGGGCCAGAAAGACTGAGGGGGAGCCTTAGAGAGTCTAAGGTTGGGGAAGGGGTGAAGCAGGGACAGATCATGTCAACAAGAAGCCTTTATAATTTTGGACTTTAAGCCAACTTTTGTTAGGAAGGAAGGAAAATTCTGTTTTTGCAAAAAGAGATTTAAAACCCTCCTCCCATTATCCAGTATTCAGAATACTTTTCCTCAGAGAGAAAATGCAAACTTCAGGTTCGAGAAGGAGAGTTTTATTATCACACAGCTCACAGTCAGCGTTTTGCTGAGCACAGGAGGAAGTGAAACTGCCCATAGAAATCATGCAGTGATAAAACTGAGAGATGGGGCCCTTGGGGACCGCAGGTGGCAATTGTGCCAGTTGAGACAGGGACAGCCCCTGTGATCCATGTTCATGCTGAGGTTAAACAGAGCCCAGGCAGTGGGGAGGGGAAAACAAGGCAGCAACCTCTGAAAGAAGTAGATATGGCATGAGGAGGGAGGGAGAGAGGCACAGAGGAAGATAGAGACAGAGACAGAGAGAAGGAGGAGAAGAGGGCACACACTTAGTTCACGATGCCTTTGAGTTCTCTATTCCAGTTCTTATGAGGCCTTGCTGAGCTAGTGTTCTACTTTGTGGGTTTCCATGAACTTCCTTTTAAGGTTCCGCTTATATTCTTACAGCTAATCCCTTTTTAATCTCCTGAGAAAAGAAAGAAAACGAAGTAGAATGATAACTATTTTCTACTTAAAGACTGCCATATTCACAGGGAATAAGCAAAGGCTGAGATTTAGTAACAGTGTTCTTGTAATAAGAGGCTTGACATTCTAGCCTGACAGCAAGGAATAAAAGCAGAAGAACATTTTTCCTGGACCATAACCATTCCCTTAGCTGGTGGAATAAAGGTTATTGCCACATCCCTAAAGAAGAGCAGCTGAAGACATATAATAATTCTGTAATCTGTATAGTCAGATGCATATCAATATTTTGGTACTCTTTGATTTTTATACAAAATATGACTTTAGCCATTCTTAACCTCTTAATATCTTCTTCATACAGACACTAAAATAATTTTTGAAATATTACTGTAGACTAGCACTTCCCAAATAGTGTTCCTTGAAAGGCTATCATCTCTAGATATATAACTGTACTTTGTGTGATAAAAGACTAGTTGGTTAAAAAAATTGGGAAACACTCTTGGAGATTCAAAATGCACATTTGTATATTAAAGGCTCTGAGAAGTCCTTCAGTGAAGAAGCTTGTTGAACTTTAACCCAGCATGCCCCAAATTCATTTAACTATTTTCGCCCATGCTGGAGTGCAGTGGTGCGGTCTTGGCTCACTGCAACATCTGCCTCCTGGGTTCAAGTGACTCTCCTGCCTCAGCCTCCAAAGTAGCTGGGATTATAGCCACCTGCCACCATGACCAGCTAATTTTTGTATTTTTAGTAGAGACGGGGTTTCACCATGTTGGCCAGGCTGGTCTTGAACTCCTGACCTCAAGTGATCCACCCTCCTTGGCCTCCCAAGGTGTTGGGATTACAGGCGTGAGCCACTGTGCCTGGCCTAACTATGAAACCTTTTTTTTTAATGAGCACCTATTAAAATCCTTCTGGACACAAATAATATGAGGAATAGAGCTTAGGAAACACTGTTATTATTCTAAGAATGTTCATGTGGGCTATGGTGTGGTAAAGTTGGCATGACCGCAAGAGGGAATGAGAATAAAGCTTGAAAAGAAAAAGTTGATTATACTCACAGATCCCAGAGAGGAATTCGCCACATGCCATACTGGGCCACAGGAGAAGCACCAGGTTTGGGTCAGGTGGCAGAAGACAAGAGTGCGGGGAGAGCCTGAGATAGAGCTGGGGTTTCTGCGGGAAACGCAAGGCAGGGCAGAGTGGACAGATTAGGGCTGACTAGTTTGAATAATTCTGGTGGGCTTTGAGCTATAGCAGTGGTCTCTAGTTGCCTGGTACCTGGCACTGGGATGATTTAGGACAGAGGAAATATTGGCTTGATATGTGAGAGTTATAGAAGGAGGTGGTTGAGGCTAGAGATGTGGGATTGGTTTGTTTGTACATAAGAAACATACTCCTTGCTGAGTCTTTTACTGAGACTAAGAAGGGACTGGCCAGGAAGGAACAGTCTCCCCTTGGTCAGAAAGCTTTTTAAGATGTCAAAACATCACAAAATGTAAAAAATACAAAAACACAATCAATACAGTGATACAGGGATATTTTGGATGAGTGTACCCTGATTGACTTCAAAAGTCTAGATTTTGGAGACCAAAGTGGGCAAAAACCAAGTAAGATGAGCAATTCCTCATTAAAAAATTTTGTTTTTATTGTATCAATCACAGTCTAGTCAGAAAAAGAAACCAACCTATGTATTTCATACAGAGGATATTTAATACAGGCAATAGGCTACAACGATCTTAGACAGTCAAAGAGCAAAAAAGGGGAAATTAAGGTAAATCAGATATTATCTAGGGCTGGAGGAACAAAAGAATGGTGATGGGGTTTCCAGAACCTAAGAGCACAGAAAGTGGATTACAGCCTCAAAAGCGTGATGGTGGTGATGTGTGCCTGTAGTGCCAGCTACTTGGGAGGCTGAGATGGGAAGATCACTAGAGCCTGGGGAGGTTGAGGCTTCAGTGAGCCATGATCACACCACTGCACTCCAGCCTGAGTGACAGACCAAGACCCTGTCTCAAAAGAAGTAAAAAGCTGAGATGGTGGAAGAAACACTATCAGAAGAAGAAAGGAGAGAAGCAGGAGAAGAGAGAGAGACAGAGAGAGAAAGAGAGAGAGAGAGAGAGAGAGAAACAAAGACATCTCCCTTCCTCTCTTGTCTTGATTTTCCTGCCAGTTAGACAAAACTTAACTGGAAGCCAACTGCCAAAGAGATCTGGGAAATGTAGTTTTCAGACTTCCAGCCCCATTATTATAGAGGGAAGTTATGGGACCATGCTTAACAAAGCTCAGTTTTGGCTTGGGGCAGTTTTGTAAAGAGCTACATATTACTAGCTATTATTATGAGGCTATTGTTCAAGTCTTAATGGATCTGCCAAACAATCATTTTGACTTATACTCTCTTCTAAATTAATTAGTAGTTTGACTAATCAGTGTGATCATTTAAGGCCAACATGCCCCAAGGGAAAACGTGTAAATAAGTTTTTTTGAATTATTCAAATAAGAGAAAATTCTATTTGAAAAAGAAGTCTCTAGCAGTAAAACTTTTCACAGAAAAAAACCCCCAAAACCACACCTGAAAAGAACCTGAATGTTTAATAATAGGTGATGAACTAGGATAATTTTAGTATATTACTTAGACTCTTATGTATTTATCACAAATAATTAGTGTTGGTGTTACATAAGAAAACCCATTCTTGGGGAAGGATTAAATGCTAACCAAAGCAACTTATTTTTAATTAATATTTTTAGACTCTATGCTGTCATACTGAACTCACTGCTAGCTAAGAGACCTATCAGAGATTTAAATATATTTTCTCAAGGTTTTTTCTGGGTTTTCTTTTGGTTCTATCTATGTGACAGAGGCTCTTTCTAAAAGTATGTAGTTCACTGTGTGTTGGCTCCAGCAGTAACCATCCTCACTGCACCACACACTCCTCTGTAGAAGTGCATTCAGTGGGAGTTCCCTCCGGCCCCAGGACGGCAGCAGCAGCCAAGTGCTGAGTGGATTGAGTGCCAGGTGGATCCGAGACTTTTCCTCCCTTCCAGAAGGCACTAGAAGCTCCTCTAACTGAAGGCAGGGTGGGTCATGTGGGGCCGGCTGAAATGCTCCAACTTTTTCATAAAGCATGGGTGGTCCAGTTTAGACTGATGGGAATCTTCCTGTTATTCTTTTTAAATGGATGATACCGATGGAAATAAAAGGTGGAAAATATATTTAAAAAAAGAAAACCCATTCTTTTAAACAATATATATTGAGCACCTAACATATGCCAGGCACCATAATTAATGACAGGCATAAAAACACAGATGGGACCTTGGCCTCTGTTCTTATGGTTCCTGTAATCCCATGGAGGAGATAGCCTTATAAACATGAAAAAGGGTTTACAACTTACCTAAGAAATTAGAATGGCAAATTTTTATGTATACAAATTTTCTATAATGAACATGTATTATATGTATAATAAAAGTAGTAAATTCTTGTAATATAGTTTTTATAACTATGTAAAATACGTAATTATTAGTAGAGAACACAAAAGAGTGAAAATAATTGTGTTAGGGTAATCCTAATATGATATTCAGTTTTATTTCAACTTGGCCAGGTTATAGTCCCAATGATTTAGTTAAACATTAATCTAGATATTGCTGTGCAGGTATTTTGTAGATGTGGTTGACATCTTCCATCAGTTGATCTTATGTAAAGGAGAGGTCCCTGGGTAATGCGGGTGGGCCTCATCCAATCAGCTGGAAGGCCTTAAGGGAAGACACTGAGGTTTCCTGAATAAGAAATTCTCCCTGAAGGCTGTAGCATCAGCACTAGTCACAATAGCAAAGACATAGAATGAACCCAGGTGCCTACCAATGGTGGATTGGATAAAGAAAATGTGGTACATGTACACCATAAAATACTACACAGCCATAAAAAAGAATGAAACCATGTCTTTTGCATCGACGTGGATGCAGATGAAGGCCGTTTTCCTAAGTGAATTAATGCAGAAACAGAAAACAAAATATCACATATTCTCACCTATAAGTGAGAGCTAAACATTGAGTACACATGGACATAAAGATAGGACTCCAAAAGGGGGAAGAAGGGAGGGGGACAAGGGTTGAAAAACTCCCTATTGGGTACTCTGTTCACTATCTGAGTGATGGGACCAATAGAAGCCCAAACTTCAGCATCAGGCAGTATGCTCTTGTAACAAACCTGCACATGTACTCCCTGAATCTAAAATTTTTTTTCAAAGACTACAGCATCAGCTCCTGCTGCAGCCTCCTGGGCTGTCTTTGGATTTTGGACTTGTGTGAGCCAGTTCCTTAAAATAAACATCTTTATTTCATATGTATATGTATATATTACACACACACACACACACACACACACACACTTACCTTCTGTTGGTTCTGTTTTTCTGGAGAACCTGACTGATACAGCTACTGCCTTTTTCTTTTAAATAGTCCTTAATTTAATGTTGGTTTTATCATGTATAATTTCTTTAAAGGATCTTCTGCCTTTATGAGCCCCTTTGACTATCTTTTCTCAGTCCTCCAGCAACTTCTGCCCACCATTGGCTTACAGATTCCCAAAGCCTGTCTGTTAAGGCAGAATCTAATGGAGACAAAGGCCAGAGTGTCTTAACTTGCATATTTCCTTTTTTCTCTCCAAACTGGCTACTGAGCAAGGGCAGTGGTGGCTCTCAGGCTCAAGGCCAGAACAGCTCTGTGCATGCCTGGACTCCATCAGCCCTTTGTTGGATCCCAGAGAGCTGTGCTCCCATCAAGGGACAGTGGCCCATCGAGGGCAGTATTTTTTGACAACCCAGGGCAGTTTGGCTAAGACTAGTACAAAAGTCCCAGGAGCCCTGGGTGGTGTGCCATCCCCAGCATTCTTCAACCCCCACCTCACCTAGAAGGGGATTGGACAGTGAGCTGTTAGTGATTCACTCTTCAGTCTGAAGCATGGTCTTGTATTTCTTGAGAGGTGGCATTGTCAAATAAACGCAGGTTCTGGGAACAGAACCTTGGGTTGCAATTTCAGCTGAGCCACTTTCTGGCTGTGTGAGTGCATCAAATTTATTTAACCATGTTGTGACTCTGTTTCTCATCTGTGAAGTGGGAATATCTATTCAACCAAACTTGCAGGGTTGTGGTGAAGATGTCATATATAATGTGTAATTTTCTAGCACATAGTAGGGGATCCCACAAATTGTAATCACTATGATGATTATATCTTTGAGGGTGAGGATGAATTTTGGAAAAGCCTTTGTACACCTTTCCTAAGAAGTGGAGACCATATCACCTCCCACATCCAGCTGAGGATAAAGAAAGAAAGGATGCTTGCAAAGCACACTGAACCCTGAGAGGATGCCAGGATTTCACTGTCATTTAATATTGCCACCATGTTGGTTAATAACATATTGACCAACTCTACAAATAGTAGAGTAAATTTACTATCACTCAGAAATTTTGTTTTTGCAGCTATGTTCTTCTCCCAGAAAATATGCAAACAGTAAATAAATAGCTCTTCTCTTTTTCTTTCTTTCTTTCTTTCTTTCTTTCTTTCTTTCTTTCTTTCTTTCTTTCTTTCTTTCTTTCTTTCTTCTTTTTTCTTCTTTCTTTCTTTCTTTTTTTTCTTTCTTTTTTTTTTTTTTTTACCTCCTGCATCATATTTATAATTATCTTGGCTTGGTGGACAGGTGCCTGTTTGTGCTCCCACATTCTCCTAGGCCCCAGGACTCAATGTTAGTCAGCTTTCATATATCTGCATGTGGATTATCCACTTAATGAGGCATCTGCCAGGAAAGTTTTAATCCTAACCAAGCTTTCTCCTAGCATCTCCCTCTCCCTCTTTTCCCTCCCTCAGCCCTCACCCAGCTGATGTGTGCTTAGGAAATGCAAACTAATTTTAAAATTCTCTAGAGCAAAACATGATTAGAATGGTTAAGTCTGCTGCCAAAAATAAAATCAGCTAATGCATTCCATATATTTAGATTTCCAAAATTAAGTTGAAAGGATGCTTAGTTCATCCAAAGTTTGGTTGATACACATCATCCCGTATCTCTGCTAGTTGACCCTACTTTTTCTGGCAGCAATAAATTTGGCTGTCCTGCAAATGGCATCACCTTTTCCACATCCCAGGGCAGTATTTTTCCTCTCTCAGCCTGCTGAAAATGGGGTCCCATTCCCTGTCCAAGATGGTGAAGAACCTCTACCATGCTGGGGAGAAGCAGCAACCAAGAAACACTTCTGGCTCTGTCTAAACTTAGGTTCTCCTCTTCTTTCATTCCATCTATTCAGCTTTGCTGGATGGTCATGGATTCATCTGGGGAAAGGTGCTTCAGTTAAACCAAGTGCTGGTACTAAGAGATATGAGAAAGTCTTAGAAGTCATGTTGTTGCCCGCAAGGAGCTCACAATCTCTTTGCGGAGACAAGATTAGCATTACAGTACAGCGTACATGACAAAATACAATTGATTGCTAAATTTTTTGGCAGAGAATATAAGGAGAAACCTAAGGGAGAGATTATCAGAAGGGCTGGAGCAGTTTTCATGATGAAGGAGGCACTTGTGTTGGGAGGAGGATAGGTTACGGGAATCGAGAGGGCATCTCCGGTGAAATAATCAACTGGAGCAAATGTAACAATGTAGAAATGAGCAAGGCTCATGGTTGCAGGACAACAAAAGAAATTAGCTTGACTTGAATAGAAGCACTGTATTAGGGAGTTGTAGAAAGTAGAGGTGTTTTAAGACTCTTTTGGTTGTAGGGAGCAAAAAAACCAATCTGATCTATTTTAAGAAAAAAGGGGAATTTATTTGAAGGATATAAAGGGATGTCATGGGCCTCAAGGACAGTGGTGCATGGAAAATTGTGTCTGGATCCAGGAAGTTCTCACGGCATCTCTTGTCTTCATTCCTCTGCAGAGCTAACTTCTTCAGTTGCCCGCAGCATCTTGAGTGCTCTCATTCATTTTCCAGTCTACTGGCTGTTATTCTACCTCAATTCCAAATTCCTGGGAGAGAGAGAACCTGTGGGGTTGCACTGTGTAAGCACAGACATGGCTGCTGGTGCCCCTCCTGGGTGGGAGGGTTGGAGTGGCGAGGGAGTTGGGGTCAGTCCTAGGAAAGGAGAAAAAGAGTGAATTCAACAGGTGAGTGAGAATGGCTAGGACAGGCCACCTGCCATTTGCTTCTTTCAGAGTCTGTGAGGAAAACTGGGTGAAAAGACTCCAGTTGTTTGGGATTCTATAAGGTATCCCACTTTCGGTAACTCTTGAAAAATCCCAATTTTGAAAGCAGAGAAACTGGCTTGTGACTACTCACTTCGTGAAACAGATAAACCACAATCCCTTTCAGCTCTCAGTGACGCTTTCCCATTAGGTTTCTAATTATGCCCATCTTATCTGTAATGCACCCTTAATTTGGGGAACTTCCTTTAGTGGGATTCAGGGTCCCACCCTGGGCCCAACCCAGGGCCCAACCCAGGCCCGGCACCCTCCATGCTGGGAGGACCCAGGAGGGAGAGATGCTCATCGCAGTTGGCCAATGGCTGCCTGCTGGTTGAAATGTGAGCTTCCTGAGGGCAGGAATAGGTCCTCTAGACACCTTTATATCCATCCGATGCCTGCTACGTATTGATACTAATGAATGCTTATTGAGCAGAATGAATAAAGTCAGTTCCCAGATATAAGAAATTCATAGCCAAGGAGCAGCTTAAGGAGAATATAGCTTTATTATAAATGAGGGAAATAATCATAGTAATATGTCCCTTCCTGCAGAAACATTATATATGGCACTACTTCTGGTCCTGCCAACAGTGTCTCTTGCGGGCTGGATGACCCCAAGTTCTATTTAGATTTAGGGCATATTTTGACTGACCCACCTCAAATCGTGCCCTGAGACCTTTCGAATATCTTCCATCCAAAGGGGAGTCCCATGCCAAGCTGACCCCATGTGTGGCTGCCTCGCTTTGGGAAGGGTGGGAAGCTGGCTTCAGTCACCAGAAAGAAAAACCCCACCCCTCCCATGGTGGCCCAGGGGCGGGGTGGGCGGGGTGGGGTAGAGAGAAGGAACCGACCTCCCCCAACCTACCAGCCCCCGGGTTCAGCCGGCTCCAGGTGAAAGGCGGTCCAGAGGTTGGCCCACCCTGGCGAACTCCTTGCCTTCCAAGAGAAGAAGACGACAAATGAGACAAAATGAAAAATATAATGATGCATATTATATTAATCATCCTCTCTTTTTCTGACACAATAAATCTTCTCTTTAAACTCAGGGTAGCGATTGCATCATCTCCCTCTCCCCTCGAAACAGCACAGATTAAGATAAAGTGATAGTGCTGTGTCAAAGAGAGCTTTACTGCCACACTTGGGATACAAAGAGAGAGGTTAATTTATCATCGCTGGGGAGAACTGACAGAAGAGAGATATACTACCGAAAGGGGATTTAGCACAGGGCCAAGAAACTTCACACTATTTTTACCATCTGTCACATGCTCTAACAAAGCAGGGCAAAATATGAAGAAAGGAAAAATGAACTATCAAACACTGATGTAATGCAGCCCATAAATCTAATTTAATTACTTTGCATGGAGACAGGTCCTCGAGTCTGTGTGAATATACTGGATTTTCTTGGCAACTTAACAACTAAGTGTTTTAATAACATCACACTATAATTTATTCTGCTTGAAACACAAAACCCCTTTTGTGAGAGTTTCATTTTTGAGAACTGTTAATTTTTTCGGCTAATGTCAAAACTGGCATAAATTCACATGTGAACTTGAAGCCTGACTGTGAAAAAGGCTTAGGTTACTGCATGCCTTTTTATTGTTTGGCACTTTTTCCCCCTTCTGCATGCATTAGAAATAATTGGGCTTTGTTGATGACTTAGGTGAGGAGAGTTGTCTTGCAATTAGGTTTAAATATAATGACAAAGGGTGTGTGGGGGAAATCTTTGTAAAATATAAAGAGGTAAGAAAATGCAATGGGGAAAAAATCCTTATTTTCCAGCAGAATAGCAAAACCTCAAGTGCAATATTCCTGGAATCAGGCTGTCCCCAGAACTATGAGAATTTCACTCTGGAGGATGTAAGATCACAGGGCCAAAGGGACGCTGGGAAGGCAGGTCTGCCCTAGAGGGAACAACCAGGAGGAGAAAATAAATCAAAAATAAAATTAATATTCATTGGGTGTCTTCCCGAATTTGGATGCAGTTACAGAAATTATTGTTAATAATGAAACCCATATATCAAAGGTTATAAAATTCATCTGTGCTAGGACACTATTTTTTTTAGGCTTTGTTCTGAACCATTAAAGATGACATATTGCATTTGTGTGCCTCTGTGTATAATAAGATACATTTAGGTCTGAATCTAACCTAAACTGGCAATTTTGGCATTGAACTCAAGTTCTTAAATGGGGGCCACGACACTACAGTCCAGGGGAGGTCAGCTGAACCCATCCGTTCTCCCATGACCTCACCCACTAAGGCAGGATGGATGGGTAATTAATTTGTTAGATCATCAGTGATTCATGTTGGAAAAATAAAACTCTAAGCCTCTTGACAAATTCATTTGAAATATAATGGGAAAAAAGGATAAAAACTCCTATCCCCCCTCTCCAAAAAAATCCCAAATCCTCATGCTGAAAGCAAATCTAAATACAGAGATAGACAGTTTGCTGAAGTTCATTTATTTATTTCTTTCAGCAACACTGAATACATCCTTACCATATGAGAATCTTTGTCGGACACACCTTGGATGGAGGGGTACATGCAATCGGGTAGTAGAGATATATCAGACTGAAAAATGACTACAGTTTGGGACATTCTAAGAAAGTTTAACCTATCAGCTAATATCCATGGAGTTCATTGGGAGGGCAGATATGGAGTTGGTGATGGTATGGAATCTGGATAAAACAGAAGTGATTCATCTGGAAAATTCTTTTCTTTTTTTTTTTGAGACGAAGTTTCACTCTTTTTGCCCAGGCTGGAGTGCAATGGTGCAATCTTGGCTCGCCACAACCTCTGCCTCCCTGGTTCAAGCAATTCTCCTGCTTCAGCCTTTCTGAGTAGCTGGAATTACAGGCATGCACCACCATGCCCGGCTAATTTTGTATTTTTAGGAGAGACGGGGTTTCTTCATGTTTGTCAGGCTGGTCTCGAACTCCCGACCTCAGATGATCTGTCTGCCTCGGCCTCCCAAAGTGCTGGGATTACAGGCATGAGCCATCGCACCCAGCCCATCTGGAAAATTCTAACAAGTGTTAGACCCCCACCAGGAAATTGACCACAATCTGCATATTGTTGAATATTTACTGAATGTCATCAGTGATTTGGTCTATGTTAAATATCTAGGGCTATCCAAGGGCCTTGAAGCCAGGAAACTGAGGTGCAAACGTATTCAGAGAAGTGCTTTCAAATAAATTTATCTTCATGCCTTTTTCTGAAGTTCATATTCCCCAGTTCAGACTTGGAAAACACTCAATTCTTGTGGTTTCTTGTTCTGTTGAATTTGTGTGGGAGAGAAATGTCCAACCTTGAACTCTGAATGGAGCCCAGTGTGAAAAGTAGTGGTTTTCAGCTGTGCTATTTCAAATGCTCTCATTGGTATTTTTAAGGCTTCCCACATATTCGGTTACTGACCTGGGGCCTGGAATAGTGAACATTAAAAATAAAAAAACAACAACAAAAAAAAACTCAAGCCGCCAGTATTTACTTATGAACTGCCTTGGTTATAGCCCAGCAATCCAACTGCCTGAAAATTAGTGTACAAATTGGAAGTTTGAAGGGTTTCCTTTTTGTCATTTTGATTTCCTCATCTGAAAAATGGGGATATTAGTACCTACCTCCTGGAGTTGTTGTGAGGATTAAATGCAGCTACATATGTAAAGCACTGAGCACACTAAAATGATAGCTGCAATTATTATTTTATTAAAATTATTTTGATTTCACCACCTCTTTCTTCTCCCCTTTGCATTTCTAACCACCCCTCTCGCCTCACCATCTCCTTCTCCCGCCATAATGTACTTTTTTTGCAGACCTACAGGAATCCACTTCCTTCAGCCTCCCCCTTCTGGCCCAGAGGCACACTGCAGCTATGTTGCTTTTTTTTTTTTTTTTCCTATTCTCAAGATAGGAAATGCAAAACAAAAACAAAAACAAAACCCCATCACCTTTGGGGTGGACCCAGGTGGCTGTCTGCAGATGAACCTTATTAGGGAAGCACTTGGCAGAATCAGAAAAAACACCCAACACAGTGTGTGCTGTGTGGCAAAAGAAGAAATTCAAAGGAGTCCACATTCTCAGAGGTCTAGATAAGTTTTTAAGATCAAAGGGGGTGGGGAGTGGGAGGCATAGCAGGGGTTTAAAAGCTAGCACAATTTATGGTATTGTCTCTTTTAATTGGTAACTGTTAGCCCAAGTGCCCGACACAAGGTGAACATGACCTCTCATATAAAACAATTATACTTGAACTCTCCATGCTACTCTGTGGCTCTTCATATCCTTCTTTTAGCAGGTACCTTGCTTTAACCTTGCTGGTCAAGATGACAGATCATTTACATTAACGGGAGCATGATGGGGAAATGCTCCAGGTCTAAGTTGGAAGTGCCAGGTGACTTGGGCAGCCGATAATGAGGACCTGAAGCAAAAACCAAATAGCCAACACACCCATCTTGAAGGCATGAGGTTTCAAGGAAGCATGTTAAAACCACATTGGTCCCTGTGTGGTACCCAAGAGATGTTCGGTCATACTGAATTTTAAAAAATTGCCTTCACATTCTTCCCAGTTGCTTGCTAATAAATGTTTTGTTCATTCATGGGTTCATTTAATCATCAAATGTTTGATGCATCTTTATTATGTGCCAGGCATTATGCTAGGTGCTGAGATTGATAACAAAGAACAAATTGGCCCTGCTCTTAAGACACATTGAGTAGATGAAGGACACAGACACAAACTCCCTTAACTTTAGCACAATGTGAAAACTACCGTAGGATCAAAGTCTGAACAAAATTCTGTAGGAGAGGAGGAGATGCCTTATAGAAGAAAGAGGGAAGGTTTCTAGGGCAGGATACTATTTAAGCTGAGGATTGAAAGATGAATAGCATTTTGTCTCAGGTGTAGAAGATGGGGGATGACATTTCTGGCAGGTGGCACAGCATGAACAAAGAGAGAGCTGAATGACTTAGTGTATGGGAAAGTCAAACTGGTCCTGATGGTGTAAGGGTCAAAATATTCTCTTATTTGCTCTTAGGTAAGGTCACAGGCAGGCAGAAGTTGAGTTAAATACCAGTAAATCTCTAGCTGCTCAGTTGCCTAGACATTGTTCTTCAAATCCAAGGGTCCAAGGAGCAGACAGAATAGGAAGTTCTATTGGGTCTTACCTATCTGCCAATTCATTAGTTCCAGAAGAAAGTCTTGTGAATGTCTGACCTCCTGAAGGAGACCCTGAGGGTTTGTGGTCAAGGTGGGCAGTGTCCCTTTGGATAAGTGAGTTTGTTTTGATGTATCAGGGTCGGGGGAGCTGGAAGTCTCCACTCAGGGCCAGTGTATTCCTGCTAACCAGAGCATCATCTATGCAACCCCAGCAAAAGGTCATGATCACAACTGATATTTATTGAACACTCTTTCTGGGCCTACCACTTCCTAATTGCTTCACTAAATCTTTACAGTCAACTTAGAGAGTAGATCCATTATCATGTTCATTTCACCAAGAAAGAAACTACAGCACAGACAGGCAGGGTGGCTTGCCTGAGGTCATACAACCGGTAAGTGGCAGAGCTGAACCCATTCTGTCTGTCCTGGAGCCTGGACTCTCATCTACCTTCCCATACCACCCAAGACAGTGAAACTGCCATGACACATTTAATAAACCATGTGCTTCGTTCACATACCTCATCTCATTATATCATCAGCAGGAAAACTCCATGAGTCAGGTGTTACTTTCATTTGGTGGATGAGAAAACTGAGGCTCAGACAGACTGATTTATGGTCATGCAGACAGTAAGTGATGGAAGAGGCACTTAGATGTGCTTGACTACAGAGCATGTGTGTTTTCCATTCTACCATGATGAATTTCCAAACAGTCTCAACAGATGTTACTCCTTTTCTTGACATTCAAGAAGGCAGGCATGGGTGGTGCATTTCACTTAACAACTACTGCTCTTGTGAATGACCACCCAGGAACTCCCTCTCCACTCCCTACCTGGAACGCAGGGCTGATCTTTACTGCAAAGACAGTAGACACAATGATTTTGCACCCAAGCTTCTTTCCCAATAGGTTAGAGCCAAACTATCCAGTCACTGTGGATGGGAAATGAGTCACAAATACAGGGATACCTTATTTTAACAGAATGCAAGAGCCAAAGTGAACTAGAGTTGTTCACCTTAGAAAAGGGTTATTCATACTTGGTGTTTTTCATAGCTATTCAATTACTGCATGATAGTGCAAAAACAATCATAGCCAAAGCATGAATGAACTAACAGGGCTATGTTCCAATAAACCTTTATTTATGGACAGTGAAAAATGAGTCACAAATACAGGGATACCTTATTTTAACAGAATGCAAGAGCCAAAGTGAACTAGAGTTGTTCGCCTTAGAAAAGGATTATTCATACTTGGTGTTTTTCATAGCTATTCAATTACTGCATGATAGTGCAAAAACAATCATAGCCAAAGCATGAATGAACTAACAGGGCTATGTTCCAATAAACCTTTATTTATGGACAGTGAAATGTGACTTTTACATAATTTTTGCATGTCACAAAGTATATTATTTTGATTTTTCCCAACCACTTAAAAATAGAAAAACTATTTTTCAGTTCACGGGTCACGCAAAAACTGACAGTGGAATGGTCTTGGCCTGTGGATAGTAGTTTGCATGTTTTGGTTTATAAAATATTGTTATGTCCTTGTTACAAAATCTAGTGTATAAATTAAAACACAGAATCCATCTCTTGTAAGCCATGTAAATACTCATTACATTTTTTTTTTTTTGGGAAAAAAAGTCTTCATTTAGTTGAGTCATCTAAAGACACTTGTATCTTAGAGCATACAGAAAGACCAAAACCATACTCTGTTGAAGACAAGTTGACACTTTTCACACAAGACAGACTGCAGATGAGTTTCTGGCCAGGTTTGGCCATGCTGACTGTTTCTCTCCAAGTATTTGTTCTAAAGAAACTTTCTCTCTGGTGTGTTCATTGCTCTAGAAAGTGCTGTCTGGCCAATCTTTAGACAAACTTGCAATATCTTCTGCCAGAGCACACCCTTTGTTTTCTCATTAAGAATCTCATACTCATTTTCAAGGTTTTCCTCTAGCTTTTTCATTCAAGATTGGACAAATCCCATTTCTGAAGGTCCTGTAAGCAGTTTGCAGGGGAGCTGCTGGAGCTTTTTTGGCCTGTTCAAAACAAGGAACTCAAAGGGCTAAAGGATTCAGGTGTTGAGATAGTGCAAAGAAAAAGCAAAACATGGAATTTGGGGGTGTGTGGGTGTATTAGTCAGCTCGGGCTGTCATAACAAAATACCTCAGACTGGGTGGCTTAAACAACAGACACTTGTTTCTCACAGTTCTGAAGGCTGGATGTCCAAGATCAAGGTGTGGGCAAATGGGGTTCCTGGTGAGGGCTCTCTTCCTGGCGTGTGGATGGCTGCCTTCTTGCTGGCTTCTCCTATGGGGGAGAGAGTGAGCTCTTCCATGTCTATTCTTATGAGGACACTAATTCTATTTGATCAGTGCCCACCCTTTTAACCTCGTTGAACCTTAGTTATTTCCTTAGAGACCCCGTCTCCTAATATAGCCACAGTGGAGGTTCAACAAATGCATTTTGTGGGGGAATCCAAGCATTCAGTCTATAAGTAGGGGGAACAGTCCCTCTGAAGTCCCTTTGAATGCCACTTTCTTTCCATTCTTGGGCTTGCCCTGCTAACTGGAGTCCAATTTTGACTGACTCGTCTCAAATAATGCCCTGATCTTTTGAATGGCCCCTGCTTGTCTTGTGCCAAGCTGACCGCTGGTGTGGCTGCATCCCTTTGGGAAAGGTGGGAAGCTGGCTTCAGTCACCAGAAAGAAAATCCTTATCCCTTTCATGGTGGCCCAGGAGGGTGGGGTAGAAAGAAGGAGCCAGACTCCCTGCACCTGCTAGCCCCTGGGGTTAGCCCACCGGGAAGGGCTCCAGCTGAAAGGAGCTTGGTAATGACTCCTCTTCCCTCCAACATGGACCCCTAGCTCCCTTATCCCTCTTTTGCCATCACATTGTTAATTAAGTTAAAAGAGCAGAGAAGACAAACCATCTTGAGTCTCCAGTGTCCCTAATGAAGACTTGCCCTTGCCCTGCTGGTGTGTGCAGATGGGGCCCTAAGTGTTGAGGAAAAAGAGTTTGAGGCCAGATGCATGCCCTGAGAGCTGAGTCTGGAAGACAGGGCTGGTGCTCCAGGTGCCACAGGGCCCTCCTCTCCTGGGCATCCCACTGCTGCTATAGGAAACCCACTGTGTGCCTTTCACAAGGATGTTACCTTGGATGGATTTCTGCATACCCCCCAATTCCCCTCCACCATGCCCCTAAGGGAGGGCTGGCCAGGGGATTTATCTCAGGTCAGATTTTGGTTTTGTAACTTGAGCTTCTCTTTCTTCTTGGCCCTAGTCCTGTCTCTATCTCGAGGCGGGTAGTGTTGAGGGACAGGCAGGTGTGGTCTGGTACAACAGGACCCAGTGATGAAAGATCCTAGCTCCTGGTATACACTGAGGGGTGTGGTGAGAAGGGTGACTCACCTGGCCTGGACTCAGTTTTGCATGGTTTCCAGGAGCCATGCATGTAAACGGGGGTTGGGGAGACGGGTACATGAGGTTCCTAGATTCTGGCTACATGTGGGTCATGGGTAAGGGTTGTAGCAAGAAATATAGATGCAAAGGTTGTCTTGTGTTAAATCCTCTTGCCCCAGCTCCCTCTCTCTCTGGATGCCCAGGGCCTGCTGGCTACCTGCTGTCTCTTTCCACTGTGGAATGCCACTGCGGAAGGAGGTGGGCTCTTTGAGGCTGATCATGCTTGTAGGACAGTGAACTCCACCTTTGGGGTATGTTTTGAAAGATACCAGAAGGCTCTTGCAATGGTCAGCCAATGCCAAAAAACACTGTGCAATAAACACCCCAAATGAGTGGCTTAATAGAACCATCACTTATTGTCACCACACTGCAGTTCTGGGGTTAGCTGGGGCTAGGCCTCCTCGGTTCTGCTCTAACATCTCTAATCTTCCTCCTGCGACTAGTGGACTAGCTTGGACATGTCCTTCTCATGGCAGTGCCCAAAGAGCAAGGGTACAACAAATGGAAATATTAATGGTTTATTGGCCAAAGCAAATTACATGGCCAAGCCAAGAAGTGGAAAAATAGGATCCAAAGTGGGGAAGAGCCCTGCGAAGTTATATGGTGGAGACCACAGATGCAGAAGGGGATGCAGCATCCACCAAAAATATCTCCTCCCAAAGACCTTTGATGTGGTTTAAAATCTCTGCTATGAAAATTTCCTTTTTGCATTAAAACACACTCTGCATAAGGCCCTTGTGCTCAGTAGGATGCTTATGCACAGCTTCTTAACTCTTTTTTTCTTTTTTCTTTTCTTTTTTTTTTCTTTAAGATGGAGTTTCGCTCTTGTTGCCCAGGCTGGAGTGCAATGGCACGATCTTGGCTCACTGCAACCTCCACCTCCCAGCTTCAAAGGATTCTCCTATCTCAGCCTCCCGAGTAGCTGGGATTACAGGAGCATGCCACTATGCAGGCTAATTTTTGTGTTTTTAGTAGAGATGGGGTTTCACCATGTTTAGGTAGGCAATCAGTCAGCTAACACAGGGTTCTGAGGGAATGGGGCTCAGGACAGATGTGTTTTGCAGGGAATTTGGGCTACAGGAGGAGGGTGGGCCACAGTCAACCTGCCCTTCCCATTTCAGTTCTTCGTACCTAACTATGCTTACTTTCCCCTGGTCAGCAGAGAAATCCCACAGAAATTCTTCATCTGCCCAAGGATGCTAGAAAATTCCAAGATTGGAAACATTCAGGACACAGCAGTTAACACTGTAGGAAACACATCCTAGGCTTTTTGGTGATGTCAGCATGTTTGTATCTTTTTGTTTCTGTTTGGGCACATGGAGCACGTGGGGCTTGGTGGGTGGCTGCGTGGGAGTGTGGAGGTCTGTGTTTGTATGAATGAGTGTTGTGTTCATGTTTTTGCCAATATGCCTGTCTCAGTCAGCTTCAAAAATCTGTCTTTGTAGTCTGGGAACAGAAAAAGGTTTTCATTATTAGAAAATATTATCACCAAATAGTTTTTTTTAAAAATGCAAGTTAACAGGATCGGACCTATTCCAAAAACATTTAGTAAGAGGTGTGTGTGTGTGTTGTGTGCTGTGTGTTTGGAGGCAGGTTATAAATAGAGAGTTGTCTTTCACCCCACAACCCTTCTGGTTCTATTTCTGTTGGAACTAAAATGAATTGGGTAAATTATCTAGAGATTATACAGTTGCAGAAAAACTGTATATGTCTTAATTAATTACATATTATTTCTAATAATAGGCTGTCTCTATCTACATATCCACCTATATATAATTTTGAGTCCATTTAATTCCTTGTATTGCTGATCCTCTTTTTTTTTTTTTTTACACAAGAGAGGGGATGAGAGGGAATGATTGGCTGGTGTTCTTTCACTGGGTCTAATGCAAGGAATCCTCCTATATTTAAATTCAGCTGTAGTACATAGCTGGGTAGATTGGTTCCCGGTGAGTACACCACCTCCAGTGCCATCCCCTAAAAAACCTCAGAGCATGTATGCATAAAGGAGATGGTAGATTGGGTTACTGGGAAAGGAAATGTACAAATGTACCTTTGCAAGAGGATTGACTGATGGTAGCGGCAAGTTGCTGATGAAGGCAGTTTGTGTAAGAGCAGGCCCTAGCTGCCGGGCTCATCTGTCTCTGTTGTCACTTTCTCCCTGGCTGCCTGTGCAGCAGGCAAGCTGCCCTGGGCTCCTTGTGGCTCCCTCCCTTCCCTTCCTCCTTCCTCCATGCAAATCCAGGCTCACTGAGCCTCAGAGGCAGAGCTTCCCAGGCTAGGGGAGTTAGGAGAGGCGCTGATAAGGTCTGTTGTTTTTGCTTGTCTTCTATTTGCTGAATGGCCTGGCCTAGACATTACCTCTCCAATGTGCCTTTGGAGCCACGGAGAGTGAGAGCCTTCCTGGAGCAAGTGGAAGCAAAAGTGGGAGGTACCCTTCTTGACCACCACTCATCTTTGGTAAACATCTCAATCAACGGGTGCAAAAATAGAAGCAGTAAGATCTAGTGATCAGCCACACAATAGGGAGACTATAGTTAACAATAATTTACTGTATATTTCAAAATAACTCAAAGAGTAGATTTGGAATGTACCCAATACAAAGAAATGATCAATATTTGAGGTGATGGATATCCCAATTACCAAGACTGGATCATTACACATTGTATACTCACATCCAAGTATCACATGTACCCCATATATATGTACAACTATTATGTATCCATAAAAATAAAAAAAAAAACCCACAAGAGCTCCTCCCTGGAAACCATGGTGTGCCCATGCCTCTGGGTGCTGGCAGGTGCAGGAGGCAGTGTGTGAAGACTCACGTGGCCTTCAGGCCTTTTCAGCTTCCAGTTCTCTGATCTAGACACAGCATTAACGATATACGTGTTACTGGTATATACAGTGACAAGGGTTGGTGTCTAAAAAGCCATTCTTTACTAGTCTTGAATTCTCCCCTCCAGTGTTTGACTCAATTTTGTGGCTTTGCTCCTCTTTGATTCCCTTTACACACACACACACACACACACACACACACACGCATAGACACAGACACACAGAAACACATGCATTCACGTACACACATAGACACACATGCACTCATATACACATACACAGACACACACACACACACGCACTCAGGTACACACTAAATAAAGTCTCATTGTACACCCCCACTCTATCTCCCTTCCTTTGTTTTTCAGTTTTTAATTTAATTTGTTTTTTAGAGACAGGGTCTCTCTCTGTCACCTAGGCTGGAGTAGAATGATGTGATCATAGCTCACAGCAAACTTGACCTCTGGAGCTCAAGCCATCATCCCACCTAAGCTCACTGAATAGCTAGGACTACAGGTGTACACCACCAAGCCTGGCTAAGTTTTATATTTTTTGTAGAGAGGGTCTCACTCTGTTGTCCCGGCTGGTCTCCAACTCCCGGCTTCAAGAGATCTCCCTCCTTGGCCTCCCAAAGTGCTGGGATTATAGGCATGAGCCACCATACCTGGCCCTTCTCTTCCTTTAAAAGCAACAACAACTACTAACCTTTCCAAATCCACTCCAAGATAAAGTATATGAGTCCACCTCTTATACCACACTGTGTGCAATTGTAAATACTAGTAAAATGGACAAATATATGATGAAGTTGTGGTGATTATAGTGAGGGAATTGCCTTTATCTTCTTACCTGTGAAGTGAGTCCTTCTGACACCTAAGAAGTGCATAGGTACTTGATGTAAGATTGAGTGCTATGGCTGTCACGGTTCTTGGGAGCAGCTCAAGTCATTAAGGTGGACGTAACTTTTCTGATGATCAGCATTACTTACTAAATAAGTGGATTTATTTCTTACAGGAGAGTCACTTTCTTTATTAACCCAAGTTCAATAGCCTTACAGAGAGATCCCTTTCTTTTGTTGTGTATTTAGGGCAGGACCTTCTTAAAAGCTAACCCAAGTCTACTATTTTTAGTTGTATTGGGGAGGAGGTATCCTTTGTGTCTTGGTATTTCCTGATCTCCGCAGTAAGAGTTCTACAGCAGTGTGGGCACTGTGCTGGTGAGTGAACACTTCAATGAGCACAGTGGCTGGGAAGTCCGGGGAGGCACTAAGCTGATGGAGAGAGGGAGGTGAATGGATCCACGTTGATTGACACTTTAGAAAGTTCCTGCTTTCTGAGAATAATGCTGCTTTCCGTCAACAGCTATATACTATATACTATGGACTATATACTATATGCTGAATACTAATATAGCTGTATGCTATATCCTAATGACCTTTCTTCACTTTTACAGATAGAATAATTGAGGCCTGTTCAGTGGCAGCCCAGGGTCCCATGGCCCTATGCCTGGCAGCAACGAGGACCACACCAGGAGTCTTGGCTTCTAGTCTATGCTCTTGCCCTGGGACTCAGCAGCCTGTGGTCTGAACTTCTGAGAGGCCGCTTTGCAAGTGATGTTGAAAGTACTTCATCAGGGCCATACTTGCTGTCACCTCAGTCCTCTTCTACATTTCTTCTGTTTTAATTTGAGCTTGAGCAAATAAAACAGTGGTTGCTGTTCTACAACCTATAAGACTTCCTATTTGTTGCACACACCCCAGGAAGCGCATGCGTGCACTGAAGCTGGGGTGTGCGCATACACACACACACACACACACACACGCATGCACAGACACGTGCACACACACACATACACAGAAGTTTTCATATTAGTTTCCTGAGTTCATGGATAAAGTCCAGAGCTGCCAAAGCTCCCACTCCTTTGCCATGTCACACTAATAGCTTCCAGATCCCATCACATATTAAATTCATGCGGTTTCAGCGAAGCCATCTATTTAATGCAATTCGCTAAATGCCTGCGCAGCCCCGCTGACAGTGACATATTAGTTTTGCAGTCTTTTGCAATCTGATATCTCTGAATTTGCCACCGTACTAAAGATTTGATTAATGTGGTTCCATTTGGATGCAGTAATTGGCTGCGACTGTTGTAGAAAATAATCAGGCTTTCATTCCTTACAAGTGCACGGACATGCTAATGAGAGAGTGGGTTAATTAAGCCCGCGGCAGAAAGCGACAGTTACTGATGACTGTTATGACAAACCACCGACTCGGCATTTGGGAGCAGGACAGCAAATTTGCACTTTATGAAATTACAGGAAAACTAGGACATAAGGAATAAATAGTTACATCTGTTTGGTGAAAGGTGGAAAAAGGGTGGGGAGAAAAAAAGAGGGGCTCAAGAGGAAGAGAAAAGAACAAGTGAGAGACGGTCTCCCCAAGAACAGGGCGGGGGTCCTGAGCTGCAGGAGGCCCATGGAGAGGCTTCCTGGTCCTCAGGGGCTGCTTCTGCTTGTGCTCCAGTGTCACGGTGCTGGTGGAACGTGACACACCCAGTCCAGCACCTGCATTATGGACTTTTTGCAGAAAGACCAGACAGCAGCTCCGTTGCCTAGAAACAGAAAGAGATTTGAGGAAAGAGAGGGAGATATAGGTAAAGGCCGGGGAGAGCGTGGACTTACTTGGGGACCTTTCACTTATGGCCTCTCAGAAGGAGCACGAGTGGGGAGCTGGGGAGATTACATACTGTTTCTTCATTTTAGAGGAGCTAGTCTATAAATATCTAGGATGAATCGGATGCCTGGGTTTATTTGTTTTGTTTTGTTTTGAGATAAGATTTCACTCTGTCACCCAGGCTGGAGTGCAGTGGCATGATCCTAGCTTGCTGCAGCCTTAAGCTCCTGGGTTCAAGTAGTCCTCCTGCCCCAGCCTCCTGAGTAGCTGGGACTACAGGCATGCACCACCGCTCCTGGCTAATTTTATTTTTGTAGAGACAAGGTTTTGCTTTGTTGCCCAGGCTGGTCTTGAACTCTTGGGCTCAAGGGATCTTCCTCCCTCGGACTCCTGAGTCTGAGCCTCTGGGATTATAGGCATGTGGCCAGCATGCCCAGCCCGGGGTCTATTTTATCACCCTTTCATCTCACTTGCTCTCCCCAAATGGATTCCTGCTTCTTAGATCCAAATCCAGGCTCCCTTCCTTGGGCTGGGCGGGGCTTCTCTCAGCTCTGCTGGCTCCCTAGAATCCCTGTGTTCTCCTGTGTGACTCAGACTCTGTTATTCCTTTCTTTGCCTCTCTAAGTCATTTAGATCTCAAATGACCAAAATTTCTGTTCGTCTTCTGGGGTTCTGCTTTATACATGAGCTCACAAACTTCATCTCTCCCCAGCCTGCTGAGTATTGAGGGGGAAACAAACATGAATATAACTTGGTCCCTGCCCTTCTGGAGTTTATAGACTAGTCGAGGAGAAAAGCCACACAGACAAGTCACTAATGGTCTAGGTGTCACCAGAGAAGAATAAATGAACCCACGGAGTTCAGAAGGAAGGTGATCACTTCCTTCTGGGCATGTGGGAAGCTCTGCAGACAAGGAGCTGTGAACATGGGCAAGGTAGGAAGGGGGTGGAGGCAGAGCATACTGCAGAGTGAAATGATAGCGATATGAGTGTGACATGGCTGTGTGGGTGGGTTTAGGGAGAGACACGACGCTGAGCTATAGGGGTCACCTGGGGATAAGTGGAGAAAACTCTTCCATGTTTCCTAAGGAGCTCGTGTTTATCCTGTAGGCAATGGGGCATCATTGAGTATATTTTGAGCCTTGCATGTCACCATCAGACCTGTGCTTACAGGAAATCCTTTGGAAGCAGGGATGTGGTGGAAGGCATAGGGTGGAGAGGTGTGGGAGTAAACTGGAAACCAGAGATCAGGCAGGAGGGAGGCCAGTCCAGGCCTTCAGGGGAAGGGAGCTGGTCAGGAGCAGGGGCTGCGAGGATGAACGGGAGCGTGGTCTACTTGGGGCGGCGCTGTACCCTACTCCAGGTGGCCATAAGCCTCTTAGAGCAAATGCCCTTTAGGCCCTCCTTGAGCTCAGCAGTGGGGAAGGGGTCTCCTGGAGGAAATTTCTGAGCAGAACCCACTGTGATCAGTGTTGAACTATCTTTTCATGGACCACGTCTTCAGTTTTCAGGCACACAAGAAAAATTTGCATCAGTGATGGTGAATATTAGGTGGCAACTTGATTGGACTGAGAGATGCCTGGATGGCTGGTGAAGGACTGTTTTTGGGTATGTCTGTGAGGGTGCTGGCAGAGGAGATTACATCTGGGTCGGTGGACTGGGAGAGGAGGGCCCACTCTCAGTGTGGGTGGGCACCATCCAGTCAGTCGCTAGCGTGGCAGGAACAAGGCAGGTGGAAGCAGATGGGATAAGCTGGCTTGCTGGGTCTTCTGGCTCTCTTTCTTCTCCCTGGGCTGGATGCTTCCTCCCCTCCTGCCCTTGGACATCAGACTCCAGGTTCTTTGGCCTTTGGACTCTGGGACTTGCACCAGCGGCTCTTGGGCCTTCAGCCATAGACTAAAGGCTGCACTGTTGGCTTCCCTGGTTTTGAAGCTTTAGGACTTGGACTGAGACACTATCAGCTTTTCTCTTTCCCCAGCTTGCAGATGGCCTATCATGGGACTTCGCCTTGTAATCGTGTGAGTCAATTCTCCCTAATAAACTCCCTTCCACATATATATAGATTCTGTCTGTCTGGAGAACCCTGACTAATACAACATCCAAGATATAAGAAGTGCTGTCTGCTTCTGTGTTTAGGGAATGATATGGCACAAGGCTCACTGACATGGCAAACTTGTGAAATGCAGTTCAGTTCTCCAAAACCCGGTTTACGTACAATGGTTCCAGGAAATCCATCACTGCACCATGGCAGGGAGAGTCAGTTACATGTTGATGAGCTATTCTCCAGGTGGCCATTGGCTCTTCTACCTACTCCATCCCATGAGAAAATAGAGACAATTTACACATATAAAGTAGAGTATTCAACACAGGTAGCTGCAGGGAAAGAAGGGAATTCACCTTATCGAGGCCTAGTCTGGCCTGCACAGTACAAACATTATTTGTTGTAATTCTCACTTTACCTATGAGGACACTAAGGCTCTGAGACATAAAATAAAAGCCCAAGTTCGCTGAGCCAGTAAGTGATGGGGCTGGGTTTAAGAACAGGATCTATCTGATGCAAATACTAGGCTCCTTCTCTTGATCCTCAAGAATTATTTTTATGACATAGGAACTTACTAAACAATCAATTTCTTGATACTCAGGTGGAGCATGTTTGTATCCTCAGGCTCTGATGTGATCCTGCCCTGCCCTGGGCCCTCTTCTTATGCCCCCCGCAGCACAGGTAGAGGCCATCCGAAGTGATGATGAACAGCATGAAGCCCAGGAGTTTTGCAAGGTGCCATGTTCTAGGTGCTTAATGCTGTCATGTCAAAGCGGTTCCACTGCCCCAGCCACATGATACTTACGAACAGGTTTCACATTGCTCTTTGCTGTCTTGGCTAGAAGGAGATTGGAAAGTAGAGGCCCAGAGAAGTAGCCTTTGGCTAACAAGGTGGGGCATGTCATTGGGTGAGGCTTGTCATTTTTGTGTTTCCTGTGACTGAGCCACCCTCTGGGAAAGAACCCCAGAGAAAGAAGAAAAAGTACAGCAAATCAGTCCGTAAGTAGATCAGGTACCTACAGAAATTGAGAAGGGCCGTTCTGCAATCATTGGGAAGAATCATCGCTCATTTGCCAGATTAGTGGGAGCCTCCCAAACCCGCCGGTTGCCATCTGGGGGATGTCTGCAGCCCGAGCACCCTGGCCTGCCTGGGAGTCCCTGATTTAGACCGGAGAATTTTATGGTCTGAAAATGGCCTTAAAATTTGTTTGGAATTACCCAGAGCACATTTTAAACACTGAAATTGCCATCTCCATATTTTTTAGTATTTGCAATTTACCTGGGTACAATTCCTTTCCTGTCTTCCTCAGCACTTCCCTCACTCCTCGGGCTTTCCTCCTGCTCTTTGGAAGGGCTCCAGGCTCCAGCCTTTCTCCAGCTTGCACCAAGAGGCCAGCAAACGTTTCACCCCAATGTCCAGAGTGTTCTCTCTCCTCCATTGTTCTGCCCTCTGTACCGGGTTGAATAGCGATCTTCTGAAAATCTGTGTCCATTCAGAATCTCAGAATATGACATTGCTGGGAAATAGGATCTTTGGTGATGTAATTAGTTGTAATGTGCCATGTTCTAGGTGCCTAACACTGGCGTGTCAAAGGGGTTCCGCTGCCCCAGCCACATGATATTTACAAACAGGCCAGCAAGCATTTGAAGTCATACAGGATCAGGGTGGTCCCTGAATCTAATCACTGGTATTCATATAAGAAGAGGAGAGGACTCACAGACACGTGGGGAGGACGGCCGTGGGAAAACGGAGGCAGAGATGGAGTGAGGTGGCCACCAGCCAAGGACACCAAGGCTTGTTGGAAGCCTTGGCAGAGAGAAGAGGCGAGGACGGATTCTCCCTGGAGCCTTCAGAGAAAACAAGTCCTGCCAACAACTTGATTCCAGTCTTCTAGCCCCTAGAACTGGGAGAGAATAAATTTCTGTTGTTTTCAGCCACCCAGTTTGTAATAATTTGTTGTGGCCACCCCAGGAAGTTAATCCTTGTGTTCAGATCACATAGGCTCTGCCAACCTCCACTAAGAGGCCCAGCACACACTTCAGAGAAGAAACCCAGGAAGGCCTCCATTATCTCACTTTTGAGGCATGAGCTTAGGGGTTTGTTGGGTTGGAGATCCATCCATTTCCAACCAGAAGCTCATTTCCTCCCTTATTCTGTTGTTCAATTCCTATCTCCAAGTTTCTACCCTTCAGTGAGCCTGTAAGATCTGACACCCTGGAGACAGCATCAAGATCAGAGCTGTATTGCTTCTATTAACTTAATGCATACTAAGTGGCAGGCTTTTTTGTAATTGACATTAATCATCTATTCTTACACAAAATAGTTACTCTACCAATGCTTGGTGTCTGACCTGCACTTTAGGCCCTACCTCCATGTGTGCTGGAAACAGGAGGAGACTGGTTGTGTTTTTAACCAGTTCTAGCTCTTCTTCCTGACTGATAACACTCTAGAAAGCTCTACAGGAACACTATGGGGCCTTCCAAATGCAATAGGACCCTGACTCCATTTGCCACCATGCAACTCGCCTCCCCTGGCCCCGTCCCCCCTTTTAACTGTGGAAGGCTCTGTGGGCTGTCAGAGGGGTTCTGCACATTTTATACCTGACAGGACCTCTCCCAGAAACCCCTGAGGGAGACACCATTAAAGTGTTTTATGTTGGGGAATAGGTTGGTTTCTGAGCAATAAAAAAACAACGCCATTGAAGAAGCAAGCTCCTGGGTAATTACGGAGACCAAGGAGATGGCTTCCATATGCTGGGTGGGTGCTTACAGGCCGGAGCCTGCATCTGTTCCCTTTGTTCTGTCAGAGAACAGAGCTAGGAGGGGGTCTGACCTCCCGATAAACCCTGAACCAGAACCCTCTGCCGAGCTTCAGGGAGGAGAGGGGGCCTGGGGGTGGTGGAGGGAGGTCAGAGGGCAGCAACATCTGGCAGAGGGAAGGATGGGTGGGAGGTGGGCATAGGGAGAAAGGGATGGGGGCTGGGCTGCCCCCTCCCTAATCAATAAACCCAGCTACCAGAGGAGATCAGAGAACCATTCATTAACGAGCTCGTTAAGTGATTGATAGGCTTAATTTTCCTGTCAAATGTGGACTTCCCTTGTAAACATGTCAATTGAGGAAAGTTCAAGCTTGTCACTTGGATTTATGGCTGGAATAACATGTAGGTGGGAAAGAGGGGCAGGTCCCCTGTGACCCAGGCTGGCGGCTCTGAAATGTGAAGGCCAGTGTATCCAGGTGCCTGAGAGGCCCTCCTCTTTTCTTCCCACAGCTGAGACAACAATCACAGCCTGGAATTCTCACTCTCTCATCCTCAAAGGAATGAAGACGTGGCAATCCCACGCCCCTGCCAGCCCCTCCCACCCCACGAGGCTCTCTCTGAAGTTATTCATCCTTCCACCTGCAAATCCGGGAGGGATCCCGGTGTTGGAAGGACCTAGCCAAGCCGTGGCTCTTGGCAAACAGATCTGTTCCTTTCTAGTTGTCCTGGAAGACCAGGAGTCAATGAAAACAGGAGCTGAAAGCACCACTATCATGTGACATGAACAAGTCATCAGCTCCTCAGTGATCTGGAAAATGGCTGGTGGCATTGGGGAACAGGTTACAGCAGAGGTGGGCACGAGAGGAGCGACTCACTCAGCACAAGTTGTGGGGTGGGCGGTGGAGGGCAGCTGCGGGCTGCAGCCTAATGGGTGGTCCTGTGGGGGGCCCATTTCTAACAGGCTTTGTTGAATGCTCCATGTTAAATTAGCCAAGCGCAGCCATGCTCCTCAGATGCGTAAGAGATGCAGGCATGATACAAGTGAGCCCTGGATAACTGAGTTCAAAATCCACTGGAATCCATCAGTGCTATTATTACAAAGTACTGGCTTTAGGAGAGAGGCTTTCTAGCACCCTGCCTGTCTGCTTTAAGCAGCACAGAAATGCTGCCTGAACTTGGAGATGGCCTGCCCTCTTCAGTATTAAAATACACTTGGCCTTGTATCGTGCACTTTCCTCTCTGGCATGATTGTGGACCCTCTGAGAGCAGGGGCCTCTGGCTTTGGGCTTTGTGCTTCATGCAGTACTTAGGGGAGGGCCTGAGGAGCTGCTTTCTGGCTGGGTGCTGAGAGCCTGGGCTGTGCTGGAGAGTGCACCCCTCCCAGGTTGGACCTTGTCAGGTCATCCAGGAGCTTCATCGTGCGGAACCTCGGTGTAAGGAGTTAGGGTGGAGAGTGGCCTTAGGGGGCGGATGATTTCTAAATGAAACCTCTGTGGAATTCTTGTCCTAGCAGCACTTACCAAAGTGGGGTGTGTGTGTGTGTGTGTGTGTGTGTGTGTGTGTGTGTATGTAGAAGGATGCTTCGCCGGGTTCTTGCAAAACCCAGGCCCCCTATAATTTATTATTTATACCATAATACATCATGATCGCACTGGAAATGTGCTACACTTCAAAGTACAACTCTGCAGTGACATCAAACCTTTCAGACAAAATCCCAAGGCAGGGAAGAAGGAGGAACATCCAGTAATGCTGCTCATGGAATCCCCCTGCTCAGTGGTGTCTCCTATTTGTTTCTTTTTCTAGAGCTGAAAAGTCTGTTATTGATATAGGCTTGCTTACATGTCAATATTCTTGAAGTGGGACCACAGCAGTCATGATAATAACAATGGACAACAGTGACAAAGTGGTATGGTTTGGCTTTGTGTCCCCACCCAAATCTCATCTCAAATTGTAATCCCCACATGTTGAGGGAGGAAGGTGATTGGATCATGGGGTTTCCCCCGCATTATACTCACGGTAGTGAGTGAGTTCTCACGAGACCTGTTTTTTTTTTTGGTAGATGGAGTCTTGCTCCATTGCCAGACTGGAGTGCAGTGGCGCGAACTCGACTTACTGCAACCTCTGCCTCCCAGGTTCAAGCGATTCTCCTGCCTCAGCCTCCCAAGTAGCGGGGACTACTGACACCCACTACCACACCCAGCTAATTTTTGTATTTTTAGTAGAGACAGGGTTTCACCATGTTGGCCAGGATGGTCTCAATCTCTTGACCTCGTGATCTGCCTGCCTCAGCCTCCCATAGTGCTGGGATTACAGGCGACCTGATGGTTTTATAAGGCAGTTTTCCCTGCTCTTGCTTGCTCTCTCTCCTGCCGCCTTGTGCCTGCTTCCCCTTCCACCATGATTGTAAGTTTCTAGAGGCCTCCACAGCCATGTGGAACTGTAAGTCAGTTAAACCTCCTTTGTTTATAAATTACCCAGCCTCAGACAGTATGGACTAATACACAAAGCAATCTTTTTTTTTTTTTTTTAATAGAGGCAGGATCTTGCTCTGTCACCCAAGCTGGAGTGCAGTGGCATGATCATAGCTCACTGCAGGCTTGAACTCCTGGGCTCAAGCGATCCTTCCACCTCAGCCTCCTGAGCAACTGGGACTACAGGTGCCCACCACCACACCCAGCTAATTTTTAATTTTTTTGTAGAGTTGGGATCTCTCTCTGTTGTTCAGGCTCATCTTGAATGCCTGTCCTCAAGTGATCCTCTTTCCTTGGTCTTCCACAGTGCTGGGATTACAGACATGAGCTTAAGCACTTACTATGTGCCAAGCAATCTGAGAAGTGCTCCACAAGCTTCTCTTCTAATTCCACATCAAACTGTACTTCTGCTCAAGGCCACACAGGTGGTTGGGGATGGTGCCTGGCTTGTCTAAGGGCTGCTGTGCTCCACAGGCCGGAGGTGTCCACTATTCCGCTGTGTTATTTTGGAGCCATCTATGTTAATTTTATGAAGTTGCAGCATGATTGTTGTATTGACCAGAAACGTGTACATTCGTTTTCGTGGCAGGATCTCTGAGCACCTAGTGGCAGCAATTTTCTGAAATACTTTAGGTTTAGACCCACAGGACATTTTTCTTCTTTATCTAAATGCTGATGTATAATAGGGAGCTATATTATTACTATAATGTTCTCTTGAATTGAGCCTCTGGAAAGGCGCCAAGACCAAGTTTGGACTCAAGCAAAAGCCCCACTGGGAAGAGTTACATGGGGGGTGTGGGGGCTGGGAGGCTCTTCAGTCACAGAGGCTCCTCTTGGCAGGAGACTGGACCCTCACTTTCCTTTAATGCACTCAAGACCGTTGAACCCCGGGCCAGATGCCCTCCCTCTATATGCTATTGCATTCCAGCCCATAATTGTGAATTATTATTAAAGTAATATATACTATTTACTGAGCACCTACTAAGTGCCAGGGATAGCCCAAGCTACTTTGCTTGGGCTCTTTATTCACTACTACCACACTGTCTTTATGGAGTAGGAACTATTGCTGTTTCTGTTTACAGATAAGGAAACTGAGGCTTAGAGAAAGTAAGCTTTCCCAAGATTAGGATGTAAAAGTCTTCTCAACCCTAGAGCCTGTGCTTGTTTTACCAGACTCAACTGCCTACTATTCTCAAGCACTCAGCTCCTCAAATCTCAAATCTCACATCCCTAACCGCCCATCTCCCCTCATCTAAACCTCTGCAGCAATACATTTCTTTCTCTTTTCTTTCTTTTTTTTTATTCTCTTTTCTTCTTTCTGACAAGGTCTTGCTCTGTCACCCAGACTGGAATGCAATGGCATGATAACAGCTCACTGCAGCCTCCACCTCTGCCTCCCGGGCTCAAGTGATCCTCCCACCTCAGCTTCCCAAGTAGCTGGGACTACAGGTGTGCACCACCATGCCCAGCTAATTTTTGTATTTTTTGCAGAGATGAGGTTTCACCATGTTGCCCAGGCTGGTCTCAAACTCTCGGACTCAAGCAATCCTTCTGCCTCAGTCTCCCAGAGTGCTGGGAGCAATACAGTTCTAAAAGTCACAGCCAGTACTAAACATGGCCCCCCGGCTGCTAGCCCTATGGTGAAGTGTCTTCTTGTTTTGTGATATGGTATCCCTGGTCAGAACGGACAAAAGATCCTTTGAACTGTGATAGGAGGGGAGGGGCTCTTGCCTGTGCTTTGCCTGTGTGTCTGTAGAGTGTTTGTGGCAGGCTTTTCTTAGGGAATTGAGGGATTCCTTCTATCCCAAGTGGTCTAGCCAAGAGGAAGCAGATACGCCTCATTAACAGGTCCTCTCAACCTTTGAGAAGTACAGGGAAGCAGCCTGAGGCTTCCAGACTCTGCAGCTGCTAGGACTGCGCTGCACCTCCCTGGAGCAACTGACACTGCTTCTCAGTGCCTGCTAATGCCTGGATGCAGCTCTCATTCTTGGTACCAGATTCCCCTCCCCCATGACTTTTCCAGAAACCCTCAAGATCTTTCACTTTTAAGAAATAAACAAGAAAGTGGGCCCTGTATTTAGTAAAATATATCTTTCAGCCTGTTCAGCCAGCTAGGTCCTTGATCCCAGGCGTTTTCATCGTAAGGAAGACTTTGATCAACTGCCGCATTTCAAAGAGACAGGGAAGTTCTTTAGCTTGCATGAAGCACAATCCCTGTCTGTACTGGAAAGTCCCGGGCTGCACAGTGCTGGCACCAGCCCTTGGGAACCAGCAAGTGAGATGAATTAGAAGCCTAGAGCAAAATATTTGGTTTCATGCAATTTAGTTTCTTATTACTACTTGCTTAAAATTCTGTGGAACAATTAAATCTTAAAAGTGTCTTGTGAATGCCTTGGGATCTCTTTTCCTTCAGGTTTATTGATTGTATTTGATATCACTCACAACTGCAATTTTTTTTTTTAACATTTAATAAGACCATTTGGTTGGAACCCAGAAAAAGTGCACAAAACGAGAGAGCACCTCAACTATGGCAAGAGGCCCAAGCCAGTGGAAAGCCTCACATTTATCCACCAAAAACCTTCTCCTTGTGGTTGACTTTGAATTCAGGGCATTCGCTGGACCCAGTGGAGAAACAGTTCTGAAGGAATGCTTGGCGATCCTGTCCTTGAGTAATATAGAGAATCATTGGGAGTAAAGCAGAGAAGATCCCAAACAAAAGGCGTTTGAGAACCCTTTAAGGAAACAGATGAACAAAAACAAATGGATATAGGATCCTCTCCCTCCCTCTACTCAAACAGAGGTTCTGAGAGCTGATTTACAAATAAACATTGGCAGCATGCTCTGAATTTGACTTGCAACTTTCAGTACCAGGTAATCACACTGAGTGTCTTAACTCCAGGCGTTTCAGGAGTAAAGGAGTCATCGAAGGTAGAAAAACACTATAAGCAAGTGTTTATTTCATTTTTCTGACCACCTCTTGGCAAGCGCTTCACTCATTCTTCTTCCCAAGAGTTGGCTTCTAGATGCCTGAACTGAAGAGGGCCTGAATAAATTCACGGTACGGCTGATGAAGCCAGGTCTGCTGCCTGAACTTCTTTTTTGTTTAAAAAAAAATCCAGGTTAAAAGGCATTTTAGAATAATAAAGTATAAGAGCTGCCTTCTGTCTATCCTGGAAGATGGGCTACCATCCCACTCCATTTCAGCATGGAGGTGTCGTAAGAAGCTTAAAACACATAACCCCTGCAAAGATGGAAATGAATATTTTTCGGCAAAAGAGGAAATAGAGGGGGTGAGGAGGAGGTGGAGGAAGAAACACCGATTACGCTGCTTTGATGGCCTTCTATTTTCAAGCCCTGGGAAAGAAGGATTGGAGCTGCCGCACTCAATATAGAGCAGCGATCTGTGGTTGAGGGAATGCAGCACATCTGCCTTTTATAGGTTTGGAATGAAAAATGTTTTTAATTAGGGAGTGGAATTGGGGCTTTTAGTCTTGCTACATGCTATGTACCTGTCAAACCTGCTGGATGGGAATTTAGTTCTGACCTCTCACCCCTACCTACTTTAACCAAAGGATTCCTGGGAGAAACAGAGGAGCCCTGAGCCCCTGAGAAAATCTGAATTGCTGCTTCTGGGGTTCCAGATTCATCATATGGAATGATGCAGAAAACTCTTCCACCTTTGTAATGTGACTCCAATGGCTTGACTTGGGGCAGGAAGGAAGGATGGGTCAGAACACTGTTGACTGTTCTGATACTGTGAGCCAGGAGGGCTTAGGGACCCAACGAAGCTAGAAAAACAAAGAAGAAATAGAATGATGATAAAAACTTAGAGATAAAGATAAAAAGTAAAACAAGATGGAAAGGTAATGCTCCATTGAAAGAGTCCCACTTAAAACCAAAGAACATCCCTTTACCATTTCCCCTTGCCCTCCAAAGAAAGTCCACTGTCAAGGGAAGGAAAATCATTCTGTTCAGGTGACAGCTCTTTGTCTGAGATACCAACAGGCAGTGAGGCTCAATAGCATCTTTATGGGATTTCAGGAGCCAGAAAAAGAAAGCAGCTACAGTAAGAAATTGCTATTCTCTCCTGATCGTAAGCTACAGGGTCACTTGAGCTTAGTGTCTGGGCTTTTCCCCAATTTTTTCTTTTTTTTTTTTTTTTTTTTCCCAAATGCCTCTCAGCTATAAGGTGCTCCCCTAAGAGATGTAACTCCTTCTTCAAATATTGGAAAAAGGCTCCTGGGAGTGAAGTCAAGAGCTAGTAATCTGCTTGGATAGTTTGAGGCAAGCTTCAAAGCAGGAGACTGGCCTAATGAGATCTCTGTGCTTCTTCAGGCCCTGACGTTCTATGTTTGCATTCTCTTTGACCCTCCTTCCATGTCTGCTTTATAAAATTCAGTTTGAATACTTGAATTCTTTTCTAGGCCCTCAGTATTAATGCCCACCTGTTAATATGTTACTAACACTTTTAAAAAAGTTTTCTGATATGACATTAAACGTACACATGCTGAAATTAACCCCCCTCCCAATTTTCTAGTTAAATTTCTAAGTCATCAAAGCTGAACTATCCTTCCTCCCTCTCATTCTTCCTCTCTCTCCCTCCTCCATGTTTCTGCTTTGTGGGTTCCTTAAACAAGTGGTTAGCCCACACATTGGTAAGCTAGCTCTAGTTGTAGTTCAAATGTTACCTCCTGGGTGGTGTTCCCTTTTGCTAGGCAGGAATAATGGCTCCTCGGCTGTGCTTGCGCAGTCTAGGAAGCGCCTCCCTTTGCCTCCTCCCCTTCTCTTCCATCCTCCATTCACAGTCTAGGGGATGTAGCACTTACTACCTTGTATTCCTGTTAGCTCTTTGGCCCTTGTCTTTTGGTTGCTTCAGGGCAGGGATGCTATTCTTCTTTGCATCTCCATGTTCGTGGCACGTTGAAAATGCTCAAAAAATGTTGAGAGCAACTGAGTTCAGAGCAGAGGAATGAAAAGAATCAGAGGGAACCCATGGTAGACTATTGGAGCCTTGGTGGAGAAAAGTGCATCTTGCTGATGGGCTGAAGACCTATTCTGGATATTCTGCCCTTGTTGAAGGCAAGGATGGTAGTGACGGATCAACTGTATTAGCCCCTCACAGAAATTGTTTCTATGTATCATATCACGGATACACACATGTAGATATACTCTCATGGTAAAGTGTTGACAATTTAGAGAGTTACTGAACACATTACGTTACATTGGTTTCATTTCAGTGATTGAACTTACTGTATTTCTATTATGATTTTGTGTGGGAAATTATAGACTGATTTTGATCACATTTGGTATCAGGCTTTACATAGTAGCCAACAGTAGTAACTGCTAATGTTTGTTGAGCCTTTACTATGTTCCAGGCACTCTTTTTTTTTTTCTTTTTGAGACAGGGTCTTGATCTGTCACCCAGGCTGGAGTGAACATGGCTCACTGTATTTTTTATCCCCGGGGCTCAAGCAGTCCAATCCTCTTGCCTCAGCCTCCAAACAGGCACTCTTAAACACTTTACATATATATTAACTTATTTACTTGAGACAGTGGATCTATATGGTGCTTAAGCATGATTCATAGTTGATACTACTATCTTGCATGGCTGAAAATAGAAATTTTGTAATATTCTATAAACATGTGGACAGTAGTGCCATTGGGAAATTGGGTAGAACATCTAGAACTATTGTGATTTAACAAGATTATTTCTCTAATCTACACAACCATGAATTCAGTTTGATGATTTCAGAAAAAGATGACATTTGGACTCATAAACATTATAACTTGTGGAAAATGGTGTCCAATTTCTCCACCATGATGTCAGAGCCTTGGTGGGAGCCTCAGCGAGAGAGCAGGGGAGAGAAGTTTCTACCTTTTGTCTCAACCGGGTTCTACATGCCTGATACTTGGGAGCTGCAGCGACCCTTGTGGGTTTATCTGGCCTCCAGGATGAAGGTGGATCTATGTGTCTGAAGGGTGAGGGCAATGATGAGTTACTAGACATTTACTTCACTGAGCTCCTGGGAGAGACGTTTATTCTCCCCCTTGCTGTTATATATGGGTAATGATTCTTGCTGTTCAGTCAAAACATGGAGGTTGAAGGATTCATAGATTCAAGGAGGCTTTGACACCTCACTTTCTGTTATTGTACCAAGTTAGTTTTTGGAGATGATGAGAAAAAAGGAAGTTGCCTTAGTGCTCCACACATAACAGGACCTTAATATGTGTTTGTTGAGTGAATCAGCAGTTTTCTCTCTTGCCTGCCCTGGCACTGTGATAGCAATTTGCTATCTTATTATGTTAGGTTCACACCCTATTAGTATTTATTTTAGTTAATATAATGCAATTAGAGTGTAATCATATCAGTAGCTCTCAGATCATGTCAAAAAAATAAAAGTTATTGAAATACCAGTGCTAATATAAAGTGATAGAAAATAGTTAATGTGATGAAATACCTGGATTGAGTTATACATAAAAAGACAGTTGGGGAGGAGGAGGAGTGGGAGGATCAGATCATTGGCTTCTTCTGAGACTCTTGTTTAAGTGCTCATGAGCTCGGGAGTGCTTTGTCTCTGCATTCTCTCCCTATTGGGCTGTGATCCTATTTCTTGAGAAAAATTTCCTCATTTGGATCTGTCCAAAAAGGTTGTCTTGAGGTTGATAAAGGAAAAATGGAGACCAAGATGTACTTCCAGCTCTTCTCTAAGTGGCTGTGTGACATAGCCAAGCCTCCTAATCTCTCTGGGCCCTTAGTTTTCACCTGTACAATAAAGAGACCTGGATAATTAAAAAGACCCCTGGCTTTATCATTGTATTTAATGATTAAAGCATATAATCTGGCCCCGGTTGTTTTCTTTCTGCCTGAAACAAACCCCAAAGCAGCCAGTGGCTGCAGACAGACTACCAGTACTTCAGCACTGTGCAAATTAGTGGGTACCATTCAGTGCCTGCTGCCCCATCTGACCAAGTCTCCTAGGTCCTGGTGTAGACTCTGCTCCAGAGTGTCTTAAACCATTATGAGGCCTCGGTTGGTCATGCTTCCCACTTTTCATTGTTTGTTTGTTTGTTTTTGAGATGGTGTCTCACTCTGTCACCCAGGCTGGAGTGCAGTGGCACGATGACGGCTCACTGCAATCTCCACCTCTTAGGTTCAAGTGATTTTTGTGCCTCAGCCTCCTGAGTAGCTGGAATTACAGGTGTGCACCACCATGGCCCGGCCAATTTTTGTATTTTCAGTAGAGATGGGGTTTCGCCATGTTGGCCAGGGTGGTCTCGAACTCCTGGCCTCTAGTGACCCACCCGTCTTGGCCTCTCAAAGTGCTGGGGTTACAGGCATGAGCCACGATGCCCGGCTGCTTCCCATTTTTTGGTCCTTTCTCCAGCCTCTTGGCTGGCCCTACTTTCCCCTACCTGTCAAGGGAATGGGTGGAGGGCTTGGACAGGTAGAAAATTCTGGAAATGAAGTCACGTGAAGAGGAAGGAGTCGTCTCCATGAAAAGCCAGATACTGTTTCCCGGTGGTGCTGTTGCTTGGGAGGCCAGAAGCCATCATGGTGGCTGCTCTGTTTCTGATCCCTTCACAGAAGGGCACAGCTCCTGCTCTAGGCCCTGGTCCAACAGTTTGATTCTTTGGTGCCTCTGAAGCATTGCCATAAGAAGCTCATTGTTTGGGATTTGTTAGGTACAGTGCTGGTGGTGCAACCCTGAGGAAATAATTAACAATTATTTCTGAGGAGAAGCTTCCAGCCAGAGCCGCACCTTGTGGTGGCACATACGTCTCCCAAAGAATTGTTATTTAAGCAATAATCCTTGAGAAATTGGTCGTTACCCACATTAAACGACTCAGCCCATTGCCAAGGATGGTTAACGCTCTAATAAACTGGCCATTAACTGCAGTAACAATGAATTTCGAGGGGATTATTGCTATTATAAACCTTAATCAATGGTTTATAACAGCAATAATGTGGTCCTTTCTCTTAATGGTAAGTAGGGCAGCTTGCACCATCGCCTTGAAAATGTTTTTGTGGTGGCGGCGAAGTCCGAGGGGAGGCATGGGAAGTGCTGCCCACTCTTCAGGAATGGACCATGGAAGGCAAGGGACACAGCTGAAGCTCATGGCTGCCCTGGTCTGCTCTCCAGGGATCAGGTGTGGAACAAGGAGCTGGGGATTCTCCTCCAACCCACATGTCCTCTGCCATTACAGACCGGTGAGGCACTGGGCTTTGGGACTCCTGGGCTTGCTTGTCCAGCACAAGATCTGGATTGAGGATGTGACTCTGTGTGGGCCTCCTTATGAGCAATAAGAAATAAGAAATGGCCACCTGCTTCGTGGAGTGGATGTAGTGGGGTTGCAGAATGAACACTGGCCTTGGTGTTGCTCCAGGATCCATTCTGTCCCTGCCTTGTTACGAGATTCCAGATAAGTCACATCGCCTTTCTGATTCTCTGAAAAGTGGAGTGTGGAATAAATAACTTCCCAAGTTCCTTTCTAATATAACACTCCATGGTTCCTTTAATAATATTGACATGTTATGTTAGTATACCATTATAGAGCAATAATAATAATCACTTACATAATGTCTTGTATTGTTCTTAGTTGTTTGCATATATTAATTCAATGAATCCTTGCAACAACCCTACTTTTGTTGTGGAGGACCCTGAGGCAAGAGAGATGGAGAAGCTTGTCTGAACCACAGAGCTAATCTGAAGTGGAGATGGGATTTAGATACAGATACTCTACTATCGCTCTAGGAATCCACCTTCATTATTTAATTTGATCCTTGCATCTTTTGACATAGGCAAACTGGGGCTATCACTTTAGGTTCACAAATGAAGAAACCAGGGCTTCAAGAGATGAAGAGACCTGATCAAGTAAATAGCATGGATCTGAGTACTGCCTGGGCAGAACCTCCGCTTCTGGCTGTGTTGGTGCCAGGAAGCTTCCAGACTCAGGAGCCTCTCTCTCCAATGATGTGGACTGGCTGTATCCTGAGGCCAGTCCCTCCTTGCTGAGACTTTCTCCCCCAGCAAAGGGAAAGGAAAAAGTTCACATCCTCCTACATATTACTGGAAACACGCTCCCTGGAGCTAGGAAGGCTGATCTTTAGTTCCAGCCTGGCATTGCTTAGAATGCACGAGAGAATGAACACTGTGGTGGATTTTGGGGGCCAGGGCATTTAGGTATTTAATTTTAATTTTTGTTACTATGGAAAATTTAAAGCATATACAGAAAAGGGATAGCATAATGAACCCCCAAATACCTATCACCAGCTTTAGCAGAATCCACTCATGTCCTAGCTTGTTTCATCCAACCATTGCCCCCCTATTCTTCTCACCTTGGATTATTTTGGAGTAAACCATAGTTATCATACCATTTCATCTGTTATCACTTTAGTAGACATTGCTAAAAGTAAAAAAGAAAAAAATTGCAATACTGCTATCAGACCTTAAAAAATTAACAATAATTCCTTCATATTATCTAATATCTAGTCATATTTTGAATTTCCCAGCTTAATCATGAAAATATTTAGATCTTCTTCTTGCTCCGGCTATCCACGTGCTCTGTGACCTAAGACAAATCACTTTTTGGGTTTGTTCCCATTTGCTCATCTATAGAATGAGATGTGCAGCCAATGCCACTTCTCTTTCATCACTGGCAGGTGGAAGGCCTTTGAATGACAGCACTTCTTAATAAGCCACACTGTCATGCCCAGGCATCATCCATACACCACTGGGAGGAAACTTTGAGAGGCTACCACCATAGCATGCACTTTGGAGTTTGACTTTCTTTTTGTGCTGCACACTCCAGAGAGCAGATTTGCTCTGGGAAATAGAGGAAAAGAAAGAGCAATTCTTCACATGGGCCCTGCCTCCCTGGAGAGGTGCACTTGGTGACTTTTCTCAGGAAGGGGAGCAGAGAGGATGCTGGCTGCATTTCTGCCATCAGTGATGTGCTGCTGCCTGTCCAGCTCTGGCCTTGGGGAGAATCTGGCCATATCAAGTGAGAAAGCTCTGTTCTCCTCTTAGCCTTGGTTGTGTGGGTGGATGATAAACCCAGTTCTGCCTGCTCCAGTGGGTGTGCATTTCCTCAGGTGCAAAGTGAGAGGGCTGGGCTGGGTATTCCCTGAAAGGGTGCATAAGAAACACCTGAGGGTTTTTTCAAACTTTATATTTTCTTTTTTAAATTTCAACTTTATTTTATTTATTTTATTTGATTTTTTACTTTAAGTTCTAGGATATATGCACTGAACTTGCAAGTTTGTTACATAGGTATGTATGTGCTATGGTGGTTTGCTGTACCTATCAACCCATCATCTGGACTTTAAGCACTGCATGCATTAGGTATTTGTCCTAATGCTTTCCCTCCCCTTTCCCCTCACCCCTCGACAGGCCCTACTGTGTGTTGTTCCCCTCCCTGTGTCCATGTGTTCTCATTGTTCAACTCCCATTTATGAGTGAGAACATGCAGTGTTTGGTTTCCTGTTCCTAGGTTAGTTTGCTGAGGATGATGGTTTCCAGCTTCATCCATGTCCCTGCAAAGGACATGAACTCATTCTTTTCCATTCTTATTTTAAATACAGAGGATATATATGCAGATGTGTTACATGGGAATATTGTGTGATGCTGAGGTTGAGAGTACAGATTCTGTCACCCAGGTAGTAAGCACAGGACCCGAGAGGTAGTTTTTAAACTCACCCTCCCACCCTCTGGCATTCCCCAGTGTCTATTGTTCCCACCTTGATGTCCATGTATGCTCAGTGTTCAGCTCCCACTTACAAGTGAAAAAGTATGATATTTGGTTTTCTGTTCCTGTGTTAATTTGCTTAAGATTATGGCCTCCAGCTCCATCCATGTTGCTACAAAGGACATGATTTCATTCTTTTTATGGCTGCATAGTATTCCAGGTGTATATGTATCACATTTTCTTTATCCAATCTACCATTGATAGGCACCCGGGTTGATTCCATGTTTTTGCTATTGTGAATAGCTCAGCAATAAACACATGAGTGCATGTGTCTTTTTGGTTGAATGACCTATTTTCTTTTGAGTATATACCCAGTAATGGAATTGCTGGGTCAAATGATAGCTTTGTTTTACATTCTTTGAAAAATCTCTGGACTTCTTTCCACAGTGGCTGGACAGATTTACATTCTCACCAGCAATGTATAAGCATTCTCTTTTCTCCACAGCCTCACCAACATCTGTTATTTTCTGACTTTTTAGTAATAGCCCTTATGACTGATGTGAGATGGTGTCTCATTTTGGTTTTGATTTGCATTTCTCTGATGATTAGTGATGATGAGCATTTTTTTCATATGTTTCTTGGCCACTTGTATTATATTATTTTCTTCTGGAATTTATATATTTGGGAATCAAACCTCTTCCCCTGCATTTTTTTCCCCCACCACATTGAGAGTTTTAGGGCTAAAGGATGTCCAAGTTCTCTTGATGCGCTGATGACCCGTGAGCACATGACTTTGCTTAAGCTACCAAAGCATTTCCTGCCCTGCAGGACTAAGAGGGACATGCCTGCTTGGAGAGTTTCAGCCCTGATTTCCTGGAGTGGGGAGTTGCCCAAAATGGCTTTTGGTGTGACTTCCTCTTTCAGATTTCTTCTGGAGCTGCAGGCTCTTTTCTGCAAGATGTGTCTAACCACAGTGACATGTGCCTTGTGAGTAGTGTGAGGGGATTATTCATCAACATGATGGACCAATGTATTGAAATAGGGATGATTTAGCAGTGGGAAAATCCACCAAATGCCATCTTGCCTTCTCTCTTCTGGACTCCTAATTGGGCTGTGGGCTGGGAAAATTGACCCAGTATTCTCGTGAATCTCTCACCCGCCCTGTAGCCTGTCTCCCCAAGGGTCTGATGCATCTGGGGTGTTGCTGCAGGTGGCTCTGTTGGGTGCTTCAGTCTCAGAGCCCAGTTGCCAGTGGATGGGGATCTTTAGAGGGTCTGCAGGTTCAAAAAAGTCCTTTCTTCTCACAGGTGGGCAACTTTATGGGGCTTATTTAAGGTGCATGTCTGGACCCCCATTCCTGGCTAACTCTCCCTTCCCCAGCCCCTGAGCTGTGTCTGCTGGGGTCAGTCCTGCCAGGAAGATTCCCCAGGCTTTTCCCAGGCCTCCTGTCACTCCTCTGTCCCCAACCTGGGTGGAGAAGAGTCGGTTAGGCCAGAGGCAGAAGGTGGGGGCATAAAAAGACTGATCTGGAATAAACTGAAAAGTTTACTCTGTGCAGCACTGAAATAAAAAAGCTCATTCAGAAAGTTAATGATTTATTTTATAGTTTCATTATCAGGGTCACATTACTCAATAGCATTTCAAACATGTCATTTGTACAAACTATGGTAATTAAAATTTATAACATACTTCATCAGCAGCATATGAATCTTTTAGCCGGCACTCTGCTGTCATATAAACAGTGTAATTTCAGCTGCAATTCACCCTTTATTGGCTCTCATTTGTGATTTAACAGCCATCAATGACTGTGCTATAAAGAATAAATTAACCATCCGTAAACCTTACGATGACAGGGACAGTCAAATAGACTTAAACGCCTTCCGCCCAGCGCTGGGAGCCGACCTAGAGCAGGTGAAGGCCACGTATGCATCAGGCCCACTGCTGAAAGGACTTTCCTCTCTCCTGCTGCTGCCTCTCAGTGGGATGGCTCCCGGCTGGACCCGAGGTCCCTCTAGCTGCCACTAGCAGGAGCATCAGCTTTTCTGCTCTTTGGTTAGGGAGGCAAAGGGAGATGGGCCCCTTTGCAGACCCATTTAAGATGTCTGTGCCCAAGGTGGGACCTTAGATATTATCTCCCAGTAACTGTCAAGTGAGGGCACTTGGGAACATGTTGGGGGCACTTTTGGATGATCCAATGACTGGGTAGAACTATTGACCTGTGGTGCTTGGGACCAGAGATGCTGGCCGTCTTGCAGTGAACAGGGTTTTTCCTCTCCAAACGCTTCTAGTGCCCCATTGAGAAATACTGGCAACCTGATCTTCTCATCCTGCAATGAGAAACTGAGGTCCAGAGAGGGGAAGGGCCTCGATGAGGGCCATGCTGGCTCTTAGGGCAGAACCGGAATGAGAACCCGGGACAAGCAGTCGGAAAGTGCCAACTCCTAGGGCAGGCAGTCCTGGCTGCCTCTCTGGGAGTGACAGCATGGCTTGGGAGCACTGCTTCTCTGAGACCACACTCGTAGGCGCCCTCTCGGAGAGGGTGGTCAGGGTGGTCTGGCTTGGCCCCATAGCTGACACGGTACACAGCTCATAAATGAAGTGGATTGGATTTGTTACAGAGACATCTCCAAGGAGCCTGGGTCATGCAGGCCAATAAAATTGGCCTCATAAATTCATCGTGACATGCAGGATTACTCCAGCCCGCTGAGGTCACCTTCCTGGCCTGATTTATCACAAGCCTATGGGTTAATAATACTGTTTACTGAGTGTTGCTTTCTTGTTCCTCCACTTCCCCTCCCCTTCTTGGAGCAGACACTGATCAAAGCCTCCCTCTGGAAGGGTGTGGTGGATGGAGGAGAAGAAGGGGGAGGAATATGAGGGTTGGGTATTTAATTCTGTGCTGCTTTAAATCAATGCTTTATTTCCTCCCCTTTTTTTCTTTCTTTCTTTCTTTTTCTTTTTTTTTCTGAGAAGGTACCTGCAGTTATCTCAGTTCAGTTCCCTGCTAGGAGTTTTAGTGAAGAATGGTGGTTTGTGGTTGGAGGGTAGCTGTCTCATCATCATTTGGGAGCTGGTGACACTAGGTAAGAGGTGACTTTTCTATTGCTTTTATGGCTAAGCTGTGAGCTATTCACATTCTTTTGACCATGCTTATCAGTCTCTGCTTAGAAATCTTATACAACTTCCTGTTTGTATGGAAAATATAGGGCTTTCTCTTTTAAAGACCAGAGGTTATAGATGGTGACAATATGGAAAAAGCCTCACACAGATTTTAAAGTCCCCGCTAAACCTGGATTCTCTGAATCTACTTTTTACCACTTAGAAGCTTGCAAGTGTTACATTCTGGTCTAGCTTGCTAGGGTTTGAAAGATCCCGCCTCCGCCCCCAAAAAATTAAAATTAAATTGGGGTTACTCTTAGACTATTTCCCTTTAACCAAAAAACAGGCTGGACAGTGAAGCCGGCTCTGGGTGTCTTCTCATTTCCTGTAGCAGCACTTTGTGGTTAAACTTCCAGAGAGGCTTTTTTAGTAATGTATGTTCAAGATCAAGTACTCAATCATTATACAATAAATAAACAGATGAAATTGGAGGCCCTAAAGCATCAGAACTTCTGGGTTTTCCATGTGGGAATTGCAGCCAGCCCCTTTCAGTAAGATCGCTGCAAGGATGACTTTAATTTGGACTAAATGCCCCCAGGAACTTGGAAGCCTGTGTGAACTCAGGATCAGGGCTCTGGTTGGAACATACCATCTTTAATTAAATTGGCAAACAATTCCTGAGCAGTTTCTCAAGTAATTGCTGGAGTTCCAAAGCACCAGGAATTAGACAGTCCCTGCCTTCAGGGTACTTAGAGTTTATTGAAGAATTAGAATGAATGACTATTCAGCTGATTTGGGCATGACAATAGAGGTACAAAGAACTGTAGTAAACTAAAGGGGGGAGATAGTGGAATTAGGGCAAATCCTGGAAGTGGTTTGAGGGCTGGACATTCACTTACTCAATCATCAAACACTTCAGAAGCCCTGTCTCTTACCAGGCACTGGGTCCAGCTTATTTGAAAACTTTTCTTGACTGTTGTTTTGGGGCCAATTTCAGTGCAAGTCATAACCCTTTTCTATGCAAGTGACCTTTCTCTGCTCCCTCTCTCCAATCTCTTCCCCCGCCCTGGGCTCTCATCCAGACTTGCTGATGTGCCCTGAGAGAGCATTAAGAAGACAAATTTGCATTTAGAGAACCTGGGCCTGCTTCCATCATTTGAAGGCTGAGGAGGCTTGAGGCGCGCATCCATACAGCTGTGGAAGAGATGCTGCTGTCATTGGCCAAAACCAGCCCCGGAGACAGCATGATCCTGTCTTGCTACAGTGAGAAAACCCCCTTGTTTGCTTCCCATGATCCCTGGCTGCTGCGTGGTGATAGGGCTTTGGGTAGCTGTCTTAGGAGACTCTGCCAGGCAGAGGAGGGAAGTAGGAGAAGAAATGGGAAGGTTGGGGCTCCACCTTGTTGAGAGTGGCCAGGACAGGTGGTGATTTTGGTGGCACCAGAGAATAGAGATCTCATAAACTCCAGTTGCTGCCAATCTTCTACGTAGCTCTTACAGTAAGGCTACCCCAGGTAGGGAAGAGGATACACTGGATACCAGGTGATGCAGCAAATGCATTCACATTTGCTACGTCATATCCTGCTCTCAGTACCCCTGAAAGGTAGGCATTTTAATCTCCACTTTAACCCACAGGGAAGAGATCCACTTAGAGGAGCTAAGCAGTGGGGTGACCATCACATATCTAGTAAATGGTTTGGACCAAGGCCTGCCTGGCCCTAAAGCCCATGCTTTTCAAAATCATATCAGGCAGCCTCTCAATTTCTCTGAGGAAGCTGGCACTATGACAGTAAGAGGCTTGGCCAGTGGCAGAGCTGGTCTTGAATCTGGGTCTTTTCCCATGTCACTCAGCTGAGTCCCACTTGACCCACAGGAAGTCCATTACAAATAAGTACTTGCCCTTCCCAAAACATCTACTGTTTCTGGTGAATAAAAAGCTCTGGGGAGGTCGGGCACGGTGGCTCACGCCTGTAATCCCAGCACATTGGGAGGCCGAGGCAGGCGGATCACGAGGTCAGGAGATCGAGACCATCCTGGCTAACATGGTGAAACCCTGTCTGTACTAAAAATACAAAAAATTAGCCGGGCGTGGTGGCGGGCACCTGTAGTCCCAGCTACTCAGGAGGTTGAGGCAGGAGAATGGCATGAACCTGGGAGGCGGAGCTTGCAGTGAGCCGAGATCGCGCCACTGTACTCCAGCCTGGGCGACAGAGCAAGACTGGGTCTCAAAAATAAACAAATAAAAAACAAAAACAAACAACAACAACAACAACAAAAAAAGCTCTGGGGAACTTGGGGACAAGTACTGTCACTGTGGAGATCTCTCTGTCTCTCAGACTCATCTCTCTCTCTCTCCCTCCATCCATCCATCCATCCATCCATGCATGCATACATATATCATCCATTCATCTGATATAGGAGTTAAGAAATCCCTTAGGCAGATAGTGAAGGTATGGGAGTGCTCAGTAAGGTTTTTTCTTTTTAATGGGGAGCAGCCACAAATCATTTTCTAACAAAAGCAGCATGTAAAGTCAAGCTGCAGACATAGACAAGAAAGCTGGGGGCTTGTACGGGTGAATTCAGGCAGGAACTAGGGCCTAGACATGTTCAAGATGGTGGCTCCATCTTCCCTTCTCTGCCAGCCACGTGTACAGTAAGGAGCAGACAAGATGGCATTGGCCAAGGGGAGAGTTCGTTTGCATAATAAGATTAGGGTGGAGGGACCAGCCTTCTCTGTGTGCTATGTAAACATCACACCTGATCAAACCAATCTGTGAGCCCTACGTAAATCAGACACTACCTCCTCAAGCCAGACTACAAAATCCGGCACATCAGCCACCAGCCCATCTTTTCTGCTTGGAAGACCCCTCTCTCTCTATAGAGAGAGCTGTTTTTCTTTCTCTTTCCTTCTGCCTATTAAACCTCTGCTCCTAAACTCCTCATGTGTGTCTGTGTCCTAAATTTTCCTGGCACCAGATGATGAACCCTGGGTATATACCCCAGAAAACATAGCCACTTCACATCCATGCCAACATGCATGCATGCATCCATGCATCCATCCATCCATAATGCATGCCCACATGCATCCATCTAGCCATCCATAATCATGCATACATGCATCCATAATAATGCATGTCTACATGCATCCAGCATCCATCCATCCATCCATAATGCACGCCTACATGCATCCATCTATTCATCTATCCATCCATCCATCTATAATGCATACATACATACATGCATCCATCCATCCATAATGCATGCATACATGCATCCATCCATCAATCTGTAATGCATGCATACATGCATCCACCCATCCATCCATCTATCCATCCATCCATCTATAATACATACATGCATTCACCCATCCATAATGCACACATACATGCACCCATCCATGCACCCATCATCCATCCATAATGCATGCATATGTGCATCCATCCATCCATCTATAATGCATACATACATGCATTCTTCCATCCTTCTGTCCATCCATCCATCCATCCATCCATCCATCCATCCATCCATCCATGTGTCTATCTACCTTTGGATTGGACACACAAAGCTGATGACGTGAAACTGCTTCAGTGCCTCATCGGCACCGTTCTCCCCCAAAACTTTGTCAAGATGGCTGCTGTTGGCTGTGTATTTTCACGGCTGGGCCTTTATACCTGTTGGTGCCACCAGCTGAGTTCCTTTCTTCCTGCGTTTGCCTGAACAGTGCCAATTGTTCTCCTGTATCTGTTGCAATCTGTGTCAGAAAGGGCGGGGTTGGGGGGAAGGGTTTTCTATGAAACAAAACAAAACAAAAAACAAGTTGCAGGGAAACTGCTCAGTTAGGCCTAGCATCAGGGAAGGCTCCCTGGGTGGGAAAGATTATCCTCCACAGGTGAGTTGGTAGACACCATTCGCTGTGTTGAACTCAATGGGGAGGTAAAATTTGATGGCCAGCAAGCCGGGTGTCACAGGTAGTGTGCTCTCCCCATAGACACCTGCGCATCAGATGTCAGAACTCTTCTGTGCTCTTTGGAACTTGCTCCTTGCAGTGGTGAATAACTTTTTAAGGTGACAGTACAGAGTCGCACACTGAGATGGGGAGGAGCTACACGTCTTGGTTCCAGACCTAGCTCTGCCTCTTGTTGCTATCTGTGTGACCTTGAGTGAGTCCCTCCCATGTTTTTATCCCTCCATTTTTCCATCTGTCAATAGAGGGGCACCTTTAATGACTGAAACAGGACTCTGAAAACAAAGTAGTATCCTGAAATGGAAGGAAGGCATTGTTAGTGTTGGAGATGGGGAGTCCCATCACTTGCACTCTGGTGCTGAGACACACAGTCATGCATCACGTGTTTGTGCTTATTAAAATGTGCTGCATCATGTCTTCTCCTCTTTCTTCCCAAATTTGTATGTTGAAGTCCTATCTCCTGGTACCTCAGCACGTGACTGTATTTGGAGTTAGGGTCTTAAAGAGATGATGAAGTCAAAATGAGGCTATTTTGGTGGGCCCTCACTCAATATGACTGATGTCCTTAAAAGAATAATAGATAAAGACACAGATGGGTACAGAGGGAAGGAAGATGTGAAGACACAGGGGGAATATGGCCTCTACAAGCCACAAAGAGATGCCTCAGAAGAAACCAATCCTGTCGACACCTTGATCTTTGACTTCCAGCCTCCAGAATTGTGAGACAATACATCTGTGTTGTTTAAGCCAGCTTGTCTGTGGTACTTTATTACAGCAGCCTGAGAAAACTAATATACAAGGCTAAATTACTTAATACTCATCTTGTTTAGAGGCACTGTGGGGAATTTCATAGCAACCTTGAGAGGATAGGGCTTACTGAAGGGACCATCCAACCTGGGGTGTGGTCACAGTCTAGGCTTGAGGCTTGCATGTTATTGTCTGGGAATTGATTGAGGACGAGTGCATGGGTTTCACCTATAGTTTTCTAGATACCATGAGAGGATGCTCATTTATGCTGCCTTATTTAATCCTCCCATTAACCCGGTGAAGTAGGGATTATACTTTCCATTTATTGATGAGGAAGCAGAGGCCCAGGGGGTTAAGCGACTTGACCCGGGCCACACTGCTAATTTCAGCAGAGCCAGCAGTTCTGGCAGTTGATTTGCTTAAATGTTTTTGCTTGCAACCAGCCCAGTAAACATAGTTTGAGGCTTGAACCCAGCTGCAAAGGTGACCTGCTGGAAGAGCGATTTGAAATAAATAAAGGTGAGGAACAAGGAAGAATTTCAAAGCCTTTCCCTAATCAGGACAAACGGCTACGAGCCTGAGGTTTGCAGAGATAGCCTGCCACATCTCGGAAGGCAGCTCTTGCCACAAGCCAGTGCCTCGCTGGCTTGGAAATTTATGGTGGAATTTAGACAGAGAACACAAATCATCGTAATCTCCTGATGAAAGATCACTGTCTCTGCAAATGCATTACCTGCTTGGAAAGCGACATGTTAAAAAATACTGATAATATATGGGCACAGGGAGAGCGATTTCCATGCCTGGGCTCCTCCAAGCTAAAATATGCACACCTGCACAAGAGGCAGCAGATGACAGAGGAAGTCACCAGGGCCCTAGGAGCAGCTTCTGTGTCAAGCTGTGACTCCGATACTCCAAACAAAAGACAGTACAAGCCTGTCTAGGTGTCCTCTCTTCTCCCCAGTGTGGGGCATCTTGGATGAAGGAGGCCAGAGTTGGGGGCATCTGATCCTGTTCTTTTCCCTCCAGAATCAAATGCACTTAGGGTTTACACCAGGAGGGAGAGACAGGAGGAGGAATTAGAGTGATGGAGGGGGGACTTACTGCTGAGGGAAGCTCAAGGCATGAATTAGAGAAACTATTCATTTTCTTTTTTCCGTTTCACCTCCTCTGGACTTGTTCATCTCCCAGTTACCCCATTGGCAGCCTCTGCAGGCTTCTGTCACCATAAGGTCTTCTTGTCTTATTTATTTATTCCTGCCTGTTCTTGGGTAAGTCAATTTCACTGATTGACAGTAAGAGACAGCTAAAGATCAGACATAAAGAAAGCCCTAAGCATGTGGGCACATGGGGGCACAGACCTCTGTGACTTTGCCATGCTGGCTTCCCCCCTCTCTTTTTTCTCAGCTGCTCCCCAATATAATGAGGTTGGGGAGAGCGTGGGCTTGGAACCACACAGACCTGCTTCCTGTGATTATAACTCCAGCTCCAAAACTAATTGGCAGCATGACCTTGGGCAAGTTTCTTCTCTCTCTAAGCCCCAGCCTCGTTCCAGGCAGTGCCGCGCCTCCCTCTTCCAGCCCTGAGCCACTTTGCATTATGGCTCAAGGTTGCATCTTGGTCTTCTCTGCACGGCTCACGCTCCTACTGCAGTGTGCTTCCAGTGCCAAGGCTAGTTTTTCTACATGCCTCCTCTTGGGAGAAAAGCCATTCGGAGTCCAATGGGCCTGCAGAACAGGTGCATCCCTCTTGCTGTAATGATTACTGGATAAACAAAGCAAAAAGAACCCAAACCCAAGTACATTGTCCTAAAGGGGGAAATAATACTTCAGAATGGCCAGAATGTTTACCAACACAGTGAAAAAGGAAATAGCAAAGATACACTGAGGCTCACTCTTCCCTCTTGTGGCGGGGGAGTTAACCTCTGCTGACCCAGATGCAGCTCCTGGGGCCAGTTTTTGTCCTCCCGAGGGGGTGTCTGATGGAGAAGAATTCAAGAATATCTTCTCTGCCATTTTTCCTCCTTCTTGACAGATATGAAAAAGAACCAAAGAAACACTGCCGAGAGTCTGGCTTGGAAGCGTCTGTGTTTACAACCCTATTCAAGACTGATTTGAAGGCAAGGGGAGGATGGGTGTCAGGAGATGTCTTTGAGGGGTTTCTGAAAGTCCTGTTTGAAGGACCTGCCTAGAACTTGCAGGTGAGGGTCTGGACACAGGGCTGTCAGATGTATGTTTGGTGGAATAGTCAAGGCTTTCCAAATGTGCTGGGAAGGAACAATTCTGCCTCTAACGAAGCTGTGCAACAGGTGTGTAAGGTGCCTACCCCTCCTCCTCCTGGAGCCACATCCCATTCACCATCACTCTCCAAAAATGGGTTTTGGTGCCAGCAACCCCAAAAAGGCTGACAATACCAAGAGCTGCAGAGAATATGGAAGCACAGGATGCTTCCGTTATTCGTTCCCACTCCGTTGCTGGTGGAAGTGTAAACTGATGCAACTACTTTGACATTCGGCTGGGAATTTCTTCCTGAAGCTAAAATCTCATAAACCCTGGAATACATCCCAAGGAGTGTACCAAGTGGGCATGCAACACATCAATGGCCTTCTTGCCACGAGTTAATAAGATACAGAATCCTAGTATCCCTGTAAGCTGGTGACTGGGTGGGAGAGTCATTGTTACCCACCCTCTGGTGTGCCTTTCAGAACTGTTCCCTTTTTACCTTACTTCTTCCTCCCATGGAATGAAAAATGAATCAAACAGGCACATGGATGCTAAGTTCCTTCCTTGGGTCTGGTAATGCTTATAGAAAATAAGGAAGATGGAAAGAAGCAAGAAGAGAGGTGAATAAAGGCTGTTGAATGAAAGATGAAGGGGGAGACGGTAAGGGTTTGCATTTGGAGCAGTTGTGGGAAAACACACATGCAAATGTGGCATTTATTCATTCATCTAAACACATTTATTGAGGACCTATTACATGGCAGTCCCAATAGATAAACTGTAAGCAAAAATGGATGCAGCCTTGCCCTTGTGAAGTGTACATTAAAAAATTGCACACATATGTGTAAATATTAGAGCCATAGAAATGCTAAGAAGGAGTGCTACTTGGTCCTATGGGAGCACAAACTAGGACTTGATCACATCAAGGAAGTCAGAGAAGTCTTCCCTGAGGAAATGACCATAGAGGTGAGATGTGAGGCTGCACAGTTGTTTGCTAGATGAAGCAGAGAGGGAAGAGTGTCCCAGTCGGGTCAGGCAGCTATGCAAAGGCCTGGGGCTTGGGGACATATTCATAATAGACATAAATAACAACAGGTTAGAGTCAAGAGTATATTGAGAACTCTCACAAAATCAACTAGAAAAGTACAAACAACCTCATAAAAAGACACAAGACATTTCATAGGGAAGAAAGCATACTCAGTGAATAAACATATATAGATTTATTCAATGCAGTCAGTAATCAGGGAAGGGGAGATACCATCTGACACTATTTGGTTGGCAGTGATGAAAAGGTTAACAATACCAAGTATTGCAGAGAATATGGAAGCACAGGATCTCTTCTACGTAGCTGGTGAGAATATAAACTGATGGAACTACTTTGGCATTCAGCTGGGAATTTCTTCCTAAAGCCAAACTCTGAAATACCCTGGAATACATCCCAAGGAGTGTACCTAGGGGGCATGTACAAGAATGTTCATAGCAGCACAGTTTATAATAGAAAAAAGAAACCCAAGAAACCACATGATTGGTGATCTAAAGGAAAGTGGATTAAGAAAAACTATGATGTATCCACACAAGGAAATATTGTATTTCAGTCAAAATAGATGAACCACTGTGACATACAACTATATAATATATGGAACCTTAAAACTTTAAATTCTTAAAATCTTAATATATAATAAATTGAAAAGCAAGTCCCCAAATAATGCACACCATAAGGGTCTATTATTTTAGAATCATAAAAAACTTAAATTATTTTTAGGAATATATATATATATATAAAATATGTACAGGAATATATACATACATTATATATAAATACATACAATATACACATATATGTGTGTATATATACATATGCATGCAATAAAACCAAACAGTAAGACAAGAGAATGATGAACATAAAAGTCAAGATGATGGTTTCCTGGGTTAATAACCAGGAGGATGAGATGTGAAGAGACCACATGATTAGCTGCAGATTATTGACAAGACCCTTGCTTTTGTGTTGGTCATGGGCTTGTGAGTGCCTATTATGTTATTTAAAATTATTTGCCCAAATAAACACATGAACATAAATAAGCCAAGCCATCTATGGGCAACGATGGGTCTTTAAGTAAAGATTATGATTGGTATGATTCTGTTTCCCTGAGATTAGAAAAAAAGTCTTGCATTTGGAGAGGGGATTGTTTTTCCAGACTGAAAGAAAGCTGCATAGCTGGGATGCAGAGAGAGGTGGGGTGTTTGATGTGAGATGGGACTGCATGGGGAGGTGAGGTATAGGCCATGTAGGATCCCACAGGTCCTGTTAGGGAGTTTGGGCTGAAGTGGGGTGTGTGATCCCCACTTCATGTGACATGATCACATTTATATTTCAAAAGACTTGTTCTGGCTGCACTGTGGCTATTATATTGTTGGTGGTAAGAGAGCATGTGGGGAAGGGGGGTTGGGAGGTGATATCAACACTCTAGGTGAGAAGTGATAGCTTGGATGCCAGCCTCGGCAACATAGTGAAATTCCGTCTCTACAAAACTAACTAGATAAGAATTAGCTGGGTGTTGTGGCATGTGCCTATAGTCCCAGCTACTCAGGAGGCTGAGGTGGGAAGATCGCCTGTGCCCAGGAGGTCGAGGCTGTGATTGTGCCACTGCACTCCAGCCTGGGCAACAGAATGAGATCCTGTCCACACCCCACCAAAAAAAAAAAGATGAGATGATGAGAGAAATAGATGAATTAAAAGAGCAGTTAGGTAAAATTGTTATTATTGGGTCTAATACAATGAAGGAGAGGGATGAGCCAAGGAGGCTGCTTACATTTTATTTGGGAAGTAGATGGATAGTGGACTATTTGCTGAGAAGGGCTGGGAAGAAAGTGAGTTTGGTTTTGAACCCGTTGAGTTGGAGGTGATTTTGAGACATCCAGGTAGGCAGCTGGACATAGGGCTCTGTAACTTAGGTGGGATCTGAATTATCTGAGGATGCTCAAGGAAGTCTCCATTGTTGAAACTGTAGAAGTTGGTAAGATTGCCTAGAAAGAAACAGTGAGGTGAGAAAAAAGCCATTATAAAAACAAAGCAAAACAAAAAACAATGTTAGTAGTTAACTAAATAAAGCAGGCCATGCCTGTCCCATAATGAGAGTATATCATGAATCAAGGATTATGATTAATCCAGGTTTTAAAAAAATCTGGCATTTGGGGCCGGGCGCGGTGGCTCACGCCTGTAATCCCAGCACTTTGGGAGGCCGAGGCGGGCGGATCACGAGGTCAGGAGATCGAGACCATCCCGGCTAACACGGTGAAACCCTGTCTCTACTAAAAATGCAAAAAATTAGCCGGGCGTGGTGGCGGGCACCTGTAGTCCCAGCTACTTGGGAGGCTGAGGCAGGAGAATGGCGTGAACCCGGGAGGCGGAGCTTGCAGTGAGCCGAGATCCCGCCACTGCACTCCAGCCTGGGCGACAGAGCGAGACTCCGTCTCAAAAAAAAAAAAAAAAAAAAAAAAAAATCTGGCATTTGGAGAGATTCTGGCTTTTCCAGAGGGAAAAGAAAGTCAGAATGCCTGGGATAGAGAGAGGGATGGGTGCTGTGGGTGATGGAGGAGAGGTAGAGAGGGTTAGACATTCAGCATCTTGGAGTTCACATTGAGGATTTTGATATTTATCTTGGAAATATTAAGAAAGCTTTAGAGCTTTTTAAATTTTTGAATGTTAATTGCATATGTTTATTTTGAAATCAACTTTGCTGAGGCATAATATAATTTGCATACCATAAAACGTACCCATTTTAAACGTACAGTTTGAGGAGATTTGAAATGTATATACTGCCATGTAACCACCACCACCATCACAATCAAGATAACTAATTTCTCTATCATCCCCAACATTTCTCTTGCACCTCTGATATTGTTTGGTTCTGTGTCCACGTCCAAATCTCATGTTCTGTTGTGATCCTCAGTGTTAGACAGAGAAGTGTCCTGGTGGGAGGTGATTGGATCATGGGGGCGGTTTCTAACGGTTTAGCACCATCACCCAAGTGCCACTTGTTTAAAAGTGTTTAGCACTTCCCCCTTTGCTCTTTCTTTCTCTCCTGATGGCCATGTGAAGATGTGTTTGCTTCCCCTTTGCCTTCCACCATGGTTGTAAGTTTCCTGAGGCCTCCCAAGAGGCGGAAGCCTGTACAGTCTGCAGAACCATGAGCCAATTAAACTTCTTTTTTGTAAAAATTACCCAATCTCAGGTATGTCTTTATAGCAGTGTGAGAATGGACTAATACAACTCCCTTTGGAGTCAAATGATGCCCTTCCCTCACACTAGCCCCAGGTAGCCATCAATCTGCTTTCTGTTATTGGAGATTAGCTTTGCTTATTCTAGACTTCATATAAGTGGAATCATACAGCATGGACTCATTTGTGTCTGGCTTTTTTCACTTAGAAATGCGTGTTTTAGATTCATCTAAACTGTTGCCTGTATCATAAGCTTATTCCTTTTATTGCTGACTAGTATTCCATTGTGTGGATATGCCACAGATAGTGTAAACCATTCACCTGTGATGAACATTTGCATTTTTTCCATGCTTTATTGCTATGAATATCATGTACAAGCCTTTGTGTGGACATGTTTTCATTTGTCTTGGGTAAAATAATAGCACTGAAAATTCTGTGTGCTAGGGTCAATGTAAACCTGACAAGAAACTGTCAAAAGTTTGCTGAAGTGGTTGCATCATTTTCTACCTTTGCCAGCAAACTATAAAATCTCCAGTTCTCAAATATCCTTTCCAATACTTGAGATTGTCGATCTTTTTAATTTTAGTCTTTCTACCTGGTTTGCAGTTGTATCTTGTAGTGATTTTAATTTGTATTACTTTGGTGACTAATAATGTTGTGTCCTCCATGAAGTGTCAGTTAGTCCATTATTTTATGGAGGCTTCTGTCTTCCTTATTATGGAGTTGTAGAAGTTCTATATACAGTCATATGTCACTTAACCACTGGGATGCGTTCTGAAAAATGAATCATTAGGCAATTTCATCATTGTGTGAACATCATGGAATGTACTTACACAGACCTGGATGGTATAGCCTACTAACACACCTAGGCTATATGGTATACCCTATTGTTCCTAAGCTACAAACAAGTACAATTCCTAAGCTACAAACCAGTACAAAGCAGTACTGTCCTGAATGCTGTAGGCAATTGCAACATAATGGTAAGCCTTTGTGTATTTAAACATCTCTAAACCTAGAAAAGGTACAATAAAAATACAGGATAAAAGATAAAAAACACTTGTCTAGGGCACTTATCACAAATGGAGTTTGCAGGACTGGAAGTTGCTCTGGGTGAGTCAGTGAGTGGGTAATGAGTAAATGTGAAGGCCTAGGTCATAACTATCCACTACTGTAGACTTTATAAACACTGTACACTTAGGAGTCACTAAATTTCTAAAAATATAATATTCTTTTGTCATATATATCTATAACCTTCTGTCAATCAGTGGCTAGTTTTTTCATTTTTTATTTTTTAATAGGGTACCCATCAAAGAACAGAAGTTTGTAATTTTGATGAAATTGAATTAAGAAATCTGTGACTTTCTCCCTGAAGTTTTGTAGTTTCAGCTTTTATATTTAGGTTAATGACACATGCTGAGTTAATGTTTGTGAATGGTGTGAGGTAAAGGCTTAGGTTCATTTAAAAATGTATATTTAGTTGTACTAGCTCCATTGTTGAAAGAACTGACCTTTTCCCATTAAATTATATGCTATTTGTGTCAAAATAGACCCATATATGAATGGGTCTATTCTGTACTTTCTATTTTGTATCATGGATCTATGAATATATCAGCATTTTAGGTCACACTGTTTAGGTTCCTATAGATTCCTATTAATAAGTCTTGACATCAGGTAGTGTAAGTTTTTCAAAATTTTTAAATCATTTTGGTTATTCCAGGTTCTTTGAATTTTCATTTACATCTTAATATTAGCTTGTCAATTTCTACAAGAAAACCTGATTGGATTTTGTTTGGGATTGTCTTGCATCTGTAGGTCAATTTGGAGAAATACTGACATTTTAACAACATTGAATTTCCCAGTTCATGAACATCATATATTTGTATATTGATATAGGTTTTCTTTAAAATTTTTTAGCCATATTTTAAAAATTTCAGCATATAGGACTTACACGGATTTTATTAAATTTATTCCTAAATGTTTTATATTTTTACGCAATTGCAAATGGCACTTTAAAAGTTTTACTTTCAAATTGTTCTTGCTACTATAAAACATACAATTGAGTTTTATATATTGACGTATCCTGTGACTTTGTTAACTCAACTTATTAGTTAATAATTTGAAATTATTTGAACATTTATATGAATTTGAATATTTTATCTGGGTTGCCAATTGTTGACATAAAGTCATTAAAATATATTCTTCTTATCCTTCTAATGTCTGTGGGATCTATAGTGATGTACTTTCTTTCAAAATTATGTTGGTTATGTACGTCTTTCATATTCACCAACATATTTATCTTTTCCAGTATTCTTCCATGTTTTGTGCAGATCTGAGTTTTCACCTGCTTTCATTTTACTTCTGCCTAAAAATCCTCTTTCTACATCTTGCTATATAGTTCTAGCAATAAGTCTGTCAACTTTCGTGTTTGGTAGTCTTTATTTTGTCTTTATTTTTGAATCATATGTTTTCCTAGATACAGAATTTTAGGTTGACAGTTTTTTTTTTTAGTATGTAAAAGTTCTTTTTCCATTGTCTTTTGGTTTGCATTGCTTCTAATGAGAAATATGCAGTAATTTTTATGTTTTCTCTCTGTGTATACTATGTCCTTTTATTCTGCTGCTTTTAACATGGCTTATTTGTCACTGGTATTTATCAATTAGATTATGATACACTTTTGTGTTTATCCTGCTTTGGGTTCATTGAGCTCTTGGATTTGTTAGTTTTCATCAAATTTCGAAAATTTGATCATTATTTTTAAAAACTTTTTTCTACCCTCCACATTCTTTTGGGACTGTAATTACATAGTGACTGTTTGATATTTACATCAGTTATTTGAGGATTTGTTAATTTTTTCCCCAGCCTTTTACCCTCTCTGTTAGTTTGGATTGTTTCTATTGCTATATTTAAGTTTGCTTGTCTTTTCTCAGCAATGCCTATCTTCTGTCTGATCTTCAGTGAAATTTTTATCTATGGTATCATATTTTTCACCTCTATGAGCTATATTTTATTCCTTTTTAATATTTCCTTTTGTCCTCATTGAGTTCGTGTTTTGCTTAAAAACCTTGTGCATATTTATACAGATATTTAAAAATCTTTGTTAGCTTGTTCCATTACCTCTGTTATTTCTGTATTACCTCTGTTATTACCTCTCTTCCATTACCTCTGTTATTTCTATGGTCTTATTTTTTTTCCTGAATATTCTTCTCATGTATAATAATTTTCGACTGGATTCTGGACATTTAGAACATAATACTAAGTGTCTAGATTCTGTTGTATTCATTTATAAAGTGTGAAGTTTGTTTTGGCTTGCAGTTAAATTCCTTGCTGATCAGCTTAATTTATTAAAGCTCGTTTTTAAGCTTCATAAGGTTGGGTTTAGAGCAGCCTTTACTCTAGGACTAGTGTATTTTTACTTATTTGGTGTGACCTTTTTGGAGACTCTACTGAGTGTCCTGAGAACTTAACAAGGCCCTGACAGTCTGGCTGATTAGAACTTAAACATATCCCAGCCCTTTGTGATCTCTGGGAATTGTTTAGCTCACGGCACTCTAATAGTTATTCTTTGCCTGCCTCATGAAGCCTCACCTTAGTATTCAGCAAATGACTCAAGGGGACTCCTTTCTCTGTGTAGCTCCTTCTTTGATGTTCTACACTTTAAATTCAAGCCACTTTGGCTTCTCCAACTTTGATTTCTCATGATTACCCACTCATGGAAGTCTCTGTGCTTTGCTAATATTCTCTTTCTCTTTAACGCAGAGCAGAAGGTACCTTCTGGCAAAAAATTGGGATGACCGTAGGCTTATCTTGTTTGTTTCCCTTTTTCAGAGCTCACAGTCTGTGATGCTTATTTTCAAACCCTAAAGTTAGTTTTTAATGCAATGTCCCCAGTTTTCTAGTTGTTTATGATGGGTGGGCAAGTCCAGCTACAGTTAATTTAACATGGATAAACTCAGCACTCAAGTTGGTAGAGTTCTGAGATGAGGAAGTAGAACTTGAGCCTGTGAAGGAGACCAAGGAGCAACTGGACAGAAAGGTGGAAACTTGAAAGAGTTTTGTGTCATGGAAACCAAGGAAGGAAAGCTTGTTAAGAGAGAAATGTACAACTATGTGGAATGCTGCTGAAGGATCAGGTAAAATTCAGATGAAAAAGTATCCATTGAATTAAGTAACCCAGAAACCACTGATAGTTTTATAGAGATCTTTTTCCTAGGAACAAATTGGAAACTAGATTGAAGCAGACTGAGGAATGATTGGTAGGTAAGTTTATTGGTTAAAGAAATACTAGTTGTTGCAACAAATAAATACCCAAATTTCAGTGTCTTCACAAAATAGAAGCTAACATATAGATTTCCTAATAGTTGCAGTCAGGTGTTCCTGGTCAGTGGAAAATGTTCCTTCATGATGTGATTCAGGGAACCTGCCTCTCTGCCTTTTATGGTTGCATCATCTCCTAGTGGGACCTCAACATTGCAGTTGTCCAGATCCATTAGATCAGAGGGGAAGAAGTTTAGAGGAAGCTACTTCTTAAAGCCTTTGCCTAGAAGTGACACACAATTCCTACTCATTTTCACTGGCGCAACTAATTACAAGGCCATACTTAGATGCAAGTGGAGGTTGTAAATATAATCTCTACCTGGGCAGCCACCAACTTTCTACAATAGGAAGAGGCCTATGGCACTTGTTGGGCAACATGCCACTTCTGCCACAGTAGAGATAATGCTTTTGAGAAGTTTGCACTGAATGGCAGGAGAGTGATTCCTTCAAAGCTGGATAGAGGTGAGGAGTTGAGGGCATTTCTCTTTTTAATCTGAGAGACAGGTGCATGTTTGAAAGCCGTTGGGAATGATCCAATTCAGAGAGAAGTTAAATATACAAGAAAGAAAGGGATAAACAGAATGAATATAAAAACCCAACAAGGTGGAAGAATATGATATGCAAAGCCCAAATGCAAGGATTGGCTTCAGGGAGGATGGATGATGATTCTGCTGTATGAAGAGGGAAGGGGTATGGGGTGGGGGCATAAGTAGATTTGTGTGCTTAGTCATAGGAACACAAGAAGTTTCCCACTTCTGGCGTCTATTTTTTTTTCTAGAAAATAAAAGGTACATTAAGGCGGGAAGTGTAGGGTAAGGGAGTTTGGGAAGAGTGAAGACTTGAAATAATTGTTGCCTTGCTTGCTGTACTTACGGTACAGTAGGTGCTCTATAAATGTTTGTTGAGTCTATTGAAATGTGCATTGCCTTTCCCAAGAGCTTTAGGACAGCATTTGGGTATTGTCATGAATAAACTAGGGCTCCTTGCCTTTGCCTCTGAGCAGGGACAAGAACCTTGCTGTGAATCAGGTGCCATTGGCTGGAATTCATTACAAGGCAAGCCCATCTTCTGCCACACCTGGAGGGGCTTGGTCACTGAATTCCTAAAGAATCTGGTTCTATAAATTGCTCCTCTGACGTTTTCACCTGCTGCCAACAGCTGCAAAGCCCCGGGTACAGGACGGAGGTAGGGACGGGGTGTGTTTTGAAGGGTGTTCATATCCAGTAGGCTGTCTGGCCTCGCTAAGTCAATCCACTGAAGCTTTTGCTTTCCTCTCTCCTCTTTCTGCTGCCTCCAGTGCAGAGAAAACCAGACCTCAGAGTTAACAGGCACCTGCTTCCTGTTGCGTGTATTTAGGATTAGGTCATGAACCTGAAATGAATAAAATAGAAGGTGGGCACTTTGCCAGAAAATAATGAATTCATAAAACAAGCGGGATGGAGAGTTCAGAAGACCTTTAATGGGCCCCCTTAATGGGCCACTCAAGCCCCTCTCCCCTCCCTGTCCCCCTTTCCCACCCCTCCCATCCTTTTACTCTCTCTCCCCCATTCTGCCTCTCTCCCCTCTCCTCTAACACCCCCACTTCTTTCCAGCTCTCCCTCTGACCCCTGAGAGGCAGCGCGTGCTGGAGGTGATCCCGCGGCCAAGGGCTACGCAGTCTTCCTGGTTCCTGCTGTTCCCTGTTATTTTCATTTCCCTATAATTCGAGGGGACAGGTGAGATGTGCTTCAAAACACTGTAATCATATTTTAAATGGAAATGAAATGTGTGAATTAAATGTAAATTACAGTAGAATGGAAGGACAATCACTATTAGTTAAGGTCTGACACCTATTTTTGCAGACCTTTCCCAAACGCCACAACTTGTTTCACCACACGTGTGATGAGAAGTTGTAATTATGTGGCAGCTGCTTCTGCAGTCGGGCTGATGCTGGTTACCGGATCATTTGTGCAAGGGGGTCTGGCTATGGGGCTGCGTATGTATTTTAAATAGATATGGGCTGCTGTTGGTACTATAAAATTATCTAGAAGAAACGATATTTTTACACGAGTACTGTGGAAAGAAACCTTTTTCCCCCCTAGTTTTCCCTTTGGAAAGGTAAGGTGGTAATATAAAGGGACACTTTTATATAGTCAGTTTATTCACGGATTCTCCATTTGCTTTTATATTGGAAAAATATGTGCTGTGCCAATGAGTTGCAATTTTGCCCTCAATCTTGGCCTGCCTCCCTCCCACCTAGTGCTAGAGCTGTGCTGGTTCCCAGGGGAGCCCCTGTTCCTCGTGTATAACCGTTCACAGAGCATTTTTCAAGACAGTACCAGCTCTTTGTTATAATTTCTTGCATGATAAAAGGAATAATTTTATTATCTAACTACCCAATGTCATGTCAAACAGCAAAAGAGATTGAAAAGGAAAATCATTCAATTCCAATCAATCCAGTCTCTTGTTTTGTTCGTGGACAGAACGACTGGTTGATTGACTACACCTTCAAATTTTCTAAGCCATTTCTGGGTGTGTTGCAGAACTCTCAGGGACGAGGGCAGATCTAGATAACTAGATAAGGTCAGAAGTATGGGAAGATCAGTAAACTCATTAACAAGGGATCTATTTACATGCCCATTGTTGATTCCGGTGTTGTTTGCTTCAGCCAAACTCCTCTGTCTCCATTGGAGTAGTCAGCAGATAATATAGGTTGAATAATCATGTGTGTCATTGAGTTTTACAAATCTTGCATTTTCAAAGCAACAGAGATGCAAGTGCAGTCAATATTTAGTTCTTAGGGACACTTGCAATTAAGGTAGAATGTGAATGTCTAGCCTGTGATAAGTGAAGTTTCTGTCTTAAAGATTCTCAGGAATCCTGCCAATCCCCACTCTGCACTTGACCTTGGAACAGCTCCCCACCCTTGATTCTCTCCTAGAGGCCAGCTGAGGGCTCCAGAATATCCCTCAAAACACATACCCTATCACAGCCTGAGCTCACATTTTAAATGCAGCTCTCATCGTAGCATTTGCTGCCCCGGTGAGAAACCTTCAGTGGCCTTGGTGAGAGAGAGTCGAGTCCCTGCTGTAGCCACCCGGGTCTATTTCCCTTTCCAATACTCCGAGAACCTTCCCTCTGCTCAGGCTTGCTTCTTGTCCTCAAATGTTTGCTCTCACCTTCTCTGTCTGGTTATCCCATTTACCCTTGAAAGTCTCTCTCAGACTTCTCTTTGGGGACAAAAACCTTCCCGAACCACCTGTAGGCCAAATCAAGTGCCTGGTGTCCTACCGTCACTACCCTGAATCACTGCCGACTTTACAGACACACATCTCCCACCTGCTGGGACCCACACCAAAATGCCTGGTGCCATAAGCATATCTCCTGCAAGACTTCACAGTCAACCAGAAGTCTTCTAGGTAGTGGTCGTTTCTCTTTGGAAACTGGAGGTGCTAAAATAAATAACATGAATATGCGCCAGTGTTTGAATTCTCCAACTGTTTTTTTCTCTTGGTGACATCATCCATCTTCTTTTCTTTTCTTTTTTTTTTTTTTTTTTTTTTTGAGACAGAGTCTTGCTCTGTTGCCCAGGCTGGAGTGTGGTGGCATGATCTTGGCTCACTGCAACCTCCACCTCCCAGGTTCCAGCGATTCTCCTGCCTCAGCCTCCCGAGTAGCTGGGATTACAGGTGTGTGCCACCATGCCTGGCTAATTTTTGTATTTTTAGTAGAGACAAGGTTTGGCCATGTTGGCCAGGCTGATCTGGAACTCCTGACCTCAGGTGATCCACCTGCCTCGGCCTCCCTAAGTGCTGGGATTACAGGCGTGAGCCACTGTGCCCATTCTTCATTTTTTTTTTTTTTTTTGAGGCGGAGTCTCACTCTGTCTCCCAGGCTGGAGTGCAGTGGCACAATTTCATCTCACTATAACCTCCGCCTCCTGCGTTCAAGCAATTCTCCTGCTTCAGCCTCCCAAGTAGCTGGGATTACAGGTGCTTGCCACCATGCCTGGCTAATTTTTGTATTTTTAGTAGAGATGAGGTTTCACCATGTTGGCCAGGCTGGTCTCAAACTACTGACCTCAGGTGATCTGCCTGCCTAGGGCTCCCAAAATGCTGGGAATGCAGGTGTGAGACACCACTCCTGGCCCTTCATTTTTAAAATAAAGCATAAAACTGCTGTACATAACAAAATGTAAACCATGTTGAGTGTCTTCTTTTTGATTGCATTACATCTACTACCAACTCGTTTATGTTCATATGGAAATAAAATTAGTTGGCAGCCTGTGTTTTAAATGCAAATCTGATCATGACTGTGCTCCTTTGCCACAAAACCTTCTGGCTTGGTGTTAGGAAGATTGGTTAGGATAGGCAAAAAGACAAAAGAAAAAGTTCCATGACCTTGTTGGGATAGTTAAAAGGAAAGGGTTTGTGTTTCTGGAGACCCCTTCAACTCTTCTAATATCTATGAAGTACAGAAGATATTCATATTCTCACTGTATAAATAAGGAAGCTGATTCGGAGGGCAGATCTAAATAAGAGAAACTAAGGCAAGGAGAAATTGTGGGTGTTCAGGGTCACAGAGTTAACTGCAGCCCTGGAACCTGTGAAGTTTCTGTAGATGTCAGCATGCCTGATAGGCATCAAAGAAGCAAAGTCGCTATGGATGAAACAGATTTGGTGAGTATCCCATGAGAACCATGATTCCTGTGCAATGTATTATTAGGAAGCTTGGATGTTTCTGCAGAAGACAGTAGTTCTGATTGACATTTCCTTGGGTTGCAGTGGTGAGATGTGATGGGGTAAGGACAGCTCTTGGCACTGACCACACCCACCCCTGGCAGCCTCCACATCACTTACTAGAAAGTGAGTTGCCAAGTGTCCTGGCTTGAATTAGGAGTCAAGAAGATGCAACCAACCCATGCACAGAAAACTCAGCCGCCAGATCAGCTCTTTCTAGTAATGCAACTAGACAGCCCCTACAAACCTGGGATTTATACTGGTAAATCTTGGTCTCATGAGGGCCCAGCTCAATTTGTGCAGAAATTCCACCAATGGTGGAGAGTTGATTTAGTGTCAGAAAAGGGTGTTTGAAACAAGTGCATTTTCCTTTACGAGTCTTTTAACATCAGGAGAGAAATACAGCTGATTGCAATTGATTTGTGTACGTGGCTGTTTGTGTGAAGTGTCACAGCATGTTTGATGGGAACATAGAAACAAAGAAGGAGAAAGGCCAGAAATTGCTCTTCTGGAAGGTGCGAAGCAGAGAGTACAAGAAAATGCATCTTACAGAATAGGGCTTGGCCCTCCAGGTTACTGTGCATTGACTCTGGACTCAGTCCCTTAATCGCTGTGTGACTCAGTCCCTTAATCGCTGTGTGACTAACAGCAAGTTTCTTGAGGTCTCTAAGCCTTGGTTTCAACATCAGTAAAAGGGGAATAATGAGTGTCTGCCTTATGAGCTGTAGGGAAGATTAAATCAGTGCATCTGAAAGGCTGATTTTCTTCTACTTCAACTTCCTCCCTAAAAGCTACTTCCAGGAAAAGGCCTTATAAAAGTCTATCTTACTTAACATAGCAGTCTAATGATAGTTTGGAGAGTGTCCCATATGGGAGAGCCCACAAAAGAGACTTAAAATGTTCCTTTTCTGTACAGAGTTCTTTATTGTTATTTATTTATTTATTTATTTTGAGACGGAGTTTCACTCCTGTTGCCCAGGCTGGAGTGCAATGGCTCCATCCTGGGTCACTGCAACCTCTGCCTCCTGGGTTCAAGCAATTCTCCTGCCTCAACCTCCCAAGTAGTTGGGATTACAGGCACCCGCCACCACACCCAGCTAACTTTGTATTTTTAGTAGAGATGGGGTTTTGCCATGTTGGTCAGGCTGGTCTTGAACTCCTGACCTCAGGTGACCTGCCCGTCTTGGCCGTTCAGAGTGCTGGGATTACAGGCTTCAGCCACCGTGCGAGTTCTTTATTATTTAAAAGACACTTGCAACCATCTTACCACATTTAACTACCTCAAAGTGTCCCATGAGTTCTATAAGTCAGGTGTTATTTATTCCTCTTCTAAAATGAAACATGGACATAGAAAAGTAAATTTCCAAAATTCATATTTTTGTTCCTTAAACATAGTTTGAGGGATACATAAATGACTTATTAAGAATCACACAGTTAATGAAGTAAGAACCTGGGATGAGATTTTGTGTTGTCTGACTCCAAGTGTAGTGTATTTAATAAGAGGAAAGAACTTTAAGGTACAGAAAAGACTAATTGCAGAATTTCAACATAAGCGAACACATCAAAGAGTGGAGGGTTTTTCCAGGGTCTCTGCTCTAACATTCTGTAGAGACCCAGCTGTCCATGGAAAGGCTCACCCCTGCCAAGATGTATTATACCAACGGCAAGACTTTCAACCTTCTCTTGGTCTTAATCTTTCTGAGTGTGTCTCCCTTCATTGTCTCTTCTAATAAATAAATTAGAAAATATGTCTAGAAAACAGTTATGGAAAATATGTCTAGAAAATAATATTAGAAAATAATAATAGACATACTACAAAATATAATAGAAATGTCTTGAAAATAATATTAGAAAATGACAATGAACATTTTTATCTATTGTGATGTAATAAGTTACCCCAAAACTTAGTGACTTAAAACAAATCACATTTATTATCTCATAGTTTCTGTGAGTCAGGAACCTGGCCATCACTTAGCCGGGCTCTCTGCTTCTGGGTTGGCCGTGAGGCTGTAGTCAAGGTGATGGCTGGGCCTGCAGTCATCTCCAAGCTTAACTGGGGGTGGATTGACTTCCAAGCTCATCAAGAGGTTATTGGCAGGGTTCAGTCCCTGTGGACCTCAGTTTCTCAGTGGCTGCAGGCTGGAGGCTGCCCTCCTTGCTATGTGAGCTTCTCAGTAGGGCAGCTCACCACATGGTGGCTTGCTTCATCAAAGAGAGAGAGAGAGAGAGAGAGCAAGTGAATATGAGACAGAACTCACAGCCTTTTGTAATCTAATCTCTGAAGAGACAACCCATCACTTTTGCTGTATTCTGTTCATTAGAAGTGAGTCACTAGATCCATATCACACTCAAGGGGGAGAGATTTTACAAGGAAGTGCATACCAGGAGGTGAAGATCAGTAGGCGTCCTCTTAGAAGTCTGCCTACCACAGGCCTCCTTTGTAGAGAAGCCTTCAGGGCCAGACCTGATCTCTAATAACTTCATTTGCTGGTTTCTATTTTGAAATTGGTAGTCCTACTTAGAACTTTGTGATAGCAGTTGTGAGGGTGTTATCTCAATAAAGCCTCTAGCCAACTGGCTTTACAATGGAGCAACTGGAATGAAATCTCAGTAATACATCAGTAATGTCCAAGATTGGCTAGAATGAATGAAAATGGGTATGCGTCAGCATTGGGTAAACCTTCAATTCCTTTTTCTTTCCTTAACTCAATTTGCTCTGATGATATACAAAACCATAGGCCAAACTTTTTAAAAACAGCGACAGGGAATTTCTTGTCCCTGTACCACTACCCCCTGCAAAGGTAGGTAGTCTGAATCCAGGAGCATGGGTACTGATGCCAGCTCTTGGGTCTCAGGTGGTGGTGACTGCAGACAGAGAAGACATGCTCTGATCAGCTTGGCCCAGCAGATATTCCCATGGGGACAAGTCCAGCGTGCCTTGAAATAAGAGCCTGTTGCAGGCCAGGAGTGTGGGGTCCCACACACCCTGATGCACACCATCAATTTGGAAAGTCCTTTTTATTTTCATTCTTTTAAATGCTTCTGTTGGCTGTTTGTTTTATGAGGAGTTAGTTTCATTAGTGCTACTGAGTCCATGTGTTCACCCACCACACTCGAGCCTTGCATTGATATCACTCTTTCCCCTCAATGTACCAGGCCCTGCAGAGAACACGTGAAGTCCTCACGGCCTGTCCTGACTGGCATGGGACTAGCAAGTTCGTGAAGACTTCCCTGTGTCCGTGTCTCTCTCTTATTTAAAAGCCACGATGTCTCCCTGTGTGTCTGCAGGAGATGCCAAGGTCTTCACAGTCCGGCCCTAGTCTGCCTCTCTGAGACTCTCCAGCTGCCTGGCTGGACCTTCTGTCTACACAACAGCTAGAATCCCATGCCATCTGAAGGTGTTGAAACAAATCATGCACTTCCCAGGCTTTGTTGCTTTGTTCACACTTTCCCTTTACTTTGGAACAAATGTCCTCCCTCCCTGATGCCCTCTGCACATCTCTGCCTAGCCATCACTGGTGCATCTGCCAAGGCCCAGCTCAAATGTCCACACTCCTTTGGAGCCTCCTGACCTCCTCCTCACTTTAGGTGGAACACACGTGTCTATAGCAGCTGTCATGGGTGCTGCACCCGAGTCCCTGTGGCATTTACAATGTTTGCACTGGCAGTGTGACTTCTAACGGCCAGCACCAGCTACTCTACCTGAAGGCTTTCTCTGTCTGCTCACTCTGCCCTTGCATGGGACAGGTTGAAAATGTTGTGGGTTACCTCCCTAGGAGACCCCTCTACCAATGACTGTTGGTTCCCCACCCCTGGACAGGATATTTCTGAGGCAAGATAGCCCAGAGAGGTCTCCCGTGGAGCTGAGCTCCCCCATCTGGTGTAGCAACTGGTGACAATGAACCCTGCCTGGCTTCCTTCCCTCCCCTGGGTCACTTTGTCACTCCGCTATCAGTGGTTTTTCAGTTTACTTCGAATGATCTATTTGTACCTGAAGCTTTGCTTTGGAGTCTGTTTCTGGGGAACACACACTGAAAACAGAGCCCCTCCTCCGTGCTTACGCTCACTGTACACATTTATTACAGCCCTTACATTGCACTTGTGGGTATCCAGCATCGGGCTCCTGCACAGTGACCTCCTTGAGGGCAGAAACTCTGCCTCTCCAAGGCCTGGTGCAGTGCTGGGCATACATCCGGTGCCCATACTTTTGTTGAGTTGATTCTCTTGTGCTCATTTCCCTAATTAAAGGTTTTTTTTTTTTTTTTGTAAGTTTTCATGGGGGCTGGTTAGAGCTTAGGACCTCATCTTGCACTAAAGAATGAGGTGATCCAACCGTCTTGGCAACCACTGCTCTACTGCTGTCATGGCCCTTTGGATGAGAAGTTTGCCCAGAGCCTTAGGTAGACAGGTGATGACAGTGGCTGCCCTGTCCTGGCCACCCTTTAAGAGACTGTGAGGTTGCGTCGGTCCTGACTTGGTATAGCATCTGATCTTATCTGCTTTATCCTGATTCTATTGTTACAAATGGCAAATTGGGAGGAAAATAAACGAGCTATTGAGAATAAAATCTCCTCCTGCCAAGTGGTAATGCCCCAGAAAGAGGGAGGGCGTATCTCCATGTCATTATGGGGATAAATTAGATGTCTGCTGAACTACTCCCACACATGCTCACTGGTCAGATTTGGGACTTCAGAGCAGAATTGTCACCCTGTCTGGGAGAAAAGCAGTTAGCAAGGAAAGGGGTGGAGACTGGCATTTTGGAAGGGCAGTTAAGTTCTCAATAAAAAGTCTTTCCCACAGCATTATTCTGTGAAGACGCTGTTCATTTTTTTTGGGGGGGTTTATAATTACTTTACTTTTTAAAAACTTTTTAAAAAGTTTTTTTGAGATGGAGTTTCACTCTTGTTGCCCAGGCTGGAGTGCAATGGTGTGATCTCGGCTCATTGCAACCTCCGCCTTCTGGGTTCAAGTGATTCTCCTGCCTCAGCCTCCCAAGTAGCTGGGATTACAGGTGCCCGCCACCACGCCCAGTTAATTTTTTGTATTTTTAGTAGAGACGGGGTTTCTCCATGTTGGCCAGGCTGGTCTGGAGCTCCTGACCTCAAGTGATCAGCCTGTCTCGGCATCCCAAAGTGTTGGGATTACAGGCGTGAGCCATCACACCCGTTCTATAATTACTTTATTTCAGGGGGAAAGAGGAAGACACCAGGAAGTTTTTCACCAGCCAGAGTATCGCACTCCTACCAAGTGCATCTCTGCGAAGACAAAACCCCATAATGAAAGAAACATTCTGAGGATGTTTGCTGAGCTCCATAATTGAGAGAAAGGTCTGTGACTTGCCAGAGGTTGGGAGGAGGCAGGGTGCCCTGGCAGCTGGGCTGCACGGTCTGGTTGGCCCCCCAGACTGGTCTGGTCAGTGCCGCACTTGCCTTTGGGGATTGAGAATGTTTCCTATGGGGCAGGAGGATGAGAACAAGGCCTCCTCTTAGCAAGGCTGATGAAGCTCCTCCTTTTTCTCCTGAGTCTCTGTGGGGTTCACATTTGTGGGCACTTCCCCTGGGAGAAGCCCAACTGAATCATCCACTGAAAATAGGTTTATGCTGCACGGAAGGATCTTTTTCAATAGCAGGTCCTTAATGAATTGTTACAACCTTGGGCACAATAAAATGAAGACCAATGTGGAGTGTATGGAGCGTGCGGAGTTGCCAATAGTCTTTTTGGGAGGACTATACTTTGTTCTGGGATTAATCTTTCTTACTTTGCTTTTTAAAATTAAGATGTCTTTCTTTAAGAAGTATAAATATATATGGTAGCTGTTTTTTTTTTAAATGTTTTTACTTGGCCAAATAAAAAAGTTGGCAACACTATCATTTTCAACACCCTCTTAAAAAAATTTTTTAAATAGATACGTGATATAAAAAAGATAGGGAACTGATTTATAGGAAGAGTTTAAGTCCCCACGAAGCCCTCACCCAATCCTGACTTTGGACTTTCTGTGAAGAAGTACACTTTGCCCTCCATGGGCCTGGCTTTCCTTAACTGTGAGATCAAGGAAAAGACTGGGCTGTCTAGTTCCATGCAGATCAGTTGAGAGAAGTCACTGGAAGAAGAAAATTTTATGGGAATTATGGAAGGTTGGGAAGAAATGGTCTTTGCAGATGAGATTAAGTTAAGGATGTTGAGATGGAAAGATGGTCTTGGATTATCCAGCCAGGCCCTAAATGAAATCATATGTATCCTTACAAAAGGGAGGTGGAGGGAGCTTTTCACACAGAGGAAGTGCAATGTGAAGACAGAGCATGAGATGTGAATGTGAAGATACCGGCCTTGAACACTGGAGGGATGAGGCCACAAGCCAAGGAATGTAGGGGCTACCAGACTCCCCCGGCACCTCTGTAGAGAGCACAGTCCCACTGACACCTTGATTTCATCCCAGCAATGCTGATTTTGGCCTTCTGACCTCCAGAACTGTGAGAGAATAAGTCTGTGGTTTTAAGACACCCAGTTGGTGGCCATCTGTTACAGCAGCCACAGGGAACTAACGCAGGAATACAGACTGCAGGCTCCTTCAGAGCAGGATATAATTATGTCTCCCCAGCAGTGCCTTGTCCTTAGTGTGGAGCCGCCCGTAGCTGCAGATGAAATGTATTAGCACATCTCCACTTACTTAAGGTAAATCTTTTGAGTCTTCTTTTCTGGGGCCTGCAGATATTTCCTGTTAACTAGGATCTTAGGGGACACCCAACCATGGTTCTTTCTCAACATCATCTCTGGAAGCGTCAAGTGTCTCCTTGACATCACACACCAAAGGATGCACTTTCTAAGGTATTGTTTAGGACTTAGGAGAGGCATAATTTTTAGCAATGAGCTGAGAGATGGGGGTCCTTGCCACATCCTCCTTCCCACATTGCTATGACAGCTTTGTGTTTTTTTTTTGGTCCCAATTCAGTTCTGAGTAGGACCCGGTTTGCTTTCAAACCTTATAAATGGCTACTAAAGATTGAATTGTGTACCCCGAATTCAAATGTTGAAGTTCTAACTGCCAGCACCTCAGAATGTGACCTTATTTGGAAATAGTGTCCTTGAAGCTATAATTAGCTAAGATGAAGTCATTAGGGTTGGCCCTGACCTAGTTTGACCAGTGTCCTTATGAAAACGCAGAAGTTGGACAAAGACACACCCACAGGGAAAGCACCATGAGAAGATGACGGCAGAGATCTGGGCGACGCGTCTACAAGCCAAGCGACACCAAAGGTGGCCAGCAGCCCATGTGAAGCTGGAGGAGAGGCCTCGAATAAATGCTCCCTTACAGCGTTCAGGGGGAACTGACCCTGTCCACACCTTGACCTTGAACTTCTGGGCTCCAGAACTGTGAGACAGCATGTTCTGTTGTTGAAGGTACCTGGTCTGGGGTGCGTGGTGCTTTGCAGCCAAAGTGAATGAATCTGGTGACACTGACCTGTGTACTGTATGTCTTGTCTGCAGCTTGCTGGTAAATGAGGGAAAAAGCAGGGAATCAGGGGTGGCAGAAGGGTAGGGGGAGAAGGGAGTAGGACCAGAGCAGCTTTAGAAGTGCGGCCTTGAGTCTGAGCAGGAATCCTTCTATGTCCAGCTTTGTGTCTGCTGCCTGTGATAAGAGGGCCGGCAGAGTACCTACCCAAGCAACCTCCCTGTCCTGATCCCTCCCGGGGGACCCAACCTTTTCCTCTAGATAGGGTCAGCTAAAGAAAGTAACATTGCAATCACACCTTCCAAGCTGCCCTTCTTTCCCTCCTCCTTCAGTCTCCCCCGCACCCCCATTCCCCCTTGTTTCTAAGTGCCCAGCCTTCTCCTAAGAGAGGGGACCATCTGGTTAGTCCTTGTTTACTGCACACCCTGCCAGTTTGAGCTTATTAATCATATTTACCCAAGTATCTTAATTACTCCCTGTCTAGCAACTTGCTTTGCACTCAGCTGTTGACCCCTCTTTTTTTTATTCCTTTCTATCATTAATCATAGGAGCAGCGTGGCTAGAGGAATTCCTGCAGCTTAGATTTCGCTGGCACTGTTACCACTCCCAGAGAGGAGCGGCTGGAGTTCACGGCTGGTTCCTGACAAACTTCCTAATTAATCTGCTAAAGATCAGAGGAGGACTAATAGGAGCTGAAGACTGTGTGCGAGACCACCCCTCCGCCCTCTCCCTTTGTGTGTGCACGTGTGTGTGTGTGTGTGTGTGAGCGCGTGCGCGCATGTGGTGCTGAGCTTGGCGGGAGAGAGATGGCCTCACCAGCGACAAAGCATTCCTGCTGCTGTTGCTGCCACCTACCTTCCCTGCTTTGGGAGGATACATTTTCTCCTCTTGCTTAGAAGTTTCAGGGAGTCACCCAAGCCTTCTTCTCCCAGATACAACGGTGGAATAAAATATCTTCCAGCCAACATATTTTTTGGAGACGGAATCTCACTCTGTCACCTGGTTGAAGTGCAGCAGCGCGATCATGGCTCACTGCAACCTCTGCCTCCCGGTTTCAAGTGATTCTCCTGCCTCCGCCTCCCGAGTAGCTGGGATTACAGGCATGTGCCACCCACCACGCCTGGGTAATTTTTGTATTTTTACTAGAGACAGGGTTTCACTATGTGGGCTGGGCTGGTCTCAAACTCCTGACCTCTGGTGATCTGCCCACTTCGGCCTCTCAAAGTGCTGGGATTACAGGCATGAGCCCCCGCACCCGGTTGCAACCAACTTTTTTGTGGAATATAGGATCTTGATGTTTGGATGCCTGAAGGCAGAAGCTGTTGCACATGGAATGGATTAAAGTTTTCCCCTCTGCAACCAAAAATCCTTGGGGTCCCAGGAGCAAAAGATGCTCCATGGCACAGGACAATTCAAGAAGGCCCGAGGTGATATTGAAGACTGCAGAGACATCCAGCTCAGTTGTGTCTCCGGAGGTGTCCAGACTTTGCAGACAGACGTTGCACATAAAGAGCTGAAAAACTGAGGAAGCTGAGCTGGAGAAGGAAGTCACTTCTACTCAGACTTGACCTGCGTCTGATGCTATGGGGCCTCTTAGGGTTACCTCATGCTTCATGCACCCCTTTCTCTGTTCTTCAGCAGAAGGCAGGGTGTAGGGAAGCGGGACTGTGCCTCCTTTCTCCCTGCCAGGCCTGACTCTCCAGGCCAAGAGACACCATTAAGGAGTATAATTTGTTGATCCAGGCTCTCCTTGCGTTTCAGTGCAGAGTGGCATCGTTTTCTTTATGACCTCGTAAAGTCACAGCCGAGAGGCCGATTTGGAAAACAAACTGCCTCAGGTTGACAGATAATTAGATACAGGGGACATATTATATGCCTTTGCATATAAATGTGCTCCGAGGCGTGTTGGTTCATCTGAAGTTGAGGTTAAAGGCGCGCCAGGTATTCCTGACACATCAGGATATATATTTTCATACAGTCTCAGGTGCTGTGTTGGTTTTATAGGCCTTTCATCCTGGTGCTGACGGATGGGGTGTGATTGTGACCCAACTTAGAAGAAAGGGACTTCCCTTGCCCAGGGGCCTCCTGGCGTTTTTGTTTTGTGTTCTCCCTCTCCACCCCCACTTTCTCTTCTTCCTTGGGAAGGGAACTGTTCTTTGGACCTAGGATTCTGCCGTGAGTGACTAATGGCCTGAGTAGGAGGGACCGGGACTCATTTTTCTTTTCTGGACTCTAATAGGCCCAATTAATTCAGCTACAACATGGGCCCTTACAAGCCTGGGACAAGCCTGGGTGGAATTCTATATTGAGGGTAAGAAAAGGGATGGAAGTAGATGTTTTCCAGAAGGTTCTGTGGACTCTGGGGGTGACCTGTGGACAGCTGCTGCTGCCCACTACCTGGCAGTTTGGCTATGTGATACATGTCAGCCTTACAAGGAGATCCCCCTTACCCTGGAATCTACTTTGGGGGAGCAGAACTTGAGCCTCAGGCAAATCAGAGACGAGGGGGAAACTTTGCTTTTTCCTCCAGTGGCAGGGAGCTCTGGGCTGGGGAAATGTCTTTTTGAACACAAAGTTCCAGTTGCATTCATCCACAGGAAAATGTAAAGAGCTTAATTTAATGCCCTCTGGGAGTCATTTCGATTTAAAAGTGGTATTATAGCTTGTGGCTAGAAGAATGGGCTTAACGGTTAGTCACCTTCTGTTTGGGCATGTCATTTAATCTCTTTGAGGCTGTTTCTTCATCTTAAAATATGAGTGAGAAGGTAGTACCCACCTTACAATGTGGACAAGATTAATTTAGGGAAAACACGTAGCACAGGGCTTCACCCATGGTAAGTATTTCATAAACGGTAACTATTTTTAACAATGACAATTCACAGAGTTAATCCTAATAAAAAATGATTACAGAAGAGGACGCCTCCACCCACAGGAAGGAGCCAGCACGGTGGGGAGCTGTTTCACCAGGGGAGTGTTCTCAGCAGCTGCCACACGTGGAGTTGTGGAGGTAGCAAGCAGAGTTGGGGGAGGAGGGGGAGCCCTGGTTCCTGCTCTTCCATGATCAGTGTGCAGCCTTGAGCATGGCACTCCCTCTCTTCCCAGCTTAGTGTCCTCATCCGTAAAATGAGGGGCTCTCTGAGAGTCTGCCAGGGCCGCTGTCTGATCTGTGACAGCGTGGCATGTGGTGTGGTATGTAATGCACGTTCCTGCCTGCAGGGAGGCCCTCTCCCTTCCCCCACCAGGCTTCTGGGCAGCACTTGCTGTCATCCTTGCTTCTGGAACAGGACTGTGCTGTTTTCCAGGCCAAATTGGAGGGCTGAGGGGGTCTATTAAGAAGACTCTGGGGAGATGGTGGAACAATTCTGTGCTTGAAATTACCTTCCTCTTTAAATCTTGCCATGGCCCTATTAGAAAAGCTAAGGGGGCAGGAGGAGAGGAGCGGGCAGGGAGAGGAGAGAGAGAGAGAAGAAGGAAGAAGGAAAGGGAAAGGTAAGAAACCCCATAGCCCGACCCTCAGCCCTGTTGAAGGAGATTATATAAATAGAGTCGCTGTCACTTTGATGAATTAAATCCTCCGTTAATTAGGACGCATCCATTTAAGGGTTGTCCAGCCAGATAGTCCTTTTCCCTTCCCAGCAAGTCATAGCTCAGGGAGGAGGCATGAGAGGGATCGTTTTCTGTTTCTGGCTTGATTGCTGGTTTCTTTCTTACTAGGCTTCATTAATTATCCTGGAATGTGGTCACCCAGTTTTCTTCAACATGGGCCATTCTCCTTTTAGCAGGATCTTGGCAGTGGACTGCCACGGGAGCTCTGGGGAAAAAGGACCAGTTGGACTCCAGTACCTCCTGAGAGACCACCACCCTCCATGCCTCCAGCTCATGCCCAGCTCTGAGTCAGACGGACTCTTCCTGTTGTACTGCGAGGTTCTGCAAACCTTGAAGGGCAAACACAGTGAGGGTCTCTGACTTGCTGTGTGGACAGCCCACTCTCTGACAGCCCAGATCATCTGAAGCTATCCCTGGGCTGGGAGCTGGAAGCCATTCTTGTGAACCACTCCTTATACCTTGAGCGAAGCCTCTTTGGGTCCCAGAAGTCTGAAGCTCCAGCTGCCTGGCAAGACTGAGTCTAGATGATTTCTTGGGTACCAGTAGTTTGGCATTTAAAAATACTGGATTAACTGCAGTGTAAACTTAGATTGCATTTCAGATTGTAAACAATAACCCCCGTGCTTCATGTGATGTTAAATCAGAAATGAGCTATTAGCCAAGCTAGTCCTCTTATGAATGAGCCCCTAACCCTGATCCAGGGATCGTTGAATGAAAATCATCAAAATGATTTATCTTCACTTTACCTATTGTCTCACAAGAATCTCATCACTCAGGGAAAAGGAGGGTGTTCTTCAGGGAACGGAGGGCATGAGGAAGGGGGATTTCCTTATATCTCAACTTTCAGAGGGAGCTGAGTTGTAAACAGATGGAACAAGGTGTGTACGAGAAGCCTCTTAGATTTAGTCTTTCATATCAAGGCTCTTGCTGAAAATCCTGGCACAGCTGTGAAATGAGGGGAGCTCTGACACACAGAGACACGCTCCTTGCCTCACCAACCTTCCCATACACAGTCATGCGCACAGAGAGCAGGTACCAATACTGAAAATGCCCTTCCGGAGTTTCCTCAGCTTAAACCCTTGACAGCATTAAGTGAGGAAGGAGTTTCCTTGACCTGGGGAAGAAGAACCAACTCATAAACATGGAACTGTGCCCACTGCCTTTTCCTTTGCTCTGTGGATTGGCTGTGGTTCTGCCCTGGCACTCGGATGTCAAGTTGCTCTGGCTGTTTGGGAGGAAGCCCAGCCTGGGTCAGGTGGTCATAAGCCAGAGGCCCTGTCCTGTCCCCAGGGTTGGCCTCCCTCTGGGGTCCAGCATGGCCCCAGTGCTGAGGCTCCCACTGCTGGGGAATGTGCCCTCTCCTCTCTTTGTTTCCATACCAAGGGGATCTGCAGGGTAGAGGGCAAATTATTCTTAGCAGATTGGGGCTATGGGTAAACCAGAAGGGATGAGGGAGAGAGGAGAGAGGAGAGGAAAGGGAAGGAGAGGGGAGGGCAGGGGATAGGTAGAGGAGAGAGACAGCAAGAAAAAATAGAAAAAAAAAAAAAGGAAATAAAGGTTGCATATACAAAGGGAGATTAACAAGGAGTAGAAGAAGGGAGGCAGAAGAGGGAGAAACAGAGAAGAGGAACAAAGAAGACATTTCCAAAAAAGACGTGAGCACACCAGGCAGGAGGGAGAAAAGGAACAAGGAGAAAGGAAGGAAGTGAGACAAGCTGGGGAGAGAAGAGGCAAAGGCAGCCAGGAGCAGGCATAGGGGAGAGAGGAGTGGGAAGCCCCAGGGGGTACAAGGAAAAAAATGAGGGAAGCCAGTGGGAGGAAGGTGAGGAAGAGGAGAGGGAACAGGCACTGGGTGGGGAAGAGGCGAGCAGGAGAAAGCCTGTGCTGTGTGGATTATTGTGTGTTTGTCATCTGGAATGGTATAAGCTGTAGGTACAGCAGCTCCCGCCCATGATTTATGGTCCCTGTCAGGCAGGGACCGCGCTTTGTCTGCTGTAGCGTGGACGATGAATGCTCCGCTGTCATCCCAGCCTGGCCGGCCTTTCTCTCTCTCTGCTCCCAACGCTGGCTCCCCATTTCACGCCAGTGAACATAAGCAATCTTTTGTAAACCTGACAGTCACACTTGCTTCTTTGGAAACATAAAGCAGAAATGTATGACTCGGCTTTCATTACCCAATTTCCTACGCTATATAAAAACACTCAGGAAAGACATGTAAGTGGTCACGAAACCTGGGAAATTGGAAGTGTCCTGGAGGAAAAAAAAAGGAAGAGTGGGGAGAAGGGGGCTGTAGGGTGGGAGGGAGCCGGTGAGGAGAGGAGACGATGTGTCTAACTCCACCACATCCTTCCCAGAAAACGCCGGCTGATAAACGGGCCATGCAGACACATAATTATATTACATATCTGAATAATAGACATTTCCTGCCTGAAGTGTTGCTTTTTTTCCTCCTTCTCCTTTTAACCCAGAGTGCAGTAATGAAACAGTCTTAAGATCAAAGCTGCCTGATAATGTGGCTTTGTTTTTTCTACCTTTTTCTGCTTTACATTTTTTTCTTCCCCACTAGCCATTTGGCAGACTCCAGGAAGTGAAAAGTGTAACTTATTTTTAAAGAGCAATTAGGGTGTAGATCTTGGAGATTTCTCAGCCAGGAGGGTGAGATCGGCAGTGGAGAATCTGCATCCGTTTTGACAGCCAGGCCAGGGTGGGACAGGTGGGAGGCCCTTGGCAGGTGGGGGATGCTGGGTGGCTCTGGAATCTGCTGAGACCGGCCTAGAAGCCACTGGACATTTTCCGAGGCTTTTCTTTAGGGATGGATAACTTCTCTTCCAGCCTCCCGTTATATTCAGCTATAATCTCACGCCTAGCAGAGGGGAGAGGTGCTCAGGGTTTGGAGCCTAGGTGCTTTCATTATGTTGGGTCCTGGCCTTGATGGCCTGGGCAGTCAGAGATCCTGGGGAGGTTACTTCAGCAACACTGCAGGCCAATGGGATTCCTGGCTTTGTGGATCTGGAAGTGGAGAGCTATTTGCTGATTATTTTAATGATCTTTCCCTCCACATTCTTTGAGATCAAAATCTTTGAGCGGCATTTAGGGAGTTGCTTTAGTTTATCTAGGTGGTTGCTTTTGAACAGAGGAGAACCTTGCAGCAGCCCCTGCGGAAGAGTCCACTGAGCTACATTGCAGTGGCAATGCCAGTGCACATCCTGGGCCTGGGCACTGACGTGGAGATGGAGGAGTCCTTCTGCTTCCCTGAACCTCAGCTTTTCTAGAAAGACTGACATTCCATCCACCTATCTACACATCAAACACACACATGCACAAGTGCACACACACACAAGCATATGCAGAAATATTAGAACAGTCTTTCAAGGACTGGAACATTAAAATTCAAAAGCGGTTTTGAATACTTACTATATGTCCAACACTATACAGTCATCCCTTGGTATCCGTGGAGGATGTGTTCCAGAACCTCCTACATATACCAAAATCCATGGATGTTCAAGATCCTTATATAAAATGGCATAGTATTTGCATGTAACCTATACACATCCTCCTGCATACTGTAAATTACCTCTAGATTACTTATAACTAATACGATGTCCATGCTATGTAGATAGTTATTATACTGTGTTGTTTAGAGAATAACGACAAGAAAAAAGTCTGTTCACGTTCAGTACAGGTGCAGCCATTCATTTTTTTGAATATTTAAAATCTGTGGTTGGTTGAATCCATGGATGCAATGAGGAACCCATGAATATGATACCCATGGATAAGAAGAGCCAACTCTACTAGGTTTTATAACATGCGTGTCCTCAAAATCATTTTTGCTTATAATTGGAAAGTTTCCAATATACTCACAAAGAGGTATAGAGCTTGGACAGAAAGAGTGGCTCTAGACATGCATGTGACATGAGGAAGGCTTCCTTCTCGTCCTTCTGTCTCACCCCATCCATGCCTAAAATTTATTTATGATGGTTTCCTTGACCTCGTCCATAGAAACCTCTTGGCCTCCACACCCATGCTGAATGGTCTGTCCCCTCTGGATGTGTGGAGCTTACTGTCTGCTCCTCCCCTGGGGTGACTAATCAGATGCTGTCCCGTGCCAGCTCTCACATGGCTCTCAAGTCTTCATGTGTATTTCAAGGGGCAGAGATTTTAATCATGTCTTATTCTTCTGTGTATCCCCTGCTGCATTCAATGGGGCAGTGGGGTTCTATACAACACACTCTACACCCTGGGAAAACATACATCCCAAGATTATTTATATTCCCTAATTTACCCCCACAAAGGAAGGTGTGTTTGTGTAGATTACTGACTTTTCCCCTAACAACATTTCCATAAGGAGGTTAGTATAATTTTAAAACATTCACAATTTAAAGTATCTTTTTAACTAATTTGATGGCCATTTATTTTTCACAAAGAAATAGCTTTTGTTCTTTCAAAAGAATTGCAGTGCACATAGTGAGTGTTAAGAATGGGAACCCAGCATAGAGATTTAAGTGCTGGGGGTCACTAGACACACACTGGCTCAACCAACAACCTCTTGATATCCATGATTCTCATTTGGACCTCGTTTGGAAAAGATTGTTTCCATTTTTTTTTTCTGGTTTGATTGTTTCCTTTTTTTTTTTCTCACAAATAGAGGAAATCACTAAGGAAAAATCTACCAGGCATTCATGTAGCTGGTGCCAAAAATCTGTGGATTATTTGAAAGCTAAGTGCATCCTTCATGTCCCTGAACCCTTGCTCACTTCTAACCCTCACCGGGGGTCTTCAGTCTTTCCTTCCTATAATCTAAAAAGGCACTAGTGAAAACACATAGACTTTGCCTACAGACCTGGTTTCAAGTCCTGTTTCTACCACTTTACTAAATATGTTGTCTGTGATGGTTTGGATGTTTGTCACTTCCAAACCTCGTGTTGAAATATTATCCCCACTGTTGGAGGTGAAGCCTAATGGGAGGCGTTTTTGTCATGGGGGTGGACCCATCATGAATAGATTCATGCTCTTCCTGGAAGGGTGGGGAGTGAGTTCTCACTCTATAAGTTCCTGTGAGAGCTGGTAGTTAAAAAGAGCCTGGTACCTCCCCGCTCTCTTTCTGGCCTCCTCTCTTACAATGTAATCTCTGCACATGCCAACTCCCTCTGCCTTCCACCATGAGTGCAAGCAACCTGGGGCCCTCACTAGAACCAGATGCTGGCACTATGCTTTGAGTACAGCCTGCAGAACCACGAACCAGATAAATCTCTTTTCTTTATAAATTACCCAGCCTCTGGTCCTCCTTTATAGCAACACAAATGGACTAAGACATCATCTAAGACAAATAACTACCTTGAAGCTCAGTTTCCTCATCTGCAAAATGGGCAATGTAATAACCCCCCTGGAGGGGTTGTTGTGAGGATTACATGTACAATAACTACTACATAGTAGCCACGTAATCAGTGTCAATTCCTTTTCTTTCTTCTTATTCACTACAAACTTATCCTTCCATTTCATGCCATTCAAGATGCAGAGTTTCAGAAACCCCAGTGCTGGCAATACTTAAGGAGGAAATCAACAGGCAGCTCACTGAGCACTTCTAACCACAATAGATAGACTCTGATACAGACTTGGATTTCTTTGGGGCTTTGGAGGAGTCCTTTCTCTGTTATTGTTAGGCATGTTCATTGGACAAACAAAGTAAGCACAATGAGATGAATTTAATACCTGTCAGGCCTCAGAACAAATGTCATTGATCTTGCTGATACTATATAAAAAGCAGGAAAGTGGATCTGGTTTGGTCCTATGGCAATTTACAGGCCTTTGGCCTCCCTAGTTAATTTTCACTAGGACAGACATTATTTTGCCTGCTGGGAGGAGAAGTAGCTACTCACAAAAGCTGCCTGTGCTGTGCCATTAGGAAAGGGACTCAGAAGGAGGGCATCTTACATGTGCAAAAACTGGAGGAGTAACAAGCAAAGAGGGAGGAGGTGGGGATATAGTTGAACTTCATGTTAGCAGAGTTCAATACATGGAAACCATAGGTCCTCTCTTGTCTCTAACTGCCCCCGCCATATAGATAAAATTAAGGGGAGTTATTCATAGGGCAGAAGGAGGGTTTCCTCCCTTTTGATGACCCCTAGAAATATCCTGCTTCCCAAATAGGTATACTGAATAACTTACACTCGACTCAAGCTGTATTAACAACTTATAAGAGAAGTTGGGAAGGCAAAAAGATGCTCTTGGAATGTGTTGTTTTATGGCTATAGAATGATGAATTTTACTCCCAACTACCAAAAATGGAGGGATTTGCTTAGAGGGTTGATGGTGATAACAGCAGCATGTTTTAACTTATTGGCAGGTTGGGTCTTCTTTAAAATTTTGTCTGAGGCCATGGGAAAGATCTCTGGCTAGGAGATCTTCCGTAGCCCCTCCCATAGGAAGGGCTATGGAAGAGTCCCTATGGGCTTAATGTGTGGGATAAGAGGACCCAGCCAAACAAGCCGAGAGAGGCAAGTTTTTCCTTTCATTCAGACAGTAGCTGTAGCTTCTGGTTGGTGTGAAAAAGTCTGCCACAACTTTTGGTCGTCAGTTTTAATCTTGTTTGGAGCATCAAGGTATCTCATCTTCTGTATCAGTTATCTGTTGCTCTATATGACATTACCCAAAGTGTAGTGGTTACTATCTTGCAGTTTATGTGGGACAGGAATTTGGGAACAGCTTATATATGGGTGATTCTGACTCAGCATCTTTCATGAGGTTGCATTTAAGACATTGGCTAAGTTGACATCCTCTGAAGCTTGAGCAGGGCTAGAGAAGTTCTTCCCAAGATGACTCACTTCCTAACATGGCCTTGGTTCCTCTCTGGCTATTGGCAGGCTATTGCCACATGGACCTCTGAAAAAGTTTGCTTGAGTTTTCTTACCATGTGGCAGCTGATTTCCTCAAAAGCAAGTGATCCAAGATATAGCCAGGAGAAAGCAATAATGCTCCTTTTGACCTGGGAGTCATATACCATCACTTTTGCCATATTCTATTTGATAGAAGTGAATCACTATGTCTAGCTCACTCTCAAGGAAAGGAGAATTAATCTTGACTTCTGGAAGGGATATGTACAAAGAATTAGCCAAGATACTTTGAATCTCCATTTCTTCTTATTTCTATTCCTAATTATTCATAGAAAAATCATAGTGCTGAACTTTTAATTTCCATTTTCATACCATGAATTATCAAAATTTGATGTTGAAATGGAACTAGATGAAATACAAATAAATGTGATTACAGACATTTATTAATTATGCAAAACCAAATGATATAAAGCTTTGTTTTGACTACTTCCCCTTTATGATTCTTCTTCTTGGGTTATACTGGATAAGGCCCCTCTTCTACCTTGTGGATTTTCCTTGTAGACTTTTTCCATTGCCCCAGGGACCTTGAATTTGCTTTCAAATTTATGGTCATTCATTTAGAAAATATTTAGGAAATTTGCACGGCCAGTTCAATGAGGTTGTTCAATGGAAGTTTTTGAATCGCAAATAATGGGGGAAGTGTAGTTAAAGTAGCACCTCCTCCTCCTTCTTTGCACTGGCCAGTCCCTGCTCTAAATGCAGAGCGGATCAAGTCAGTTGAGATGCTGCTAAACTTTACCAGCCAGCTGGCCAGTGTCTCATTGAGCATCAATATTGGGACTGGTTGTTTACTGGATGGTGAGAAAAGAAAAGAACTTTTATCTGAGGAATGGGAGTCCTTTTAATTAGCAGGCCCAGAGAGATATTAAAATGAGACAGCAATCACATCCTACTTCCCCCTTGAGCTACGTATTCTTCTCTTGAAACTGCTTGCTATTACTACAGGCTATAAATTAACCTCATAATGCCACACCAGACACTATCAGCCACAACCTATTGCTTAACAATGTCTAGCCAATCACTAATCAATGTTATTTCTGTAAACCAGTGAGAATTCCTGACGAACAACTTTGTATCAATCCACTCCTTGTCCCCTGTTTTGCCTTTAAAAATCCACTTGTAACTGCTGCTAATCAAAGTGTATATTCAGGACAACTTGATTCTGTGCTCCCGAGTTGCAATTTCAAGTTTGGCCCAAATACCTTTCTACTTACACTAATGTGGCCTCAGATTCTTCCTTTTAGGTCAACAATAGCTATGAATGTGTTTTGGTTGTTTAATAGAGGGAGTTTCAAGGCAAGTTGTCATAGTCCGGGCATTATCCATACAAAAACTGGAGACTCTTAGCAGGCCACAGATTAAGGATGACATTCAAGTACGCGAAGCTGGCTCTACCTGAAGCCTTCCCAAGTCCCCAGTCAGGTTCACTTATCCAATCATCCATCCACTTCACACACATTTATTAACCCTGTACTGTGGGTCAGGCATTATGCCAAAGCAAGAGATGACAAATAGTGAAACTGCCTTTGCAAAGATGATAACAGTGAGAACATTATGACAGTGAAGGTGATCTGACCTAACCAACTCCATCTTGCCTTTAACTTCCAAGCTGTCCTTGTTCATTCCTGAACATAGGCTGAACTATGTAAAACTGACATATTAGCCACAAAATTAGAAATTATGGCTCAGGAGTCATTCAGTCAGAGGCCATAGCATTCCTAACCTCCCCAGTTGCTTTGATGGCTAACATTACTATTCTAAGACCTAAGATTGGTGTTTGAGATATTTTCCAGACCTTGCATTCTGATGCATCAGCTGGCACCACCCAGACTGGTAAAGTGGCTCATCTGGTCTTGTGGCTCCCACGTAGGAACTGGCTCAGTGCAAGAGGATGGCTTCAATCCCCTATCATTTTATCCCTGACCCAACCAATCAGTATTCCCCATTCCCTAGCCCCTGCCTGCCAAACTATTTTTAAAAAGACCTAGCCTCTGAATTTTCAAGGAGGCTGATTTGAGTAATAATAAAACTCCAGTCTTCTGTTTAGCTGGCTCTATGTATTAAACTCATTCTCTATTGCAAGTCCCTTGTCTTGATAAATCAGCCGTAGCTGGGCAGTGGGCAAGGAGAACCCATTGGGCAGTTATAATAGTTTCCAAATAGGTGGTGAAAAGCACTGGGATGAGGAAGAAGGGGCAGGGTACTTCTCCTGGCAAAGAGCCAGTCTCAGGGCTGATGTTCAGGGGGCACTAGAGGGTGGTGACAAAGGAGAGAAAGGGACTCAGGACACTTTTCAAGGCTTTGGCACAGAGAGAAGGAAGAAGACAGAAGCACTGTGGTAAGAACTGGGTGCAGGGTGGGACCAGCAGCCAGAGGTTAGGGAGCCATTCAACTATCAGACTTGAGGCCAAATTAGCGGCAAGTGAGACTCACCTGCTGAGACCCTGAGGTGGGCCTAGAACCTCTTCCGTCTCACAGGTCTCAGCGAGGGCAGGGCTGGAAGGTGGGTTTCCAGGCAAGCATGAAGTCAAGTTTCCTGAGCCGGGGAGAGGAGAGCTGCAGAGACTGGCAATTCCTGCTGCACCCCAAACATCCCAGCAGTGGGGATGGCTCTGCAAAGGAGTGGGGAGAGCCAGGCAGGGAGCTGGATGGGCCCAGATAAGAGTCCCTGCCCATCCCTGACACCCACCACACAGGTCCCACTTCTCGGCTGCCTATGGCCAGAATGAATCCCCCAGATGCACAGGCAGGGCAGATGCCCCCAAGAGCTGGCTCCAGGAGGGGTGCCCTGTGTTGGTGGATCCAGTGCCAAAGAGTACAAAGCCCCATAGAGGCGCAGGGCAGCTTTCTCTCCTCCCCTGCAGTAGGGCCTGGCTCCTGCTCCTCAGGGGGTTCATTTCAATGTTAATGAAACTAAGAAGGTGAAGAAAGTTGTTTTCTTCTAGAAATTCCATTTCACCCTTCCTTGCTCTCTGAACATACCTCCCTGATTTAGATACACTGTGTTTAATTAAAACTGTGTTTGTTTTTCTTCCTCCTTTGCTCTCTCCACTTCCCTGTGAAGACCTCTTCCTGGGCTGTCTCTGCCTCCCAGCCCCACCAGGCCTTTGGGGAAAGCTTGGTTCGGGGATTTTCTTTCTCTGCCTTGCCACCTGGGATACAGAAAAAGTCTTGCATTGGGAACCTTATGGAGAGTTGGATACTCATGTGCCTCGCTTGAGGTAAATGTGAGAGCTCAGGTATAAAAAATCTGGATGCATAAAAACTAATTATTGAAGAGAGGAGGGTTTCCCAATGCATAGGAGAATATTGGGACAGGGAATCAGGGAGCAGTTCTTTTCGTTAGGGAAGTACTCTTTGCCATTTGATGAGGATTTAGAGGAAGTGTCCTTTACACAGCCAGCTCCTCTACTGCATTTAAAATAGAGATTAATTCAACAAAATGAAGAATATACAATTTCATAGAACATAGAGCCATAATAGGTACCATTTATGTGCCAGGTTCTGTGTAAGCACTTGAATGTGTCCAGTGAAGTTTTTACTGGAGCTTTGATTTATTTTAGTAATAATGAAATAATTATATAAATATATATAGAAAATAAACAATAGTAAAATAAATTATTTGATTAATTTTATTAATAAAATAAATGTATAAATATATAGAATCAATAAACAATAGTAAAATAAATAATTTATTTTATTAATAATCAAATCAAATAAATTATTTATTTTATTAGTAATCAAATAAAATTATTTATTTTATTAATAATCAAATAAAATAAATTATTTATTTTATTAATAATCAAATAAAATTATTTATTTTATTAATAATCAAATAATTTATTTTATTAATAATCAAATAAAACAAATAATTTATTTTATTAATAATCAAATAAAATAAATTATTTATTTTATTAATAATCAAATAAAATAAATTATTTATTTTATTAATAATCAAATAAAATAAATTATTTTATTAATAATCAAATAAAATAAATAATTTCTATTAATAATCAAATAAAATAATTTCTTTTATTAATAATCTAATAAAATAAATTTATTAAAGTTCAAAAATTTAATACAATAAAATAAATTATTTTATTAAAGGTAATGGCAAAATCTGCAATTACTTTTGCACCATCCTAATACCTAGTTTACATAGGAAGAAATGACAACTCAGAGAGGTTTAGTTTCTTGTCTAAGCACGTGGGACTTGTCAACAGCAGAACTGAAATCTGACTCCAGATTTGTCCAACCACAAATCCCACATTTCCCACTATATCCAGAAAGGACCCCAAAGGTTGAGTCTGAGCAACTTAACCTGTTCTGATTTTTCAGAAGCCTACAACAGCCATCGGTGGGGATTGGATAGGAAATGCTGGCCGTGGGGTCTTTTGCATCAGGAAAGTCCAGATCTTCTGAGAGGAAGAAGTGGGAGATGATGGGCTAATTGGAGGCTGTGCTTTGGTTTGACTCCCACTCCTGGCCCACATCTGGCTGGTGGAGTTCCCGGGCCTGGACTCTTGGTGCTTAGGCCTACTGTCTTCCCATTTCTTTATGTTGACCTTCAAGTTTGCTGAATAAAATGAGGCACACTTGTCATTAAGTACTTTCCATACATGGCGTGCTCAGAGTGGAATGACCTGGCAGTCCTTGTCTGTTTCCTTCATTGATGTTTATCCTCCAGTTCAGGGCTGTCCAATAGAAATATAATGCAGGCCCCATGTGCAGTTTTAAATTATTTAGGAGCCACATTATAAAAAAGTAAAAATAAAGAAGTGAAATTACTCTGAATAACAAATTTTATTTAACCTGATATATTTAAAATACAAGCAATATGAAAAAAGTAATATAAAAATCAATGAGATATTTTACATTTTTTTTGTGCATAGTATTCAAAATCCAGTGTGCATTTTCCACTTATCGTGTGCCTCATTTCTGACTAGCCACATTGCAAATGCTCCCTGGTCACATGTGCCCAGCGGCTAAGCTCTTTTGAAAGCACAGTAGCTGATCCAGTTACAGGTTCTTCCCCTTGGAGTGGATGTTTCTGATTCCTCTTGACTCAGGAGGGAAGAGCTGAAGGAGCAGACAGGTGTGTCCTCTTGAGCTACTATCCACTTTCCCTGCTGGTCACCATGTATTTCTGGTAGCAAGCATCATGGGGCTGATCCCAACCTTCCCCAGCAAAGAGGAGCTGCAGGGGAGAGAATCTGGGTCTATGTCAACGACTCGTGGCCCTAAGTGTAGGAAGCACTTCCTGGGGGGACTGCAAACTGTGGCCCATGAAAAATGCATCTCTTCCTATTGTGCATTTCTGTTTATACAAAGTTTGACGAAGTTTCTATAATCAGTAAAGGCAATCTCAGCCCTAGGAAACCTGTGCAGCTGGTGAGGTTTGATTTCAATGTTCCCATTTTCCCACTGAGCTTGATTCTCTCCTTTATCCTCAAGGGGCACAGACCCCAGTCCAGTGGGAGGCCCAGCTCCACCATGCTTCGCCACCTGAGGAAATAGAACTTTCTTCTTTATAGCTGCTGTGCTCAGCTAGACACAGAATGTATGCAGAGTCTCCCACTGTTCTTATGTCCAGTTCTTCACTGAGTTTGGCTTGAGACTTTTGGGGAAACAAACCTTTGTTAGGTGATATGGCTTGGCTCTGTGTCCCCACCCAAATCTCATCTTGAATTGTAATCCCCACATGTGGAGGGAGGGACTTGTAATCCCCACGTGTCAAAGAAGGGAGATGATTGGATCACAGGGTTGGTTTTCCCCATGCTGTTCTCATGATAGTGACTGAGCTGTCACGAGATCTGATGGTTTTATAAGGAGCTCTTTCCCCTTCACTTTCTCCTGTGTCTCCTACCGTCATGTAAGACATAACTGCTTCCCTTTCTGTCATGATTTTAAGTTTCTTGAGGCCTTCCCAGCCATGCAGAACTGAGTCAATGAAACCTCTTTCCTTTATAAATTACCCAGTCTCGAGTAGTATCTTTTTTTTTTATTTTTTATTTTTATTTATTTATTTATTTGCAGACAAGGTCTCACTCTGTCTCCCAGGCTGGAGTGCAGTGGTGCGATCTCAGCTCTCTGCAACCTCCGCCTCGCAGGTTCAAGTGATTCTTGTGGCTTAGCTTCCCGTGTAGCTGGGATTAAAGATGCCCACAACAACACCTGGCTAATTTTTGCATTTTTAGTAGAGACGGGGTTTCACCTTGTTGGCCAGGCTGGTCTCAAACTCCTGACCTCAGGTGATCCGGCCGCCTCGGCCTCCCAAAGTCCTGGGATTACAGGTGTGAGCCACTGCACCTGGTCATCGGGTAGTACCTTTACAGCAGTGTGAAAACAGACTAATACACTTGGTGTAGGAAGATGCGGGGAATGTGTGCAGAACTGGCTGTAGACAGGGAAGGGATAGGCTGAAAAGATATCATGGCTTTTGGGGAGATGACAGTCATCTACTCAACCCTCTGAGCTTTTGTGTCTCTAACCTTGGGCAACATAGGGGCAGTGCACCCCCCCATCTCTGAGACCTGTTGGCATCCTTGGATAGGAATTAAATAAAACCCTCAAGGTCAGACATCTTCAGGTTCAGCTGCTAGTTCTCCTCCAGTTTGCATACAGTTGCAGGAATCATTGTCCCCTTGTGATACTCTCGATTACTTCTGGTGTGGGTCCCTCTCTTATATTCTTGGTGCTTTCAAGGATTCATTTCTTGTTCCATTGAGATCTGATGCCCTAAGCTTATGTCAAACTCTGCTTCAGATGAAAAGCTTAATTCTGGTCTTGCCTGGGTGTTGACAAAGGTAAGATAATTCTACAGAATCAGAAGAAACAGCAGATGTGTTTTACAAGTGCTAGGACATTTTAGACAGTTCGATAGGGTGTGTTTTATATTTGAAGGATGAGGAGAAAAAACTAAGTTTTTCCTATTGAATTGTTGGGCCACCTTGCAGAAGATGGCAATAGAAAAATAGACTTTTCATTTCAGCTTTTGGGGCTGTTGCCCCAGGAGAAAGGTGCTTTTCCAGTCCCTAGTGGCATAGGTTACTCGGGTCAGAAATTGAGCCAGTATGCTTAGCAGAATTATATTAAATAGAAGTCAAGTGCTGGTGGTACCCAACATTATAACTTAGCCAAAAGGTCATGGACTCAGCTTTGGAAGAATCCTTGCAACAGTCTTCATCATGGCCTGAACTTTACCCACTTCCTCTTTACTGTGTGACTTAGGCCATCTCCTCCTACATGCCTCCCATGCACACTTTGTAAACATGTTAGAAGGAGGATCCCATGACTAAAGCAAAAGCATGTAGAGATGAAGGAATCTGATAGCAGTCACACACTGCTATGGCTTGAATATCTGTCCCCTCCAAAAGTCACGTTGAAATTTAATTGCCATTGTGATGGAATTGGGAGGTGGAACCTTTAAGAGGTGTTTACATCATGAGGGCTTCACTCTCATGAGTGGAATCATGCTGCTATTGTTGGAGTGGGTTTGTTATTGCTGGAGTGGTTTCATTTCTGTCTCTGTCTCTCTTTGCCCCTTTGTCATGTGATGCTTTCCGCCATGTGATAATACAGCAAGAAGGCCCTTGCCAGATACTGTTGCCTTGATCTTGGACTTCCTGGCCTCTAGAACCATGAAAAATAAATTTTTGCTCATTATAAACTACCTAGTCTGTGATATTCTGTTATAGCAGCACAAAATGGACTAAGACAAACAATAATGTTTAACTTAAATATTGAATCCTCAGAGTGTCTCCCTGGTGTGTGTGTGTGTGTGCTGTGTGTGCACAGAGGTGTGTAGACATGCCATCTCAAACTGGACTGAAAGCTACACCACTTGTTTCGAGGATGCATCACCTGTTTCTCTCTTACTATTCCATACAACCTGTGCAGAAAACTGGACTGGCTCAAAAGGTTGATAACTGACTTAATATAAGCACAAGAATAACTGTGCATTTATGTAAAGCCTCCCTCAAAGGAGCTCTCAGCATTCTGCAGATAATGGACTTATTTATCCTTAGAGCACCTCTGTGAGGCAGTTACAGGACAGGGGTGACCAGGCTTATGTCATAAATAATGTCAGGAAGAGCACGAAGCCCAGCCAGCCTATAATTCTGAGGCCCTGGAGAAGATGGGATGGGCCCAAGGTCACTCAGTGAGGTGGGGCTAGGGAAAGATTTCCTGCTGCAACAAGGGGACTCATTCTTTCCAGCATTTCTGCTCCCAGGGCCTCCTCACATGTCTCCTTGGGCAGGCTTGGGCCTTTTCTGTGCACATCCTAAGGCATATTTTGTATGTCATCAGCAGTGTCCTTATTAACCCATGGCCCAATGAGCTCCAGAAATATTGTGTTACACAGAGTTAAACATGGGTCTTTACTGGAGGACTTGACACTTCGACAAGATCCTTTGTGTTGTGAATCTCCAAGAAGGGTCTTCAATATGCACCATTTTCCAAATTTACTTGTTCATGAAAACATTCCTTCTCAGGCTCTCATAGGATTGGTGAAATGCTGCTTTCTTAACATTTAACACCAGAACTTCCTTGTGGAAGGCAATATCTAGGTTTATGGAAGATCTTGGTAAGCCCACTGGGCATGTGGTCACTTTGTCAATATCACTGTCGGATGCTGAGATATGGAGCGGGAAAGCTGCTCTGTATGTGACAAGGAGAGGAATGAATGGCTTTTTTTCCCTAAAAGACAGGAAGAAAGAGAAGAGAAGAAAGGGGAAAGGTAAAAGAGAGAAGCCAGGAAGAGGGGAGAGGCTTGGGTTGGATGAAGTAAAGGTTCAGTGAAACTCCAGGATGGTGGGGAGACCAAAGGACAAGGATTTCAGGATTTAAGAATAAGGATGGGCTGGGTGCAGTGGCTCACGCCTGTAATCCCAGCACTTTGGGAGGCCAAGGCAGGCAGATCGTGAGGTCAGGAGATCGAGACCATCTTGGCTAACCCAGTGAAACCCCATCTCTACTAAAAATACAAAAAAAAAAAAAAAAACAATAAGCTGGGCATGGTGGTGGGCGCCTGTAGTCCCAGCTACTCAGGAGGCTGAGGCAGAAGAACAGTGTGAACCCAGGAGGCGGAGCTTGAGCTTGTAGGGAGCCGAGATCACACTGCACTCCAGCCTGGGTGACAGAGTGAGACTCCTTCAAAAAAAAAAAAAAAAAAAAAAAAGAATAAGGATGCTGGCTAGGCTAGGCATGGTGGCTTCGTGCCTGGGATCCCAGTGCTTTGGAAGGATTGCTTGAGACCAGGAGTTCAAAGCTGCAGTGAGTTATGATCACACCACTGCACTCCGGCCTGGGGGACAGAGTGAGACCCTGTCTCTTAACAAAAAAAAAAAAAAAAAAAGGAAAAATAATAAAGATGCTTACTGCCCCATTTGAAGTTGCTGGTGTGACAATGTAAACCCCTCCTCCGGCATCTTCCTCTCCCATTTTTAGGGGAGTCTACTAGATCATATTGCTCTGTAGAGTGATATGTGCATGTGTGTTCATTTCATCCCTGAACTTCTGTGGACAGGGAACAGATAGCATTAACAGAAACAGCAGCCTAGAGACAGAGATGACCAGGAGAGGTAACCTCTTGGTTGCTCACATAACTCTTTGGGAGGGTTGCAGCACTATAGGACTTGAGCTATATTCCCTAAGATTTCAATGGTATCCCAGGCTGCAAAATTGGGCACACCGTGGATTAGCTGTTTCTGATGATGTCCTCTGCTATGTCATCTCAGGGTCATAATTAAGTGTCTCCATTTGTACCACACTAGCCCAGGCATCTGGAGCCACAGAGAACACACATCTTAAGATAGTGATCTTATTTCCCTGTAGCAGCCTGTTCTCCAGATTACGCACATTTTATTCCTTCCACATGTCTCATATGACTGGTTACCAGACTGTTACCATCTTGGCTACCCTTGTCTGGACTCCCCCTCCTCCAGGGTTTCTGCAGGCCTTGTGGGTTTAACACAATCCAGCAAGTGTGGTCTGCCCATTGCTAAATATGGTAGAGTCTTTACTGTTTGTGATCTGGACCTTCTGCTTCTACTAAGGAAGCCTCAATTTCATCCAGCATTGTTTTTATTTAGCCTTCACATTGTCTTCTCAGCACCTATTAAACTGGGTCAACTGAAATCCTTATTAGATAATAAGTAAGTCCAATCTTTTTGGTTACAGCTGCTCAGATGGTATGGTATTATACAGCCATGTGGGTGAGAACTGCTTAGTTTCATGTCTATTGCATCATGATTACAGTTTATATCATGTTGTAATGGGGGAGGATGTCTCCAAATACATGCACATGTGCAAAGGCCTCGAGAGCCACTCTGTGCCATTTTAAGGAGTGCCTGGTGTAACGAAGCGATAATTAATAGCATCAGTCACAAACAACTTTTTTCTTTTCTTCCCGCACTTCCCAGCTTGTTTGTCAAAGGCTGCTGATGTGCCAGTGATAGGCGTGATGTAAACATAGGTAGACACAGAGATCCTGGCAGACAGTGATTGTGCAGGGTGTACTGAGACCCCCTTGCAAACATCCTTAACAATAGTGACAGCCACATGTCTAAACACAGTTCACCTTAAACAGCTTTTAAGTGCTTCTGGGGGTAAGAAATAGGAATGATGAGGGGAGAGAAGGAAGCAGTAGCAGGATGTGGAGGTCTCTAATTATGTTAACTGAGTTTTAGTTTCATCAGAGCTGTGTTAACATCTCCTAATGGAAATGGTGCTGTAGGGCTGCTTGTCCTTAGCTCATAGCCTTGCAGGACAATGGAGCTAACGTGGGCAGGAGAGAGAGACGGTGTTTCCTCTTCTGCTACTCACCAGCTGTGAGACTGTAAACAAGCCAGCCTTTTGGAATTTGTTTCTTCATCTCCAAAACAGATTTTCCAAAGTGGATCTGAGGGATAGTGAGAAGGTGGAACCAGTGCCCTGATGCTACAGAGGAGGAAACTTAGTAACCTGAAAGAGTTCTTCCCCCACTCAACATTGTGTGAATCTCTTGGGGGTCAGACCTCATGGTCGGGCCATGGACCTTAGAAGACAGGCAGTGACTCTGCCTTCATACAACTGCAAAGGTGATGAGATCTATACATTGACAACCATGAAGCAAGGTAGATGGGAAGTGCTTTAAGAAGTAAAAATAACAGGAGAAGGGAGAGCCTCCTCTGAGGGGAGGACAAGTGGGAGGAGGAGCACTCTGCAAGGGCTGGCATTTGTGCTAACCCTGAAGGATGAGTGGGGGAGAACCAAGAGGAATGCCCTTTTTGAAAAAGGGAAAAAGTATGACTCCCATTTGAAGGCAGAGTGTTTCCACATAAATTATCCGATTCAGCTCTCCCTCCAATAATGGTAACAACTTGCCTGGCAAAGCATTGTCCGTGATACAGTCTGTCTGAACTTACTCAGGAGAGGCCGTCGTGATTCTGTGCAACATGTCGCAGGGTGCAGGGAGGGAAGTGAGGGGAGACAAGGTTGGAAGTGGTTTCTGGGAGCTTAGCCTTTGTCATATAGGCAGGAGGAGCCCTGAGGGTTTTGGAGCAGGGGGGTGAAGCAGGTCACTGTGTCTCGGTATCTTGCAGGCATGAGGAGTCCCCTCAAACATCTCTCTCTGTTTTCTTGGGTGCCTGGAACCATATTTCAGTCTGAAATCATTAATTCAAAGGTGCAGGGCATGAAATTATCTTTCAAGCTGAAACTTGAACTCATATAATGCTACAGTTTTCTGGAGGGATGAATGGATTAAAGTCATTTACCAAGCACTTAATTCAGTCAACAAACATTTAGGAAAGACCTAAATGAGTCAGGCACAGTCAGGCAATGACTAAAGCCAGCTCTTGTCCTACCCAGTCTCCAAGGCTCATCTTAAAAGGGCTTTACACCAAGAAGCCTTTCCTGATATGTCCTCTGAAAATAGTCTCTCCTCTCTCCCAAGTTAACCCCTGAGATCTCCCTACATTCTCAAGTAGCTCACCAGCTAAGGGTGGCAGAGCAAGTCAACAACAGACTGGATTTGACAAAGGAAGTGGGGTTGGAGCCTTGCACAAAGTATGATGTGGGCAGTCAGAGAAGACCTCTTGGAGGAGGTGAAATAGAAGCGGAGTCTCTGAAGGCAATGCTGGGGACAAGAAACAGCAAAAGGTATGGGGGAAATGGTGAGCAACTACGATTTGTTACAGCAGAACCTGTGAGGCCTGGAGTACAGAGAGCTATGGCTGGACACAAGTTGATGGGGATCAGAACACAGAGGACCTGTGTACACTGTGCTCAGGAGTTTGGGCACCATTTGACCAGTGATGAAAAGCCACTGATGTCTTCTGGGTGGAGGAATGACATGGTGAAACTTGAATTTTCCACGGATGATCATAGAAAATACCGGTATTGGCTGGGCACGGTGGCTCATGCCTGTAATCTCAGCATTTTGGGAGGTTGAGGCGGGTGGATCATGAGATCAGGAGTTCGAGACCAGCCTGGCCAACATGGTGAAACCCCGTTTCTACTAAAGATACAAAAAATTAGCCATGTGTGGTGGCACACTCCTGTAATCCCAGCTACTCGGGAGGCTGAGGCAGGAGAATCACTTGAACCCAGGAGGCGGAGGTTGCAGTGAGCCGAGATTGTGCCATTGCACTCCAGCCTGGGGGACAGGGCAAGACTCCATCTCACAAAACAAAACAAGCAAACAAAAAATACTGGTATTGTTCCAGGCACTGTTTTAGAGCTTTGCAAAGGATATGGTTTGGGTCTGTGTCTCCACTAAATAAATCTCATGTCAAACTTTAATCCCCAGTGTTGGAGGTGGGGCCTGGTGGGAGGTTACTGGATCACATGGGCAGATTTCTCCTTTGGGGCTGTTCCTGTGATAGTACGTGAGTTGTCATGAAATCTGGTTGTTTAAAAATGTGTAGCACCTCCCTCATCTCTCTCTTCCTCATGCTCTGGGCTTGTAAGTTGTGCCTGCTTCCCCTTTGCCTGCTGCCATAATTGTAAGTTTCCTGAGGCCTCCCCAGCCATGCTTCCTGTACAGCCCGCAGAACCGCGAGTCAATTAAACTTCGTTTCTTTATAAATTACCCAGTGACAGGTATTTCTTTACAGCAGTGCAAGAACGGATGAATACGGCAAATAATCCTTAAAATAACTTATAAGATAGGTACTATTATTATCTCCCATTTTACAGATGAGGAAACTGAGGCTTAGACCTGAAACGACTAGTCTGGGGCCATACATAAAATAAGTGAGGAGAGTTGGGGTTGAAGCCAGGTGATCTGGCTCCAGAGTCTGTGCTTTTAGCCAGGCTATTCTACCGCACTCTGGAGACACCAATGAGATGTCCCAGGTAGCAGAGTCTGGAAATTGGGAGGCTCATCTGGAAGTTGTTGCCAGCGTCCTGTTTGGAGATGCTGGGTTCTTAACTAGTAGTGAGCAGTGAGGGTGGATTCCCTAAATGTTATGGAGGAAGTCTTGAGGTGTTGACGAGTGATTGCCAAAGGAATTGAAAGAGGAACAAATGTTGGACTTGGTTAGGGGTTGGCACACTGTATCTACAAAAGCCTACATGGCAACTCTTTTAGGCTTTGGAGGTCATATGGTCTCTGTCACAATTACTCAACCTTGCCATTACAGCAGGAAAGCAGCCACAGACCGTAAGTGAATGAATGAGTGTGGCTGTGTTCTAATAAAACTTTATTAATGGACACTGAAATTAGAATCGCGTGGCATTTTCACGTCATAAAATATTCTTCTTTTGATTTTTTTGCAACATTAAAAAATGCAAAAATCATTCTTAGCACGAGGGTTGTACAAAAATAGGTAGTGGGCCAGTTTTGGGCAATAGTTGGCTGACCTCCAAGCTAGTTCCTAGGGGGTGGGACAAAAGAATCCAGGACGATTGGAGGTAAGCTCCAAGTGGAGGGCAAACGAGTCTGCACATCATGTTCCTGGGCCAGGATCCGCTGCCCTGGTGTCCTCTAGCCAGGCACACACGCTGCGAAGGGAGTGATTCACAGCCAGCATGCAGTGTTCGACCCCCTTAGACCTGAGCTTCTGCTAATCAAAGAACATTCGCAAGGACAGCGTTAACAAGCAGTGGCTTTCTCTTCTTCCAGCTCCCCCTTTCCACCCCAGGCGCGGTGGTAATGAAAACACGTTTACATAAACACAGAGGTCACGGTCACACGGCCACTCTCATGCTAAAGCATTTCCGAATACTAATAGTTTCCACTTAATGCAAAATCCAGGTTTTACCGGAGAGCTTAAGGTGACCTGAAATACCACTCCAAATTGCACCACTTTATTAATAAAAAATCATTCTGCAGGCTAACTCACTCCAGTTTTCTTCATCTGTGTTGGAGACAGGGGAAACAGAAAGTTTGGAACTGTAACTGAAGACAAATCTTATGGCATGAGGGTATGGCCTCAGATGTCAAATCCTCAAGAAAAAAACCAAAGGTCATCTCTTAGACTACAAGCCCTATCAGCCAGCAGCATTCCTAACCCTGCTCTCAGAAACCCCTCACCATGTCCAGGAGAGAACCCTTCCATGGGGGTTCATTATGAGTGGGCAATGGTTCATGGCTGCCATCTTTGAGCACCAGCTTCCTGCCAGGCACCAGGCCAAGACCTCTGCAAGTGCACAGTTACAGATATTTCATTGGTGCTGATGACGGCACGGACAAGGCATGGGATCTCAGAGAATGTCTAGCTCAAGTGCCCTTAGACATGAAAAACTTTTAAATTAAGTAGAATCTTGTGCACATCATCAAATTTACATAGAACTTTAATATCTAAGACATAAAAGAGGGACAGGACAGTCCCCTCTCACACAGTAGGCCCTGAGGCATTCTAGGATCTTGCATTGTGACTGTGATCCTTCGTTTTCTTTTATTTTTTCTCTTAAGACAGAGTCTCACTCTGTTGCCCAGGCTGGAGTGCAGTGGTGTGATCTCGGTTCACTGCAATCTCCGTCTCCTGGGTTCAAGCAATTCTCTTACCTCAGCCTCCTGAGTTGCTGGGACTACTGGCACGTGCCACCATGCCTGGCTAATTTTTTGTATTTTCAGTAGAGACGGGGTTTTTCACCATGTTAGCCAGGATGGTCTCGATCTCCTGACCTCATGATCCACCTGCCTCGGCCTCCCAAAGTGCTGGGATTACAGGTGTAAGCCACCAGCCCAGCTGATCCTTCATTTTCTAAATCAGGAAGCTGAAACCAAGAGAGGTGGTGTGACTTTCCCAAGAGCACTTGCTCTGTCTGGACGCAGTGACTCCATAGGTCAGTACTCACTTCATTCCACAAAGCAGTCTCTCACTAGCAATTTCTAGAGGTGGGCATAGATACTTCAAGAGGGGCAGCTTGGGAACATGGAATCAGCCCTGGATTATGTGACAGCAATTTGGGTTTGAGTCTCAGCTGACACTTAACCAGCTATGTGACCTTGAGCAAATAACTACGCACCATCAGCCATGGTTTCCTCATGTGCGTTAAAGGAGTCACAGCCAGATTTGTTAGAGGATCTTAAGAAAGAAATAAGCAGAAGCATTTTGTGAAGTGCTGTTTCAGAACGTGATTATGAGGGCATGATGGCTCACACCTGTAATCGCAGCTACTCAGGAGGTTGAAGCAGGAGGATCCCTTGAGCCCAAGAGTTTGAGACCAGCTTGGGCAACACAGGAAGACCCTGTCTCTACAAAAGATAAGAAAATTAGCCAGGTGTGTTCATATGTGCCTATAGTTCAAGCTGCTTGGGAAGCTGAGGTGAGAGGATCACTTGAGGCCAGGAGTTCAAGGCTGCAGTGAGCTATGATTGTGCCACTGCACTCCAGCATGGGTGACCCAGAGAGACTTCGAATCTAAAAATATTAAAAACGAATACAAAAGAATGTGATTATGGCTGTTCTAGGCATATCTCAGGGGCTGCCCCTGAGATATTAAAAAATAATACAAAATAAAAATATTAAAAAATAGTACAAAAGCATGTGATTATGGCTGTTCTAGGCATATCTCAGGGGCTGCCCCATGGAGGGCCACAGCCTATGTTTGTGCAGAATGGAACTGTGTGGGATTTTCAACCAGCCCAGTTTGTCTTAACCCAACTGCATGCTCAGCATCTAAGGATAGGCTTTTTGAGATTGGAAAAAAAAAAAAAAGGAAAAAGAAAATACTACTGCATTTCAGTCCTCGGTTTGTGACTGTCTTTCTAGCTCCAACCCTGTCTCTCATTTGCCATCCATCTAGCAACTGGGAAGGAGAAAAGAACTCTTCTTTTACCCTCTAGTTCCTGGGCAGCATTCAAGAGTTATGGGCTTTTGCTCCCCCAAGAAAGAAACATTATCCTCAGCCTTCAAGGATGAGGATCTCTGAATGTACCAGGAACTAAATAATGCCTTTTCTATCTTTCATACTGGAATTTAAGAGTTCCCTAGAGCAGCTGAGTTTATTAGGACCCATAAGAACTGTACTATAACCAAGACACCAGCAGCCATAAACCTGTACCTTGAATTTTGCAACAAATCCTGAAATGGTGAACTAGGACGAGCTCTTGTCTCTGTCAGCAGAAAAAAATAAAATAAAATAAAAGGAGAAATGCAAACTCAAGCAGAAAAAGAGACCCGAGAAGGGAAGGCAGGAAGAAGGAGCGAGAGCAAAAACAACAGCCACGCTATTAATGACGGTAATAGTCATCAGTACACAAAGAGGGAGGTGGTGTGTGCAAACCTCACTGAGCAAGTCTGGGGAAGTCGCCTTGATCACAGGATGGGGCCCAGCTCATGGGAGAAGTGGGCAAGTGGCTGGGGCAATTAGAAAGAAAGACACTTACACCTGTATACACACACACACACACACACACACACACACAGCCACAGAGGAAAGCATAAGAAGCTGCTTGGAGAAAAGCAAAACCCAGGTAGACAACAAAAGACCTCTTGAAACCTTCTGAGCAGCTTCCACTGATGGAAGCACCACTGGGAGCAAGGTCTCTGGGGAAGGAGTGGATATTTTCTCCTCTATCCTTTGGTGCTACTCAGATGGCTGAATTGACTTTCCTCTGAATACCCCGAGTTCCTTTAAGGCTCAGCAAAGTGGACTCTGCCCGTTTTAGAAAGGAGTACAACAAAATTAGAACATGCTGGGTCTGCGGTGGACGTGCACAGTTGGAGCAATCGTGGCAGGGCAGTGCTGTGGGAGCAGGGCTTAGAGCCCCAGCACTTTCTCCCTGTGCGATAAAGACCATTTCTGCAGAGAGCATGTTGCAAACACACACACGCACACAACTGGCTCTTCCTTTGCAGGGAGCCTGCATCGCCCCATATCCCACTTTACCAGCATGGCAAACCCTGCTAATTAATGACACAAAATCCATTCCTCTTTCTTTGCCCATAAACAGAACCTCAGCTTTCTTTGGGGGGTGACAAGGTGTCTATTTCATGTCTCAGGCTCTTTGGGAACCATATGAGACAATTCTGGTTAATGAGATAAATGCCTAATTTGCTGCTGGTGTAGGAGTGGGGGTGGTGCTGTGAAAACTGTGGCTTTCCTGATATCAGGGATAATGAAGGCTGGAGCTGTCTTTTCTCCTCTGTTTTCCCCTTGAACATGGATACGGTGTCTGGAGCTGCAGCAGCCATCTTGTGACTATAGAGTCAAACAGGGCAAAAGCCAATCCCTACGAGATTCTAAAACAGACATTTAGAAAACTGATCCGGCACCTCCCACCCCTGGATTTCCGTTATGTGAGAAAAAATAAATACTTCTTTGTGTAAGTCGCTGTGAGTTGAGTTTTTTGTACTTGCAGCCAAATTCAATCTTAACTGGTACATTCAGGTAGAAAGAACTTGGCACCTTTTTGTTTTTTTAACTTCCAACCTTCGTGTTGCCTCTTTCTAGCTCATGAGACTTCATTGTCAAAGTATTAAATAACCCCAACTTTCCCGAGGGTGTAAAACTGAGTGTCTTGGGCTGGGCTGGGGCAAAGAGAAAAGCTTCCAGTGCCTGGGCCGACTGGAGCTCTCCAGCTCTCTGTCCCACCCTCCTTCGTGCCTGTCTGCTCCTGCCTGCCCTGCTCTCCGCCCTCCCAGGGTCTTGGCTCTCCCTGGAGGTGCTTCTTGCCTCCTACTTCGACATCATGTCTGATCCAGAATGGGTTAAATTTTTTATTGATTTATTTTTCTTTTTGTGAGCGCATAGGGAGGAAGAAGAGGGAAAATAAATTATACATCTCCCAAGATACGATCTGTAGTTAATTCTTAATTAGGACTGACAGATGCTTCCCCCATAATCCTATTCCCAACATGTTCTGTTTGCTTTGTTTGGTGCTGGAAGATATATTGTGACACAGTAATGACCTTTCTAAGCTTGTCCTGGAAGTGTTATTGGCATTCTAATGATTTATTGCATGTTCCAGTTGATTACAGGGCCATTTGTCAACATTTTATTTCTCTCTCCATAAACCTGTCTCCTGCGTCACAGACATTCACTGGCATGAAATTTAAACAAATACAGTATATTGCTCTTACTCAACTTCTGTTTTCTCTTGGAGCCTCTGGAGCCAACCCATTCTGGCCAAGAGGGGGCTTTTTATGATCAGCGTTGCTGCAGCTTTCACAGGGCAGGAACTGGTCTCTGTGTGTGAGACTGGAGATGTTTTCCTCTCTATTGATTTGCAATTCCTTGTGATGGGACTATTTTTCTACAGCCGAGTTGGTCAGGCCAGTTTCCCAACGACTTGTATCAGTTTCCCAACGACTTGTGTGGATTCTGTCTCTGGGTTTGTGCCTGTTGGCATGTGAGGAACTGCTTGGCTGGAAAAGGAGGTGCTGACCTGTCCTAACCAGTCCGCCTGGTAGATTTATCTCTTAACTCCTTACCACCACAGAGTCACCACACAGGTGACAGGGCTGAGCAGGCCCAGGGGACATTCAGAGAGAATGTGAGTCATGCCATCACAGCACGGAGGCTCATCCTGTTCCTAACTTGCTGGGTGACCTTGGGCCCACCCCATCTTGCTCAGCCTCAGAGTTGTAGGCTGGCTGGGCTTCGTGTTGTTCCTGACATTATTTATGACATGAGCCTGGTCACCCCTGTCCTGTAACTGCCTCACAGAGGTGCTCTAAGGATAAATAAGTCCATTATCTGCAGAGTGCCGAGAGCTCCTTGGAGGAAGGCTTTACATAAATGCACAGTTATTCTTGTGCTTATATTAAGTCGGTTCTTAACCTTTAGAGTAGGTTCATAAGATGCTGTGGAGGAGTGGGAAATAAATGAAAGATCTAGCTCCCCTTTCAGTCTCGGACTGAGAAAGCATGAATATTCACCTGTATGCCTTTTCAGACACATGCACACACCCCTATGTGCCCCCACCCCTGATGGAGCGCACTTGTGAAAGTTAAAGATTTAGCATGAACAGGGATAGCATTCAGCTTCCCTCAGATTTCTGTATCCCTAGTAGACTCTTCCTGGTTTCTAGCGTTGTCTGTCCTAAGTGACGCGGGGAAGCTGGAAAGCTACAGTGGCACCCTTCTGTATTCCAGATCCATGTGTGCCTCCCACTGGTATCCCAAAATCTTCAGGTTGATAACCGCGCTTGTAATGAGTTTACGTGTGTTCGTTCCCTGAAAGCTCCTTTCTCTCCTTGGAATACCTTTCTCATTGAATGGCATGAACATCTGCCCAGTGGTCCAGTTAGAAATCTGAGAAGCCTTCTTGCCTCCATCATTTCCTGTATCTTCCTCAAGTCCTGGTGGATTCTGTGCCCTGTATGTTTATCAGCTCCAAACCTTCCCCACCATGTCTATCCTCAGGCCCTCAGCATTCCTCCCCTGGACCATGGCCGTGTGCCCTTCCTTGGCTGGGGGTAGTGGTTGCAAGCAACAGAAACTCAGTATTGCTGTCGCCAAATATATTTTGTGCTTAAAATAGTAGGGGGAAACCAGAAAGTCAGGACTAGAAAATAGCTAGGAGTTAAGAGACCTCTAAATATTACACAGTTGGATCCTCAGTCAAGGTCCCCATTCCAGTGATCTGTTTCTGTGGAACAAAGCACCCCGCACTCAATTACTTAAAATGACAATGTTTATTTTGCTCATGAATAGGCAATTTGGGCATGGCTTACAGGGAGCAGCTTGTCTTTGCTCTACGTGGAGTTAGCTGGGGTGGCTGGAAGGGTGGGGCCTGAAGTCTCCCAAAGGCTCCCTCCTTCACAAGTCTGATGGTCAATGCTGGCTGTCAGCTGGAATCTTAGCTGGGATTGTTGGCCGGGACACCTACCTACACATGGCTGCTCTGTGTGGTCTGGGCTTCCCTGCAACGTGGTGGCTAGGTTCCCAGGGCAAGCCTCTCAAGAGAGAATGAGCCAGATGGAAGCCATCTCACTTTTCATGATGTAGTCTCTGAAGTCTTGCAGTGTTACTTCCATTGCTTTGATTCCAGAGGAGAAATAAACTCTACCTCTTGTTGGAGAGTAGCAAGACTGTGGAACAGCATGTGGAATTGGAAATATTGCTGTGGTCATTTTTGGAAAATACAATCTGCCACAGCCTGTGAAAAGTGTGCTGTTTAGTTACCCACTCAAAAGTCAACATTTCTAGAGGGGAGTGTTGGATTGACTGTGCCTGTCGTCCACTCCTGGCTACTCTGGCAGGTGAGGCAGAGAATCTTGCCCCTTCTATGATAGAAAGCAGCAGTGGTCTCCCTTCAGGACCACACAAAATAAGGAGTTTCCACTGAAAGGGAGATCAGGGTGCTAATAGGAAGATGGAAATGGGGATGTGGAGGACAGTATTGTGTGGTATGCTGCCCCCAAATGACAATGATCTTCTGCAGCCTGACTCCCCAGCTCTGTTTAGGTCTTCATTACTTTGATGCCATTATGATCTAAAATTCTATTGTGATCATGTGACCGCCAAGCCTAAGATCCTCTGATGTTTCCCAACAATTTTTGAATCAGTCTCAGTCTCCTCAGCCTGGCATAGCAGAGAGCTATGAACCTGGCCCTTCCCTACGTTTGCAGGTGTCTTCTGGCCACAGCCTAGAGCCCACAGCCCATGCACAGCCTCTTTACTGCCATGTTGCTTTCTGGCTCTTTTTCATGTTTTCCATAGTCTTCTTTGTCTGAAATTTTGTATTTGCAAATCTGCAGATCCTTCTGCATCAAAAGTCCTTCCTCTGCATCCTTGTGTACCAGGCTAGTTTTAATTTATATATATACACATATATATACATACATACACATATACATACATATATACATATATACATTCACACACACACCTGTGTCAAGGGCTGTCACCACCAAGAAGCCCTCTCTGGAGTCATGTCCCCCATCCAAGGTCAAGCTGTGGTTCTTTTCTGTGTTTTCATAGCTCTATTGCAGTTCTGATCTTTGCCTTTCTTGCCAGTTTTTTAAGAGGGGCAAAGACTCTGTCTTTACTGTCTTTAGATCCCTCAGAGATTAGAATGCCACTGGCCACATAGTGGTTGCTCAGTAAATGCCAACCAAATGGTAACGAACAATGTGAGGTGGTCCAGATCCCATTTTCTTTTCTTTTCTTTGAGAGAGAGTCTTACTCTGTCACCCAGGTTGGAGAGCAGTGGCACAATCTTGGCTCACTGCAACCTCTGCCTGCCTCCTGGGCTCAAGTGGTTCTTGTGCCTCAGCCTCCCAAGTAGCTGGAATTACAGGCATGCACCATCACACCAGGATACTTTTGGTATTCTTATTAGAGATGGGATTTCACCATGGTGGCCAGACTGTTCTTGAACTCCTGGCCCCTAGTGATCTGCCCTCCTTGGCCTCCCAAAGTGCTGGGATTACAGGTTTGAGCCACTATGCTTGGCCCCAGGCCCCATTTTTTAATATGACTGTCTGAGGCTGGGTGTCATGGTGGGACATAGCTTTTGCAGTTAAATGTTGGAAAGCCAGAACTGTTCACCACCAGTGACACTATTGACTGTGCAGAATAGGGCTGGAGGGGAAATCAGCTTGACTCAAGTTTCTGGGCCGCATGAAAAGTTGATGCTAGGCATTGGTGAGTTAGTTATAATTTGGGCCTGGGTGGGGTACCCCTGTGTGGGATATATACACATGCAACATAACGTGTGACCAAAACTGCTCTTTGGTTCAACATTATCCCAAGATAAATGAACACTGGAAAATGGCAGGGAGGAGCAAACCCATGTAACTGGCAAGGAGAATCATTTATTTTTCTTTGTACCTTTCTGATGTAATTGCTGTCTCTCGGTGACTTGGACAGAATATGAAGAAAAGCATGAGAGGTTAAATATCTTTGGAGAATGGGGATGAGCTTGGTAAGAGAAGGGCAGAGAGCCAACGTGGTTCCTTTCACATGTAGACCCATGATGGGATTAGGCCCAGGGTGCATCAACTTGCTGGGAGACACAGGGATGGGATTAACAGGGCTTTAGCTCTCTTTCTGGGGACCAATTTCCCAGTCATTGCTGGATCCTCAGTGCAAAAGCACTGTCTCATCAAGGACGCCTGCACAGGCCACATGGCAGACCCACGACCATTGGCCCCCAGCTCTGCAGAGGTGGCAGCAAGCCCTGTACAAGGGGCAAGAAGGAAATCCAGCCCTTGGCTGAAGAGGACAGATAGGGTGAGGAGAGGGGCATCCCTGAGAGACTGGGAGGCTGAAGAGTTCCAAGCCCAGTGCGAGCTGCATGTAACGTATGGCTTAATTTCCTCTAAAATTAGACACTTGATTAAAAAAGTTATTATATCTGTCAAATTGCCAGGGCATTTTATGGGTGTGATAAACTAAGAACCACTGCTTTACAAACCTTGATGGGATGTTTCAGTACCTGGAAAACAATTTTATGGCCGCCCAGGCTACTAACAAATTGCAACTACTGATTAAGCCATAAAGTTACAACAACATTAAAATATAATGAGAGGTTATTGCACGAGGAAAAGCTTTTAAGCAACAGCCGCAGCTGCACTCAGCCACCAAGGCGGGCTCATGCTTTCTCTGGCATAGTGAGGCATGTCAGTATTCAGTGGTCGCCTCAGGGCCAGGCCCAGGCCCAGGCTCTAGGGGGGAGTCTTAGGTGGGATTTCCTTCAGGGTGGAGCAGAGCACAGAGAGATGCTGCCTACACTGAGGACTTAGAGACATCAGACATTGGATGTTGAATGTCATATTTCTTGGGACTCTGGGACATAAGACTGGGCAGAGAGGAAGAGCCCTGTGTCTGTCCCACACACCCTGGTTTGGATGTGACACCTTTCCAGGAAGTGCGGATTCCCTCCTTGACCCTTTGTTTTCATTCACTATGGAGATTCAACTCCCCTTAATGTGGCGTTTCCCATTCTATATGCTGGGCAACTCCAAATGGTCACTGTGTAGGCTCGAGGGTGGTGCTATGGGAAGCAAAAGGTAAATTGACCTATAGACCTAGTTTCTGCCCCTAAAGAGCTGTAGTCTAGTGAGGGAGTGATAACATATGCACGAGAACATAAAAATCTAGTGCAGAATTTTCTAAGAGCTGGTCAAGCCCATCGATGGAGTCTACTGCTGGGAAAGAAGTGAAGTGGGTTTTCTCTTTCTGGTTCTCTTTGCCTTGCTATGCTTCAATCAAGCTGAAATTTTCTTTAGCTGCCCAGTCTGTCACCCAAGGAGGCAACAATTCCTGTCTGGATCACTAGTCCATACCTTCAGCTAAAAGAAAATGTCAGTGGAAGCCCAGACTTCCTGAGTCCTGGGGTGGTACGGCTTGCCTCCTGTTTGAAGCCCTGTGACAGGGGCTGTTGCCCCGTGGTGCCCTGCATTGCCCAGAAGGCAGGAGTTTCCTTCTTCATTGCCCATCCCAGAGCTGAAGTCATTTGTGTGGTTCGTTAAATCTCAGAGCCTTTGCCACGGAGGGTGGCAACTTCTCAAAAGGGGTAGGAGCATTAGTCATTTGGGGCTTCCTTTACCAAGCATGGGCCACAAGCCTCCTGACAGCACTTGGATGTCCTACATTTTATCCAGGAAAGAAAAAGATGTAGCTATGAGACCCATGTCACCTCCCCAGATGTGGGAGGTGGAGCTAAATATTTTCAGGGAACTTGTGTAATGAGTCAACAACAGTGACAGCTGTTTAGTGTGGAGGGCAGGAGAGGGTGCTCCGGGGTCAGGAGGGTTGGGGAGATAAACACAAACTCAAGACTTCTCCATTTAGTGGCCTGGGGTAGGTTATTTAGCATCTTTATGCTTTAATATTCTCTTTTTAATTTATGTATTTATAGATCACATTATATTTATGCTATATTATTTGTATAATTATATTTATATCATATTTATCATTTGTATATTTATTATTTATACTTATCCTCATTTAAATGACCTACTCATAGGGTTGTTAGAGGATTAAATGTGTGATATATGTGAATTTTTGAAGGGGTCCAGACTGGCATATCATAAACCCTCAATTAATATTATTACTGCCATTTATTGAACTTCTACTATGTATTAGCATCTCTGTTTGTACTTTACATGAATTATCTCTTTAATATTCATAATAAACACTAGCATAACTATTATTAGCCCTATTTCATAAATGCAGACACAGTGAGGCTCAGGGCAGAAAGTCCCTTGGTAACAGCTCATTGATGGCGGAGTTGGAATCACAAATAGATTGGGCTGATTTCAAAGTCCATGCTCAAGATGCCATAATTCAGAATACTTTCTAAGATTCATAGGGCAGATAACCTAGAGAAATGGGAAGAAACTGCTCTTCTTATCCTTCCTGCATTGCACTGCACCCATCCATAGGACTTCAACTTGGGCTCTATCGACCTTGGTTTCCAGGAGCAGCTCTGGCTTCTGGCAGGCTTGGGGAGGGTATGATCAGAGCCATCTAGTGTGCCCCTTATGGCAGGTTGTCTTTGTTGCCTTGGCACAACTCTTCAGCATTTTACAAGGATAAGAATGCCTTGGAGCAGCCAAGGTTCAGGGGTTCAAGGCCAGCCTGGCCAACATCATGAAACTCCATCTGTACTAAAAATATAAAAATTAGCTGGGCATGGTGGTGGGCACCTGTAATCCCAGGTACTTGGGAGGCTGAGGCAGGAGAATGGCTTGAATCCGGAAGGCGGAGGTTGCAGTGAGCTGAGATCATGCCACTGCACTCTAACCTGGGCAATAGAGCGAGACTCTGTCTCAGAAAAAAAAAAAAAAAGGGGTAACTTAGAATGGAAACGTATTCAGGAGACAGGTGGTCCCATTTTGACTGTATTTATACGAAGAGATGGGCAGGCATAGGGGACAATGCCATCTATGGAACAAACCACACGTTTTGCTCTTTTAGGGTGTGGTAGGGTAAGTATGCAACAAATACAGTGATAGCACTCAGAGGCTCCTTATTCATTCATTCCTACTCATTCATAATTTATTCTGCTAAATGTAACAGTTCTCAAGTATCTGTGAAAGAGCAACGCCATCACTGGCACTCGGGATCAGTAGCTGAATAGAGAGGGAATGTGCTCTCACAGCTGTTAGAGTAATAGACTATTGTACTGTCCACAGGGCATCAAATACTATAACAAAGATGAACAGAGCACAAGGGACTATAGGGGAAAAGGTGATGGGGATCTCAAGTCACCTTGGGGAGGTTCTGAGTCTGAGGCTGCAGCTGAACTGCCCAGGTCAGAGAGAATTAGGATATTCATATTTCAGTTCTCTCCTTTCTCTCTTAGGAATACTGCTCCTGGGGTCTAGGCTGTGAAAATATTAGTAATGACAACTCACATCTGTGCAGCACTTTGCAAAAGGCACGGTTGTCCCATAAGACAGCTATTCTTGTCATTCCCATTTGATAAATTAAGAAACGACAATGCAGAGAGGGGGTGTACTTTTCCCAGTGTTACTTTTTTTTTTTTTGTACCGTTAGTTCTTAGCCTGGTAGCATGTGGCCCCCATGCGAGCAGGGACTTGCGTCCTCTGAGTGGCTGCTCACTGGCATGTTTTCAGCACCTAGAAGAGTGCCTGGGACATGGTGCTCACTGGATAAGGTCTTGTCGAATGAGTGACTAAAACACAGATTCTTTTTAATTCCAACACATCTGTGCTTTTCACTACATCACCAGCTCCTGCTGAAATGCTGGTGGCCTAGAGAGAATTTCTGTGGGAGAGAACATGACACACAACTATTACTTTTTTCCCTTATCCGATAAGCACAGAAGGCAGGTGCAAGGTTTTAGTGACCATCGTGTGTACGAAGCACACTCAGTTGGAACCTCTCCAAGGTACCTGGGGAATGGGAGTGTGGCAAGGGTGTGAGGATGGGCCGTGGAAGTGGAGAAGGTTAGCATGAGGTCTCTTGCAGGGTGGCTGAGCAAGATGGGAACAGTCTTCCAGCCATTTCTGTTCATCAGACAGGACTCTGTTGTGGCCCAGCTGGAATCAGACACAAACAAAGTAGACTTCTCCATGCCAACAAGAGTGGAAATAAGATGTGTCAGCAAGACAAAACCTCTCCTCGAGGCTCCTCTGCAGTACCTATTAGAAGTGCAGTCAAGAGGCTGCGGGTGGTGGTGGAGAGCCTGTGGTTCAGAAATGGGGGATATTAGCGCCAGCACACTGGGCTGTAATGGAAAATGTCATCTTTTTCAATTCGTTTGAAATAGTCACCTGTGATATATTTTCTGATGTTCTGCCCTGTTCTTAGCTGGGTCATTCCTCCTCTCCGGCATCTTGGGAGAGGAGAGGGATGCAGTTGTAGAGGAGAGACACTGATGGAACACCAGTCTCCATGCCTGTTGTGTTCTAGAACCCAGGCTGAGCTTCTCTGTGCCCAAGTGCGGTGGTCCAGCCTGTCTTACCGAGTGTTGCCTTCACACTGGTCCCCATACTCCTGGTCACTGCAAATAGGTCTAAATGTGTCCATTTCCTGCCCTCTGTGGAGCAGGGCTGGCCAATGCCTGGTCTACCCCAGAGGTATGTGCTGGTCAGCCAGGGCTAGGTGCAGCCCTGCAGGTTGTCTCAGAGAGGCTATTTTTAAGTCTTTTGCTCCTTTCTGGAGGGCCAGCATTGTGTTGCTGCCTTAGTGTTGTCGCATCTTCTCAATGTGACCAGACCTTGGGAGGTAAAGGGGAATTTCATTTGGAGAAACTGCAAGTTGAAGTAAGAACAGGGTATATTGGGGACTGCATCTCTTAGAAGCACACCTGGGAAAGTGTGGAAGTGCAATGACCAGCTCCACTCTGCACAGGGATTGGCTGTGTCTGGAAATGCTGTGTGTGGAGGGAAAGAAAGAGGGGCAACTAAGAGACAAAAATCTTGGGCAAAAAAGCGTGGAAAAGGCTGGGCGTGGTGGCTCATGCCTGTAATCCCAGCACTTTGGGAGGCCGAGGTGGGCGGATCACGAGGTCAGGAGATCAAGACCATCCTGGCTAACATGGTGAAACCCCGTCTCTACTAAAAATACAAAAAAATTAGCCAGGCATGGTGGCGGGCGCCTGTAGTCCCAGCTACTTGGGAGGCTGAGGCAGGAGAATGGCGTGAACCTGGGAGGCAGAGCTTGCAGTGAGCCGAGATAGCACCACTGTACTATCTGCCTGATAGCACCACTGTACTATCTGCCTGGGCGACAGAGTGAGACTCCGTCTCAAAAAAAAAAAAAAAAAAAAGCGTGGAAAAATAAAAAATGCAATGCCCCAAACTCTAACAAATTGAGGCATGAAACTTTGAAATCGCTCAGCAAGTAGATGTGATCTTGCAACTAAAGACAGAGGGCAGGAAATAGACACATTTAGACCTATTTGCTGTGACCAGGAGGATGGGGACAAGTGTGAAGGCAACACTCCCTGAGATAGGCTGGGTCCAGTGGTCCACCACTGCGCCTGGACACAGAGAAGCCCAGCACAGCCCCTGCAGACCATCAGAGAAGAGCATGGACACCTTCAGCCCCTCTTTGCTTTAGCCTACATGGCATCTTTAGTGTGTCTTGGGAACCTGGATATTCATCCCCCCATGCCTCCAGATATTGCTAAGGAGTTGTGCTACTGTATAAATCATCATGTTTCACTTCAACACTTTATATTCTATAGTACTAGGTAGCCTAACCTGCGTTCTGGGGCTCCAACGCAAGGCCAGAGCATCTACGCTTCGCCTATGCATTGACACAGGGATGTGTGGTAGCCAGTCATAGGAACAATCATACCGTCTGTGTCAGGATCTTTGAAGCCCAGCACTATGGTTATCATTTTACACACAAAGTCTCCCATCTTCACAACCCTTTGCTGGGTTTTCACTTGCACTGATCTGTCTTCAGTTGCAAGATCACGTCTACTTGCTGAGAAACTTCAAAGTTTCATGCCTGGGTTTGTTAGAATTGGGTGCATTGCATTTTTTATTTTTCCACTTTTCTTTTTTTTGCAAGATTTTTGTCTCCCAGTTGCCCTTCTTTCTTTCCCTCCTTACACAGCATTTCCAAACTCAGCCAATTCCTGGGCAGAGTGGAGCTGGTCATTGTACCACCACACTTTCCCTTTGCTCTCTGACTCTCTTCATCTTCATGCCAAATTGTCTGTGTTTATTGAATTTGGGCCTGTGATGTCTCTAGCACCCCTGGGTGTTCTGAACCACACAGCCCAGCCCCCTTAGGCTGTCATTTCCACTGCCTTGTGCTCCTCAGTCCCAGGAGAGGACCTCTTATTTCCAAAGGTCAAAAAGGCCTTGTGGGTTTACCCAGGAGTGAAAGCTGAAGGCAGTTCTGAGTAAAGAAATTGGGTGGTGGGGAGTGCTGGTGTTCCTTTTTCATATCAGGCTGTCTGTTGACCCTACAGGGCCAGAGTTGTTGTCTGCATTTTAGAGATGATAAGAAAGAGGCTTGTGGGCCCTAAATAACTGGCCCAAGATATCGTAGCTAACCCTAGGACAGAGGTGAAATTTCACCCTGAGTCTGTCTAATTTTAGGGCCCTCTCTGCTGTATAAACTTGCCTCTTACATGAAAGGACATGACAGGATGGATTCTGAGGAAGTGAGTCTATAGCTAAGGTGTTCTGTCTCTCTTGAAAATTACCAAATACTACTACTAAAGAAGTCTGATGACTGCTACTATGCTACTGGTAGAAGTTAACATATACTGAGTGCTTATTAACCTTGTTGAAAGCACTCTACATACATCAACTCTTTAATTTTTATCATATTCCTCTACAAATTTATCCACTTTCTGGATGAGAAGACTGAGGCCAAAAGAGGTCATTAGAATAGCCATTTAATGGGGACAGTGGTACCAACATGATAATGAGCATGGTTATATTTCTGAAGTACATCCAAACTTAAAAAATTTTAAAGGCCTCCCCGACCTGCCACTCTGCTGTCAGGACAAAAGGGAGATGCAAGGGGAATGGAGGCTGGTAGAAAGAGTATTCATTAGCAGAGTATAGTAAAAGAAAAAAAAATTGTTCTATTAAAAAAAAACCATGTAACATTTAATAATGTCCCCAATGCTCAAAACCAATTGCTTTCTTGGAGTGTGCCAAAATGCATTTGATCTTGCTATGGATATGAGGCAAATGCATTTCTTCCTGGCATCCTAGGAGGCTAATGTTGATGCTGTCTGAAGATTCTTGTAGCACTTGCTGCTGTTAGCATTGTCGGTCTTGCACAGGGCAGTGTTTGGAATGCCATTTTTTTTTTAAATCCAAGTAGGGGCCCAATAGATTATTTTGTATGAGGGCATGATTACTTTCTTGAATAGTTTGGTCCTCATTGGCAAAGATAGATGAAGAGGTTTAGATGCCCTTGCAGCATGAACAAGGGAAAGTGTACACAATTGTGGGATTGTTCCTGGGGACCCCATCATCATAGCATGGCACAGCACAGAGAGTCTGAGGCTGGTAGCCAGGGGGCTTTGATCTGAGTCCCCTCCTCTGTTGCTGACTGCCCATATGACCTTGGATAAATTATTTCCATCTTCTGGCTGGCCTTGGTTTCTATAAAATTAGAGGTCAAGCTAAATGAGTTCTAAGAACCCTCCCTGCCTTTACTGTCCACCTGTATGCATGCTTCATCCGGGCATTCTTCCCCTGCTGCTGCTGAGGGTCATCTAGCTGCCCGTAGGCCTCTCCTCTGATTCACAGTCCATCTTCCTGCTCCTGGAGTGGTCTTTCTAAATATGCAAACCCTGTCATGACTTACTTTCACCTAAAACCCTCGTGCCTATCGAATACAGACAGAATTCTTTGCCATGGATATAAAGAAGGACATGGAGAATATAGGTAACAGAACTATAGAGTGTGATTTACCAGCAGATAATTATAGAGTGGATTACCAAATACCAACTTGGTTTAAGCACAAAACTGAGATGCCCATTCCTCCCAAAAGCAAGTGAAACATCCACAAAAATGGAACTTCTATTGTAATAACTTCCCTGAAGTAGAAAGTTTATTGGCCACATTCACTGACCACAATGCATTAATATTAGAATTTACTAATAGAATAATACTTGTCGAACATGTTAGAAACTTAGTGTCAGCCAAACAACCCTAAAACCTAAAAGAACTTAAAAAAAACCCTAATTGGCCGGAGAGGAAATCGTAACTGCAAAGACAGATTGTTTAAAATTATTAAAGGTCTAAAACTCTGCGTATCAAAAGTTATGGAATGTGGCAAAATCTATTTTGAAAGGGTGATTCATATCCTTAAATGACTTTATTAATAAGAAGAAATGAAAAGTAAATGATGTAATAACTGAATTCCAGAAGTGAAAGAAATAAAAATAAAGACAACCAAGAAGAGTAAGAGGTAAGAATTAGCAAAACTAAGAGCAGAAACAAATACATTAGCATAAAAAAGGATCGATTCGATTCTTAAAAAATACAGAACAAACAGACAAAAACAGATTATGCTTTGGCAAGGATGGCCAAAAAAGAAAGAATGAACAAGAAATACACAATCAGATATGAGAAAGATTGCTTGTATTAGTTTCCTATGACTAGTGTAACAGATTACAGCAAATTTAGTGGCTTAAAACATCACAAATTTATTCTCTTATAGTTTTAGGGGTTGCAAGTCTGAAGTCAGTTTCACTGGGCTGAATCCAAGGTGTTGGCAGGCTGGCTCCTTTTGGAGGCTCTGAGATGGATCTGCTTCCTCGCATTCCTACATTCCTTGGCTTGTGATCCTTTCTTTGAACTTTTGCTTCTGTTATCACATATCCTTTGACCTTCTTGTCTCCCTTTTATAAAGACTTGTATTGGGAGGCTGAGGTGGGAGGATCACGTGAGCCCAGGAGTTAGAGGCTGCAGTGAGCTGTGATTATGACACTGCACTCCAGCCTGGGCCACAGAGCAAGACCGTGTCTCTGAAAAAAAGGCCTTGTGATCACATGTAGAGTCCAGCTGGCAAATACTGCATCATGAACTAATCTCAAAATCCTTAATCACAACTGCAAGTTCCTTTGCCATTCGAGGCAATATCCACAGTTTCTGGGAATTAGAACATGGATATCTTTTAGAAAAACATTATTCAGCCTACCATATTTTATAACCACAAACATTTTCAAATGTAAATGTTAAACTTGTTAGTCTTAATGTAGCTCTTAAGTATTCTCACCACAAAAAGAAGGTAACAATGTGAGATGATGAAATAATTTGGCATGTTAATTAGCTTGGTTGTGGAATCATTTCACAATGTATACATATATCAAAACATCACATTGCACACATTGCGTACCTTAAATATGTATAATTTTTATTTTTCAATTATACTTCAATAAAGCTAAAAAACAAAAACATAAAACGCATATTAGGGAAATGTTATATAAAACATGACTGTAATAATTCTGAAATTCTAGATGAATGGTGTATCCTACCCTGGAAAAATAAAAATGTCAACAGTCGACTCAAGGATAAAAAATTTGAATAGAATAATAAATCCTCCCTTCTCCCAAAGGTTCACCAAAAAGGCACCCGTTCTAGAAAATTTTGTGGACAAGTTTTTTCATGTCTTCATTGAAAAGATAATACCCAGATTACATACATTTCTCCAGAGCATTAAAAATACGGAATATCTTCAAATTCATTTTTTGATTCTGACAATGAAACTAGACAAAGTTTCTCAAAGAAAACATACAGAACAATCTCACTTGAATATAGATATAAAAAACCTGAGAAAAATATTAACAAATAAAATATAGCAATGTATTGAAGGAAAAATATGTCATAACCAATGATTCCAATCCAAGGATTCATTCCAAGAATGATAATGAAATCTCCATTCAACATTAGAAAATTTATTAATGCAATTAAAAAATGCGATACGATTTATTCCATTACTAGGTTAGAAAAAAAAAAAAGGTCATCTTGTTGGGGTGCCAAAGTGCATTTTATAAAATTCAATGTCCAGAACTGAAAATTGTAATTTAGAAAACTTTAGTACATTAGGAACAGAAGAAAATTTCTTAAGATAAAAGAGTGTCAGTAATCATCATAGCAAACAGTGAAATCGCTGAAATGAGTAAATCAGGAATCTCCCCCAAACTGCTGTCATGTATTGCTGTTGAGATCTGGCCAATGCAGTAGTAAAATAAAAGTAAGTAAGAGATAAATATTAAAAAGAGCCCAAAGAGCTTATTATTGTAAACCTAGAAAATCCAAGCTAATCAGGTAACAATCCACTAGATAAGAGAATTCAGTACGTTGACTAATATAAGATAAAAGTCAATAGCTTTCTTGCACATTACCAACAAGCAAATGAAGGCTAATAAAGGAAAAATGTCATATTCACAAATGAAACTAGTTGCTAGAAATTAACAACATAAAATATGGGAGATTTTCATATCATAAAACATTTTAAAGTGTATTGAAAGATCTAAGAAAATAGCAGAAACATATTATTCCTGGAAACACTCGTTCTTGTATTTTTTTTATTCCAGATTTATCTGTAAATTTATGGCATATCATTCAAAATCCCAGTAGGATATTTTTAAACTATACAAACTGATTCTAAAATTCATCTTGAAGAGTGAATATATAAAAATAGTTAGCAAATTTTGGGAAAGAGGAGATTAGGGCAGGATTTTCTTTGCTATCTATCACAATAATAATCAAATGTTATTTTACTGGCACAGGAATTGACAAATTAACTTATCAAAGTTAATTACAAACAGATTTGGATTTAAATGCTATTATAAAATATAGAAAAACTTTCTTTAAACCTTCAGTGGGAGCAGATCTTTCTAAAGATCTTTTGAAGAATTACATTGAGGCCAAAATCCTTTAAAAAGTCAACAGATTTGCTTACACAATAATTGTATACTTTTATACATCAGAAGACATCATTGGCAAAATAGACAAAAAACAAACTGGGAAAATATGTATTGAGCATGTTAGGCAAAGATTTATAATATATAAAGTACTCCTACAAATCAATAAGAAAAAGTAAATAGTGACCAAATTATGTTAACTGGTGATTCACAAAAAAATACAAATTTTTGGTAAATGTTAAAAGAAGATATTTTGCAATAGAAAGGAATGTATATTCAATCTTTCAAATCCCACTTTTCACACCTTGGAAACAATGGTAGCACGTGTTTTGAGAATGTGTGGAAATTATGCTATTTGTGGGTGTATTAGTCTGTTCTCACACTATAAAGAAATACCTGAGAGTGGGTAATTCATAAAGAAAAGAGGTTTAATTGGCTCATGGTTCTTTGGGCTGTACAGGAAGCATTATGCTGGCATCTGCTCAGCTTCTGGGGAGACCTCAGGAAACTTTCAATCCTGGCAGAATGTGAAGGGGGAGCCAGCACTTCACATGGCCAGAGCAGGAGGAAGAGAGAGGCAGGGAGGTTCTACAGGCTTTTAAACAACTGGATCTCCTGAGAACTAGATCACAAGAACAGCACTAGAGGGATGGAGCTAAGCTATTAGAAATGGCCCCCATGATCCAATCACTTCCCACCAGGCCCCACCTCCACCACTGGGGATTACAATTCAACATGAAATTTGGTGGGGACACAGAACCAAACCATATCAATGAGGGTGTAAATTCGTTGTCACAATCATCTGGAAAGGTAATTTATCCATGCATATCACATTTAAAATGAGCATTCTCTTTTGTTTTGAAAGCCGTCAGCTAAATTGGGATTCCAGTACCGGAGCATCTAGCAACGCTTCAGCTGGAAATGAAGAGACCTAGACTTGGGTGTATATAGCTGCGCCCTAGAAGCTTCTTTTCCTGGAAGATGGCCTAATGCCTAGTTGTCTGACCTGTGACCAGGAGTCCTGCACACAGGGAACTCATTTATACTGGCAGACACCCTTGTGGCTTTTGTCTAATCTGTGTCCATTTTATGCTTGCTCTGGTGGTAGAAGTCAAACTTCGTGTTCTCCTTGGTGTTCCAGGAAAAACACAGCCTGGGGTAGCCCCTTGTTCTTCAAATAGAAGGTGCAAATTCAATACACCACCACAACAGGTGTTCAAAGATTTTTTACTTACAGATTCTGGACAGGGAAGGTGCAATGGGTAGAGAGGGCAGTCCTCCTTCCCCAGATGACACAAGGCAGTAATACACAGAGTCAGGAAAGAGTGAGAGAGAGAGAGAGATAAAGAGAGAGAGAGAGAGAGAGAGAGAGAGAGAGAGAGAGAGAGGCAACCAGCAGTATAGAAAAGAAAATAGGGTGTGAGTAATTTTAAGTTTGTGGGCAAATGCCTTAATATTCCCTTTAAAGGAAGTGACAGCCCAGTCTGCTAGATGAGAGAGTTGCCTGCAAATTCTTATTTCTGGCTACTGGCTTGAACCATTTGGATGTGGTGTAGAACTAGAGACAATGTCAAGGGTGACACAGTTCTGGTGTGAGAAAGTTAAAACTGGATTCAAAATGTATCCAACAGAAAATTGTATGAATTCACTACACCGTTTACCTAGCAACTACATATCTATATATTTATTCTACAGAAACAGTCTCATGAATTTGCAAAGGCCTCTATTCAATGTTAATGGGTATGTTATTTGAGATAATATATCAGTTAGTTATTTGACATAAATATGAGAGGGGACTTCAACAAGTTTTCAGAAAAATGGGATTAAGAGATAAAAAGATATAAAGTTTATTTTTCAACATAAGCTCCATCAGGTCTATGATACTTTTGTAGGTGATGATACCAGCCATTTAGTCCATCCCTAAAGAACTGAGGGTCCTGGGAATGTAACCATGTCAATGCAGTCTTTTTCACATTATTAACTGAAGAAAACTGGGTGCCTTTTACAGATTTTTTTTTTTAAGAGTAGAAAACAAGAAAGAAGTCAGAAGGAGCCAAATCAGGACTGTAAGGTGGATGCCTGATGATTTCCCATTGAAACTCACAAAATTGCCCTTGTTTGATGAGAAGAATGAGCAGCAGTCATGGTGGAGAAGGACTTTCTGGTGAAGCCTTTCTGGATGTTTTTCTGCTACAGCTGTGGTAACATTGTCAAAATACTCATAAAAAGCAGTTACTGTTCTTTGACCCCTTACGAGCATCCAAAAAAACTGTTGCCATGACCTTTGCTCTTGGTCTGCTTTTGCTTTGGCCAGACCACTTCCACCTTTTGGTAGCCATTGCTTTGATTGTGGTTTGTCTTTTGGATTGTACTGGTAAAGCCATGTTTCATCTTCTGTTACAGTTCTTTGAGGAAATTCTTCAGGATCTTGATCCCACTTTTTAAAAATTTCAGTTGAAAGAAAAAAGATTTCTAATTCATAATAACCATTCCATAAAATTTATTTTTCTTGTCTTAATTTCATTGAAATCACTAATTATATGGTTATAATAAATATTTTTTCACACAATTTGTGTTTTATTGGCAATGCTATAACAGACAAACTTTCTTAAGTCACTGCAGTTCTTTTTTTAAAAAAAAATCTTCTAAAAAAATGGAATACACATCAAGAACATGCAGGCTTTTTACATAGGTATATGTGTGCCATGGTGGTTTGCTGCACCTACTGACCCATCCTCTAAGTTCCCTCCCCTCACCCACCGCCCCCCAATAGGCCCTGGTGTGTGTTGTTTCCCTCTCTGTGTCCATGTGTTCTCAATGTTCAACTCCCACTTATGAGTGAGAACATAAACTATTTGGTTTTCTGTTCCTGTGTTAGTTTGCTGAGGCTGATGGCTTTCAGCTTCATCCATGTCCTTTTCAACTTCATCCGTGTCCTTGCAAAGGACATGATCTCATTCCTTTTTATGGCTGCATAGTATTCCATGGTGTATATGTACTGCATTTTCTTTATACATTCTATCATTGATGGGTTGGTTCCAAATCTTTGCTATTATAAATAGTGCTGTAGTAAACATATGTGTGCATGTGTCTTTATAGTAGAATGTTTTATATTCCTTTGGGTATATACCCAATAATGGGGTTGCTGGGACAAATGGTGTTTCTGGTTCTAGATCCTTGAGGAATTGCCATACTGTCTTCTATAGTGGTTGAACTAATTTGCATTCCCACCAAGAGCATAAAAGCATTTCGATTTCTCCACAGCCTCATCAGCATCTATTGTTTCCTGACTTTTTAATAATTTCCATTCTAACTGGTGTGAGATGGTATCTCACTGTGGTTTTGATTTGCATTTCTCTGATGATCAGTGGTGTTGAGCTTTTATTTATATGTTTGTTGGCTGCATAAATGTTTTCTTTTGAGAAGTGTCTGTTCATATCCTTTGCCCACTTTTTGATGGGGTTTTTTGTTTTTTTCTTGTAAATTTGTGTAAGTTCCTTGTAAATTCTGGTATTAGACCTTTGTCAGATGGGTAGATTACAGAAATTTTCTTCCATTCTTTAGGTTGCCTGTTCACTCTTATGATAATTTCTTTTGCTGTGCATAAGCTCTTTAGTTTAATTAGATCCCATTTGTCAATTTTGGCTTTCATTGCAATTGCTTTTGACATTTTTTTCATTAAGTCTTTGCCCATGCCTATGTCCTAAATTGTATTGCCTAGGTTTTCTTCTAGGATTTTTATGGTTTTGAGTTTTACATTTAAGTCTTTAATCCATCTTGAGTTAATTTTTGTATAAGGTGTAAGGAAGGGGTCCAGTTTCTGTTTTCTGCATTGGCTAGCAATTTTCCCAGCACCATTTACTGAATAGGAGATCCTTTCCCCATTGCCTGTTTTTGGCAGGTTTGTCAATGATCTGATGGTTGTAGATGTGTGGCATTGTTTCTGAGGTCTCTGTTCTGCTCCATTGGTCTATATGTCTGCCTTGGTACCAGTACCATTCTGTTTTGGTTACTGTAGCCTGCAGTATAGTTCAAAGTCAGGTAGTGTGATGCCTCCAGCTTTGTTCTTTTTGCTTAGGATTGTCTTGGCTATATGGGGTCTTCTTTGATTCCATATGAAATTTAAAATAGTTTCTTTTCTAATTCTGTAAAAAATGTCAATGGTAGTTTGATGGGAATAGTATTGAATCTATAAATTACTTTGGGCAGTATGGCCATTTTCATGATATTGATTCTTCCTTTCCATGAGCATGGAATATTTTTCAATTTGTTTGCATTCTCTCTTATTTTCTTGAGCAGTGGTTTGTAGTTCTCCTTGAAGAGGTCCTTCACATCCCTTGTTAGCTGTATTCCTAGGTATTTTATTCTCTTTGTAGCGATTGTGAATGGGAGTTCGTTCATGATTTGGCTCTCTGCTTGTCTATTGTTGGTGCAAAGGCATGCTTGTGATTTTTGCACGTTGATTTTGTGTCCTGAGAGTTTGCTGAAGTTGCCTATCGGTTTAAGGAGTTTTTGGGATGAGATGATGGGGTTCTCTAAATATAAAAATCATGTCGTCTGAAAACAGAGACAATTTGACTTCCTCTCTTCTTATTTGAATACACTTTATTTCTTTCTCTTGCCTGATCGCCCTGGCCAGAACTTCCAATACTTTGTTGAATAGGAGTAGTGAGAGAGGGGAGCCTTGTCTTGTACTGATTTTCAAAGAGAATGTTTCCAGCTTTTGCCAATTCAATATGATATTGGCTGTGGGTTTGTCATAAATAGCTCTTATTATTTTGAGATATGTTCCATCAATATGTAGTTTATTGAGAGTTTTTAACATGAATGGATGATGAATTTTATCAAAGGGCTTTTCTTCATCTGTTGAGATAATCATGTGGTTTTTGTCTTTGGTTCTGTTTATGTGATGGATAACATTTATTGATTTGTGTATGTCAAACCAGCCTTGCATGCCAGGGATGAAGCTGACTTGATCATGGTGGATAAGTTTTTTGACGTGATGCTGGATTCATATTGCCAGTATTTCATGGAGGATTTTCATATTGATGTTCCTCAGAGATAATGGCCTGAAGTTTTCTTTTTTTGGTTGTGTCTCTTCCCAGTTTTGGTATCAGGATGATGCTGGCTTCATAAAATGAGTTAGGAAGGAGTCCCTCCTTTTCAATTGTTTGGAATAGTTTCAGAAGGAATGGTACCAGCTCCTCTTTGTATTTCTGGTAGAATTCAGCTGTGAATCCATCCGGTCCTGGGCTTTTCTTGGTTGGTAGGCTATTAATTACTGCCTGAATTTCAGAACTTGTTATTGGTCTATTCAGGGATTCAACTTCTTCCTGGTTTAGTTTTGGGAGGGTGTATATGTCCAGGAATTTATCCATTTCTTCTAGATTTTCTAGTTTATTTGCGTAGAGTTGTTTATAGTATTCTCTGATGGTAGTTTGTATTTCTGTGGGGTCCCTGGTGATATCCCCTTTGTCATTTTTTTATTTTGTCTGTTTGGTTCTTCTCTCTTTTCTTCTTTATTAGTTTAGCTAGTGCTCTATATATTTTGTTAACTTTTCCAAAAACCAGCTCCTCAATTCATTGATTTTTTTGGAGGATTTTTCATGTCTCTATCTCTTTCAATTATTCTCTGATCATAGTTATTTCTTGTCTTCTGCTAGCTTTTGGATTAGTTTGTTCCTGCCTCTCTAGTTCTTTTAATTGTGATGTTAGGGTGTCAATTTTAGATCTTTCAAGCTTTCTGATGAGGGCATTTATTGCTATATATTTCCCTCTTAACACTGCTTAGCTATGTCCCAGAGATTCTGGTATGTTGTCTCTTTGTTCTTGTTAGTTTCAAAGAACTTCTTGATTTCTGCCTTAATTTCATTATATACCCAGGAGTCATTCAGGAGCAGGTTGTTCAATTTCCATGTAATTGTGTGGTTTTGAGTGAGTTTCTTAATCCTGAGTTCTAATATGATTGCACTATGGTCTGAAAGACTGCTTGTTATGATTTCTGGTCTTTTGTATTTCCTGAGGAGTGTTTTTCTTCCAATTATGTGGTTGATTTTAGAATAAGTGCTACATGGCACTAAGAAGAACGTATATTCTGTTGATTTGGGATAGAGAGTTCTGTAGATGTCTACTAGCTCCAGTTGATCCAGAGCTGAGTTCAAGTCCTTGTTAATTTTCTGTCTTGTAGATCTGTCTAATACTGACAGTGGGGTGTTAAAGTCTCCCAGTAGTATTGTTTGGGAGCCTAAGTCTCTTCATAGGTCTCTAAGAACTTGTTTTATGAATCTGGGTGCTCCTGTATTGGGTGTGTATATATTTAGAATAGTTAGTTCTTGCTGAATTGTTTCCTTTACCATTATTTATTGCCTTTCTTTGTCTTTTCTGATATTTTTTGGTTTAAAGTCTGTTTTATCAGAGACTAGGATTTCAACCCCTGCCTTTTTTTTTTTTTTTCCATTTGCTTGGTAAGTTTTCCTCCGTCCCTTTGTTTTGAGCCCATGTGTGTCTTTGCACATGAGATGGGTCTCTTGAATACAGCACACCAATGGGTCTTGACTCTTTATCCAATTTGCCAGTCTGTGTCTTTTAATTGGGGCAGTTAGCCATTTACATTTATGGTTAGTATTGTTATATGTGAATTTGATCTTGTCATCATACTGCTATTTGGTTATTTTGCATACCAGTTGATGCAGTTTCTTCATTGTGTCATTGGTCTTTGTATTTTGGTGTGTTTTTGCAGTGGCTGGTACTGAATTTTCCTTTCCATATTTAGTGCTTCTTTTAGGAGCTCTTGCAGGGCAGTCCTGGTGGTAATGGAATCCCTCAGCATTTGCTTGTCTGGAAAGGATTTTATTTCTCCTTCACTTATGAAGGTTAGCTTGGCTGGATATAAAATTCTGGGTTAAAATTCTGTTCTTTAAGAATGTTGAATATTGGCCCCCCAATCTCTCCTGGCTTGTAGAGTTTCTGCTGAGAGGTCTTCTGTTAGTCTGATGGGCTTCCCTTTGTAGATGACCTGGTCTTTCTCTCTGGCTGCCAGTTTTTCCTTCATTTCGACCTTGGAGAATCTGATGATTATGTGTCTTAGAGTTGATCTTCTTGTGGAGTATCTTAATGGTGTTCTCTGTATTTCCTGAATTTGCATATTGGCCTATCTTGCTAGGTTGGGGAAGTTTTCCTGGATAATATCCTGAAGTGTATTTTCCAGCTTGTTTCCATTACCCCCATCTCCTTCTGGTATGCCAATCAATCGTAGGTTTGGTCTTTTTATGAAGTCCATATTTCTTGGAGGCTGTGTTCATTACTTTCCATTTTTATTTCTCTAGTCTTGTCTGCATGTCTTATTTCAGGAAGGTGGTCTTCAAACTCTGACATCCTTTCTTCCTCTTGGTCGATTCAGCTATTGATACTTGTGTATGCTTCACAAAGTTCTCATGCTGTGTTTTTCAGCTCCATCAGTTGTTTATGTTCCTCTCTAAACTGATTATTCTAGTTAGCAATTCCCCTAACCTTTCGTCAAGGTTCTTAGTTTCTTTGCTTTGGGTTAGAACATGCTCCTTTAGCTCAGTGTAGTTTTTTATTACCCATCTTCTGAAGCCTACTTCTGTCAATTCATCTATCTGATCCTCCACCCAGTTCTCTGCCCCTGATGGAGAGATGTTGCAATCATTTGGAGGAGAAGAGGCACTCTGGCCTTTTGAGTTTTCAGCATTTTTTTCATTGACTCTTTCCCATCTCCGTGAGTTTGTCTAGTTTTGGTCTTTGAGGCTGCTGACCCTTGGTTGCGGTTTTTGTGGGGGCTTTTTTGTTGATGTCATTGTTGTTGTTGCTTCCTGCTTGTTTGTTCTTCTTTCAATAGTCAGGTCCTTCTTCTGTAGGGCTGCTGCTGTTTGCTGGGGGGTTCACTTCAGGCCCTATTCATCTGATTTGCCGCTGTGCCTAGAGATGTCACTGAAGAAGCCTGGAGAACAGCACAGGTGCGTGCCTGCTCCTTCTTCTGGGACCTCTAATCTTGAGGGGCACCAACCTGATGCCAGTAGGATTGCTCCTGTACAGGATGTCTGACAACCCCTGTTGGAGGTTCTCACCTAGTTGGGTGGCATGAGGAACAGGACCCATTTAATGAAGCACTTTCTTCCTTGGTGGAGGAGGTGTGCTTCACTGGGGGAAACCCACTCATCTGGGCTGACCAGATTCCTCAGAACTGCCAGGAGAAAAGACTAAGTCTGCTGGTCCGCAGATACTGTAGCCACCCCTTTCCCTAGGGAATCAGGCCCAGGGGGATACGGGTTCTGTCCCTGAGCCTCTGGCTGGAGTTATTGGACTTCCTGCAGGGAAGCCCCACCCAGTGAGGAAGGATGAGTCAGGGTCAGGCCTGAAGAGGCCCTCTGGCCACAGACTGCCACACCTGGTGTGTTGGGCCATGGGGAAAAGTCTTGGGAAAAAGCTATCCAGCCTTCGTGGCTCCAGCAGGGAAAAAGCACAGCCTGGAGCTATAGAGATGGGTGCCACCCTTCCCCTGCCAGGGAGCTTAACATGTTAGGCAATTGCCAGTATCAGTGCTGGCTGCTACCTCTCCCACAAGGAGCTCAAAGGGCTTACACAGCAGGCAGCTGCAGCTAGTGCTGGTCACTCCTTCCCCAGGAGTTTGGTAGGTTTAAGCAGATTTTAGCTGAGAGGCTGTTAAGTGTCTCTGCACTCTGGGGTTGGGACGCTAGGCCCCGGTAGCATGGGTTCGTGAGTGGGATCTTCTGATCCATGGGTTGCACAGTTCTGTGGAAAAAGCAGGGTTTCCCCAGGTGGGTAGCATGGTCACTCACCACCTCTCTTGGCTGGGGGGAGTAGGCTTTTCCACTCCATGTGGCTCTCAGGTGGGCCGCCGTACCATACTGTTCTTCCTTCTCTCCATGGGTCACGTCAGTCTCCTAGACAGTTCTGATGAGAAAACCTGTATACCTTGGTTGCCAGTGAAGGACTCACACAGTTATTATGGTTTTCTTAGATGGGAGCCTCCCAACACTGCTGTTTCTAGTCAGCCATCTTGGCCCCGTCACTGTAGTTCTTATGTGGCCCTTCATTAATTTCATCTTGGGGAAATTTTGCTTAGCTGAGGTGGTAGCAACAGGATTTGTCAATATAAGTCTTAAAGAAGTACATGGATTCAGAAATGAGCATGAATTTTACATTTTCTGTTTAAACATTGAAATGGATCACATATGATCACATATTATTCTTAGGTCAGAAAATAGTGTAGAGTTCATCACTTTCATCAAGTAAGTTGTTATCATTTATATCTTGATTTTCACTGTTTTTCAAAGCAATATCGGGATCCACACAGATATGTGAAGAGTTGGTGTCACACTTTATCTATGTACATTTATCCATTTACACACACAAATGTAAAGTAATATAAATTGTTTATTATTTATTTTTATTTTTTGAGAAATAGTCTTACTCTGTTGCCTGGGCTGGAGTGCAGTGGCACGATCATGGCTCACTTCAGCCTCCAACTCCTGGGCTCAAGTGATCCTCTCACCACAGCCTCCTGAGTAGCTCCACTCCTGGGCCCAGGCAGTCCTCCTGCCTCAGTCTCCCACAGTCTCCTGCCACAGTCTTACAGCCGGGATTACAGGCACCAGTCACTGGCATTACAGGCACCGGTGACTGGATTTTTTTTTTTTTTGTAGAGATTGGGTCTCATTATATTGCCCAGGCTGGTGTTGAATTCCTGCCCTCAAGCAATGCTCTTGCCTTGGCCTCCCAAGTGCTGGGATTCCAGGCATGAGCCACCAAACCTAGCCCATAAATTGTTTAAGAATGCAAAATATACCTCAGACACTATGTGCAGCTCTTGTAATTACCGTGGTTACTTCATTAATACCCTTAAACCATGAGTTAGAACATGGAAAGAAGTAAGAAAATGGCCACTTGGCTCTACTGGAAAACAATAACATTTCTTTATGTCTCTATAGCATCATATTATTTGAGAGAACAGGCTAAACTGGTTGGTTACTCCCTCCTTTCTTCTAGATCTAAGCCCTTCTACAGCAGTGTCAGTTTCTGACAGCAGTGGCTCAACTCACAACTTCCATGGTACTTGGGCACAACTTCCTTTTATTTTATTTTATTTTTTTTGAGACGGAGTTTCACTCTTGTTGCCCAGGCTGGAGTGCAATGGCGCGATCTCGGCTCACAGCAACCTCCACCTCCCGGATTCAAGCCATTATCCTGCCTCAGCCTCTGGAGTAGATGGGATTACAGGCATGTGCTACCACATCCGGCTAATTTTGTATTTTTAGTAGAGACGGGGTTTCTCCATGTTGGTCAGTCTGGTCTCAAACTCCGGACCTCAGGTGATCTGCCCACCTTGGCCTCCCAAAGTGCTGGGATTACAGGCGTGAGCCACTGTGCCCGGCCACAACTTCCTTGTATCTAGAGGATACGAGTTAGAAATTAACCTGGGGCCTGAATAGGTTTAGCCATGAGCATGAATGTTTAGGGTGCTGGGTCACTCTGTGCCGGCAGTGAGGACGGGATTCTGGGTGAAGAAAGATCCCATTTATTCTTTAATAAATTTAAGTTTTTTGTAGACTTGTGGCATGTGGAACATTTTCAGTCAGGCAAGCTATACCTCCAGTGGCTGTGGCAGGGCTAATGCCCACTTGAAGCATTATGGTTTCAGGTGCATTGCCAGGCCTGGAGCAGGAGTTCATCTAGCAATTGGGGTGCAGAGCTATGGTCAGCCCATGGGAAACGTAGGTGGGCAGTAAGCAGCCAGTGTGCAAAACAGCATACAGGAAAAAGGTCCAGTCAGGTAGATGGAACAGGCATGGAATGGTTTACGGTAAAAGAAATAGCTTGGCCAGCCTGTGGCTGAAGAGCTCCAGACCCTTCCTGTTAAGGATGAAGCTTCTAGAACATTCTCATATGAACCAGATCTTTCCCTGCAGGTATCTAGGAATGACATAGGGAGGGTTTTCCCATACAGGGATTTTGGTGGGGCCTCAGATTATGAGGACACCAAAAAGATTGTGTGTTTTGGTATGAAGAAGCATTTATTAGACACCAAAGACATAATTTGCCTTCTTTTTTGTCTAGAGACTTGACTACGTAAGCAAAACAATGATGATAATATAAGGGCTTTATATTTATTTAGAACCTACCATGCCAATGTTCTAGGCCCTTTCAAGACAGTGTGTGAGCTGCACAGGATTTCTGAATTTGAAATGCATTCTGAGATGCTTTTGGGAGTATAAGTTCATGCATATGAGGTGTGTGCAGGCCTGGCCTCGTGGGTGTGCAGTCTGATCAATTGCACAGGGACCCACACTTCAAAGAGTCCTGTGCTTGGTTTCACATCCTGTTGTCACTATCTTGACAGTCCTAGTCATTGTTTAATGAAATTCATGTTTTCATTTTGCACTGGGCCCTGCAAATTATGTAGCTGATCCTGAGTGTATGTCATTCGGCCCTACCCAGACCTTCCCTTTGGTGGTCTTTGACTCTCTGGTGAAAGCTCTGCATGCTTTCTCTGGTTTCTGAAATAGAACACGTAAGTTTCTACTGGGTTCTAACTTGTTCCAGAGCCTCCATTAGGGCATCCTGAGCTCCAAGTGTTATCTAGCTAGTTGATTGGCTTCTAGAGGGAGGTAAAGTAGCAAGGAGGGTTGGGGGAGAGGTGGGGTACTGGCTTGTTTGTCTAGTACAGTGAGCATCTCTCTATGGGATGTTTAACACCCAGGTGGTGAGTAGAGTTGGGACATAGTTAATATTACAATAACTATGTTCCTGAGGTTCATTACTAAGTTGTAAGCTCTTTGAAGATGGGATCCATGTATAATATTATAATCTTAGTGTCTGGCACTTTGTAGGTACTAACAAATATGTTTTTCAATGAATGCTGAAGTGAGTGTGTAAATAGAGATAGAAAATAACTGTGTAAATGGTGGAGGTATAAAGATGGGTTTTGCATTTTTGAGGAGGGTGTGACACAGAAGAAACTTCCAGAGACTGGAGATCAGGAGAGCTTTATGCCTCCGGGGTTAAGACTTTCTGTACATGAAAACGAATTACAGAGGTACTCAGACATGGGGAGGCCAAAGTAAACATTAGCGGGGCAACTATAAGGAGGAAGTGGCCACATACAGTAGAGGCTCCCACCGCGGCTAGGCTGACATTTCTCTAGCTCTCTCAGTCTGGAGCACACCGAGTGTTACTCACAGCCCTTTCTGCACATGCAGCCTCATAGACTCTAAGCATCCATTTGAAGTTGGCTGCCACAGATATTTTTAGATCTGCTTACCAAACAGGAAACTGAGGCCTATGAAGAGTGAGAGACTCTCTTAAGACAATCCATGAGTTAAGGTTGCATTAGGGCAGGCTCTGAGATTTCTGGCCTCCCAGGGAAGTTAATTCAACAGGAGGAAATTGCAGTTGGCCACCTCTTTTTCTGACCCGAGGCATCTCAGTGGGTCTCCTTGGCTGTGCAGAGCCTTCAAGAACATGCACAAGGCAGGGGAGTTAATGTCTCGACAAAGACCTGCAGTGGGCCACCGCTTGCTGCTTTCCCGATGACAAGGTGCATCCTTCACCTCATATGCACCACACATTTGGCTTTGAACACAATGGAGCTTGCAGAGGGCTTGGAGATCCCCGAGGGTGGCAGGTGCTAGATATTAACATAACATCAACTTTTGTCAAACAGAACGTTCACTCTCGCTGCTGATGCGGAGCTCCCCCAAGCTTCAAAATATGCAAAACTGGCTCACCAGCATCTTTACACCTGGCCGAACCTCCTAATGGCATCTCCCTGCCTGGCTCTGCCCAGCAGCAGGCCTCGTGCACAGCTGGAATGCTCCCCCTCTCTTCTCTCCTTCCCTTGCCTCTTCTGTCAGTTTCTTCCTCCCAGGCTTTCATGTAGCAAGTCATTTTTCTGGGGCTGTCATTTACTGCTCTGCCTAACTGCTACCTCTGAGTGTGGCCGAACTAATGATGCAGCAATTAAGAGTGATTAGGGTTATTGATAATAAAGCGACTTCATAAACTTGATTAAATGCATTCATTAATGAACATGTTGTGGGTGCCTGTGTGGAGGGTGGGGTGGAATGAAAGGTGGGAAAAATAAGAAAAAGAATCTCACTCAGTAAATGCCCCAGTGTGGCTCTGAATATGATGAGGAGGACTGAGGTATTTGGCAGGAAGATCAGGAGTCCCCAGGGGCTTGGCGGTTGAGAAAATTGCAGCAAAATTGCTGTCCAGAGCACATCATTTATTTCTACACAGTAGAAGACAAAGGCAACAAGGTGCTAAAAGAGAATAGCCCCAAGAATTGCCTGCAATGCCCCCAAGCTTGAGATTGCTTTGGTCGCCACCTTTCCCGGGGGAGAGCTGCAGAGGTTGTTATTAATTAACACAAGCAAAGCTCTTTCCCTTCCATTCCCCTACCAACTCTGCTGACGAAATCAGGAGGGCTGCAGGTTCCTGCTCCTTTGATCCTCTCCTAGCTTGCTAAGGATAATAGCGCCACATTAATTACAACCTTCTCTGTCTCTTTTGGCAAGGCTATGCAGTGCTGGGGAGACAGAGCGTAGGGTCCTTGTCCTCCATGTCACACCTAGGAACTGGGAAGACCTTACAGGCTTAGATAAACCTAGTTAACTCTGACCTCAACTCAGAGCCATGACAATTCGGAAAGGAATTCTTCACTCAACACATGTAGATTCAAAGTGGTGCAAATAGACCTGAGTTTAAATAAATAGAAAGGGGGCATTTAAAAAAATCAAACAAGCTGTTTATTAGAGGAAGCGTCAACACACTTCCCAAGCACCCACTTACCGAACAGCGGCTCATTGCTTACAATACACTCCTACCCCAGAGCAGGCTCCCTCGGTACCTCCCAGACAAGCAAGCCATTAGCTTGGCTCTGGTTATCGGTACATACTTACAGTTATACTGAATTTCTCTTACATCAGTTAAGGATTAAAAAAGAAATGAGTTCACAGTGGCCCATCATTTGGCTGCTGTGAGTCTGAATTAGTGCAATTATGTGGCGTTTCTCAAACTGCATTCTGGTTGGACATGGCGGATTCCTTCAGCTGTGGAAGAATCTGGTCCCTGACTTCCATGCACTACTCTCTAGCCCTTCTGTGTCCTGAAGCCTCCGTGGGTGGAATTTGGCAAGTGGGAGGCAATAGATAGCACTCACTCATTCCTGCAGTACAGCCACAGATGAAATGAAATATGAGAGCTGTTTTAAAAGATTTACGCAACCATCAGGTAACTGATACTGAGCAGGAAGATTTAACAGGCACCTTAGGTTTGTGAACCCCATTGATTTTGCCTTCAACCCATTTCTGTCAGTTGTTGAGTTGGTCTGAGTCTGTCTGTCATCCAGTCAACAGCATTTACTGAGAAAGACCTCAGTGTAGGCTCCTGTACTTTGGGGTTACGAGAATCAACCATCACGAGGAATCCCTGGATCTCAGGATTGAATGGTGCTCAAATCTCATCTCAGGCTGAATCCCTGGAGCAGCATCCCTGTCCCATGGTACTCACTCACCAACTTTTAGGGAAGCCTATTTTATTTTGGCGTAACTCAGACAGTCAGGAAACTCTTCTTTAGGCGGAGATGGATTCATCAAGACCTGAAAATTATGGTGCGGGATTACTTTGTAGGCAAGGCCAAGTAATAATGAGGTCTTCTTGGAACTTTGGCAACTAAACTCCCTGGGATGGATATCAAAGAGAATCCTGTGTGATACTGGACTCCTCTGGTGGGAAAAAGATTCCCCTAAGTCTAGTGGTCCCAATTTGCTCACTCACTACCCATCTGCTGACCACTGTGCAAGGTGCCTTGGGGGGATGCTTATGGCCAGTTGGGGAGACAAGGCACATCCTCATGGAGAGTCATTGTAATGTTTAGCAATATGTCTTTAGCTGATCAACGAACTGTAGAGCATTTGTAGTGATAAAGAGGAATGTAATAGCCTTAAATCCTATATACACTTTGACCAAGAAATTCCATTTCTAAGAATTTAACCTTAGAAAATAATACTAGAAAATGATTTATGTACAGGATTTGTATTGCAGCATTGTTTGTAATAGCTAACAATTAGAAATAACCTTAAAATCCAACATATGGGAATAGTTAGATAATTTATGGTTAAATCCATTCAATGGAATACTATCGTTATTCCATTAATGATGATAATAAAAACCATTAAAAACCATTGTTTTCAAATAATGTTTTAAGGGTATGGGAAAATGCTCATATTGGGATCTTAAGTGGAAATAAACACACAAACAAAATACAAAGCTATATATCCAGTTTTGAATATCTATTATCTATCATTCTATCATCTATCTATCTATCTATCTATCTATCTATCTATCTATCTATCATTTACCTATCATCTGTCTATTTATCATCTATGCTTGACACTGGTGTTTATTACTTTCTTTATACTTGCCTATACTTTCCAAAATTTACAATGAATGTAAAAGTGTATTTTTTTATTACCAGAAAAACTCAATTTATGTATTGTTGCCTGTTTCTATGGTAGAAAGAGGAAGGCAAGACCAAGCTTGAAGGAGAAAATGTGGCATTTGTAGTTCAACAATCCAAGAAGGGAGTAAGACCAAACAGAACCTTCCAGGTGTCATTGCTTCCTGGGTCTCCCTTTAAGCCTGTAGAGGAAGGTGAGCAAGAGAAGAGACAAACATGGGGCAGTGACTTTTCAGAAAGACTCCATGAAGAGGTGATGGAGAAGCCAGGTGGGGAAGTGAGGAGGGACAAGTTCTCACTGGCATTTTGGGTGATGGCCTGGCAAGATGGAGGGCTAAAAGAAGGCCTGGTAGGAAGCCCACAACAGGTTGGGGATGCTTGTTATGCAGTTCTGCCTTTTAATAACCGGCACTTGTATCCTATGATTTAACTTCTAACTTGAATTGAACTTCACTGAGATTTCAATGTAACCATTCCCGCTTGAGCTGTGAAGGTCAGTACAACTTGCCCTGGAATGCCTTTGGCCTTCTTGCTGCCAATACAATCCCATCATACCTCCAAGGTGCAGGCTTGACCTCGCTTCCTCCAAACACCAGCCCTCTTTCTCTTCTGAACACCTGTAGCACTTGCCCCTTAGCTGCACCCCTCACATACCACCTCTGACTGCACAGATAGACAGAATAGACCTAGCTCTCAATTTATTTGCTACCTTCATGGAGATGTATCTGATACACCCTGTTAACTACATCATAAGGCTTGGGAGAGCTGCCACTCTGTCTTGTACTGTACCTCTTTGTGCTTTCATACAGGCCCTCTCGAGCAACGGAGTCTCAAAACCAGAAGGCTGTTTCAAGGTGATTCCTACATACCTTGCATTTGATAGGCTGTGAAACAGTCAGAGAAAGAATTGGACTTGTCCAGAGTCCCCTCATGATAAATGAGAAGCAATTCACTCATTCAACGAATACTTAGTGAGCCCATGTCTTCTGTCTTCAAGATCAGGGCACTCAGTAAACACTTGTTTGTTTGTTGATTGAATGGATGATATATTGACTACATCCCTAAAGTGGAACTCTAGATTTAACTGTAATAAATGTTTTTAGCACCGATTCTTTGCCAGACACCATATATGCATCACCATGTCTTTATTTCTCACATCCATCCTATGACACAGCTTTAATCCTTTATTTTTATAGATGAGAAGACTAACTGAGGGGAATTAACAACTTGAGTATGACTGCACAGATAGACAGAATAGACCTAGCTCTCAAATTCATTCATTGCTCTTGCCCCTACCCTAAATCTCAGACAGCTCCTGCACTGGAAGTCAGATGTGCTGGTGGAGTCATCCAGGGCGATTCTGCTTTCAATGTCAAATACTGTCTATTTTTCAGGCATCCAGGAAAGCTGTGGCCCAAATTATCCACAACTTAATGTCCTGTTATGAGCTGACTTTAAGATCATTTTCTTCTCATACAAGGAGACCTGGCATTTTGTTTTGGGGGTAGGAAATAGGTGAGGCCTGTTTTTCTGTGGTGGCTTTGCACCTTTGGCAATTAGGTCTGCAGTATGAAAAACAACAGCAGTCAGCCTGTGCTGGGAGAGAGAAAGAGAAAATTCTATCATGTCAGAATAATGAGATCTGTGATTTCAGCACTTACTGGGTCAAAGACACACACAATGTGTTATCCGTAATGCTTTTCTCCTGACATTTGGGGAAATTGCATTTATGCAGAGGACACGGGACGCTGGAACGTGGCACTCCACGGATGCCACTCAGAGTTGACAGACTGCAGTCTCCTTGCCAGAGGCTGGGCTTGATATCCCTCTAGGAGGAGTGAGCCACGGTCCAGTCCAGCCAGGGTGACAGTGGGGATCCTCCTGACTCCTGAGACCCTGCTATGCCCACTGCTGCTCCAGCTATAAGGAAATAGCCCAGAATCATGCACATAGAGCTTGCTGGTTAGCTCAGTGAACAGAGACACTCAGTGACTTCTTGAGCATCCTTTGCATGCAGAATGAAGTCCTTTTCCAACCCAACATCTTCTAGACCCCTTTCAGCTTCCAGTCTTTCCCAGCACACCCGATGTTTGGGACAGCCCTGGGCTTCTCTTGGAGGAAGCTTAGTTTCTGTTTCAGCCTTCTTCTTCATTCTCCAGTTCCTGCACACAGAGGCCCATGAGCACCAAAGGAGTATGGCTTGTTTCTCTGAGGCTGATTCGGAGGCAGGGAGTTTATCGCTCTCTCTTATGTGCTCCTCCATCCTTCCTCCTGTCTCGCCACTCTCTTTATCTGCAGTGGCAATGATGAAGTGATTGATTGTCCAGCCTCAGATGTCTTGTGTAGTTTTAAATTAACTCCTGGTACACAACAACAGGCAGACTGAGGGGGAGGTGCACACATGTGAACGCGCGCACACACACACACACAGAGAAAACCACAACAGGGAGAGATTCTCTTGCTTGATGATGGTGGTCAAATTCCTCTCCTGGACATAATACTTCAAAGGATTCTTCTTTCTGCTCTCAATCAGAACTGTTTTCTTGTCTGGTGCTATCAGAGATAACTGGTGGCTCGTTGAACTGGTATGGTAGCACATACCACATCAGCCATTCCTCAGAGGCTGGCATTTTCTGTGGCAGTAAAATGAAGCAGTTGGACAGATGAATGGCTTTCAAACATTTTTAGAATGGAACTCTTCTTTTTTTCTAAATGAAAATCTTACCTGGAACCCTGATGTCAAAAACAGATTAGAGTGATGAACTGATTCCCTGGCCAGTCTAGCTCTTGGCTGTTTGCTCGGATTCATGCCAATATCTGCAGAGTCCCTAAAGTATCTCCTGGGAGCCCTCAGGGTCTGTAATACTCATCTGAAAACCTACCTGACCAGACGGCGTGTCCTTACCAACCCTAAGGACCGCAGAGACTAAATAACTGTCTGAGATCACACGGTGAGTTAGTAGTTGAGTTGGGTTGTAACCCAGGTTTTCTGCACCAGATACAATAAACATATTTATGCCTCTGTAAGGGATGTGGAGTAGATTTTTTCTTGTTTCCCTAGAATTAGTGATGAAGTTCTACAGCTGAAGATAGGAGGCATTAAACCCCACTTTGTAAAGAGATCTGGTAACAACTGGGTCAGCATCTTCTTCCAGAGCTTCCAAAAGTGGCAACATTGACCTTCTTGCAATAATCAGGCCCCTGCCCCATGACAGAATCTCAGTCTACATATGGTGAGAACTGGGGGCTGAGAAGGGGGCAGTCATCAGAATTGTCTGCTTTGTAAGGGTGCAGTGTTCATAGTGAATGAGGGAGGAAAGGGGAGTTTCCATCCTCTCCTCCTTACTAAACCACGAGAGGTGGGTGCACTTGTGAAACTGGAAGATTAATATGCTATTCCTTGCTTGGATGTCCTACAAAGGGAACTCACAGACCTGCCTCAGAGCAAGGGAAAGGGAAATGGGGGTGTTGAGGCTTGAGGAAGGGGCAGCAGTGCAGCAGCCTGACCCCCACCACTGGCTTTTCAAGTCCTTCCTAGATCAAGGAGGCACAGAAGGAGAGAGCTAACTCTCACCATCTTGCCTGCATCCCACCTGAGAGATCAGATCTATTCCTTGAGAAAGGGATCCAGGAGCAAGAGATTTCAAGGAGGTGGACTACAGGTGGCAGGGGCTGAGGGGGCCAGTGTGGAGCAGGAAGAGCTAGAAGTAGGTCTTACCTTTCAGAGAACTGTGCGGGACCTGCAGGATCCTCCAAAAATCCCAACATGTGCCACGCAAAGAATAGTAATAGTGATTGGTGTGCACTAGAGAAGCCATAAAAGCCAGTATGTGTAGAATTATAATTGTACCCAGTTAGGCAAAGAGATATTTCCTTCTCCGACGCAATGTGTGAACAGACCGCCTCCCATCCTCTTGCAAGTCCCTAAAGCCCCAAGCTGTGCCAATGATGGGAGAGAGGGATCCCTTTAAATTGGGTATTAAATGGAAGTTATAAAGTGGACTGAATTTCTTCTTCAATATTTTATTAGGCAAATTAAAAAATATGCAGAAATGTTAAAAAATTGGAACAATTAACATCTATTTAATTACTTACTCATTTCATGAATTGTTAATGGTTATCTATCTATCTATCTATATCTCAAAGTAAATTGCAATGCCATGACACTTTACCCCTGAACATCACAGTATGTTCTCTTAAAATTAAGAGTATTTTTTCTTATAATCGCAAAGACATAATCAAGCCTAAAAAAAATAATTCTCCCGTGTCATCTAAAACACTGAATCAGACTACTGTAATCAGTGAACATGACTAGAAAGTTGTGGATTCTGCCTGGGATGTCACTAAGTAATAGGAGAGGGGGATTAAACCTATCACAGTTTGAAGCAGTGATTGGAAGAAATAAAACTGCTTCATGCTCACTCCTTAAGGGAGATTAGAGCTGATGGCAGTTATCTGAAGATGTTTCGCAAAGGATGTGTGGCTTTCTGCTCTTTTTTTTCCATCTTCCTGATTCAAGCTAATCTTCAAAGGTGGCCCCAATGAACCACATCTCTTGGTGTTTGCACCCTGTCTACTCATCTCCATGTGTAATCTGAGCTGGCCTTATGACTCGCTTTGACCAGCAGAATGTGGCAAAAGTGATCCTGTGTTAGTCCTGGTAGCTTTTACTTTTGTGCTTTTATGGGTTCTCAGCCACGATGTAGGAAGCGCAACTGCCGTGCAGAAGAAGCCGCATGAAGAGACCATGTGGAGAGGTCATGTGGTGGGCAAGAGGCCTTGAGTCTACCTGATGTAGAGAGAGAAAAACCCAGCTCCACCTGCTCAGCTAAGTCTGGTCTTCCTGCCTTTCATACAAAGGCACCAGACATGTGAGTGAGCTGACTGGAAATTTGCGGCTAAGTCCAGTCCCTAGATGATTGCAACCCCAGCTGACATCACAGTGAGAACACCCACACAGCTGAAATCATTGAACCCACAGACTCGTAGGAAATAATTAAGCCAGCAAGTTTTGGGGGTAGTTTATTATGCAGCAATAGGTGTCCACATTCAGAGCTTTGACAGAAAAAACTGTGTTAGATTTGAAAGCAGGCTTTCCCCAAAATGTACGGTATGCATGTAGAAAAGCATGCTGTTTAATATCTTCTTGTGCTTTCATCCTCTTGACCAAAGATCCAACTTCCACGAGGGGCAGGAATACATTTCCTCCAGTTAGCGCCAGATAACAAGCACCACATACAGGACTGGGCAGGCAACGGCATTATGATCCAATGGATGCAGCAGAATGATATTTGATGATGGCAGTGATGATAGGTTATGCTATCTATAGACAACATTCCATCTTACCTGAAGCTGTCCCAGGAGAATGATGGAGGCACCTTTATCTGCACAGCCAAGAGACCAACAGGGAACAAGCAACTGAGGGCTGAGCCCTCCCCAGGCTGAAACCAGCTCCCAGGGGCTCCTTTGATGATGATGATATTGACTCATGGTGATGTAAAGTGGGCAGCCCTGTCCAGCGGCCGATCTTTTCCAGCAATTACTTGGAAGTAATGAAAGTGAATGCATGACATTTAAAAAGAAACTCCTCTGTCAGCAGGAAAGCTGCCACATTCTCCTGCACCTCTGAGAATACGCTTAGCTTGAAATAATGTTCATTTTAGCCAAGTTGTAAATTACAAGTGTGTTGGGGTCCGAGGGGATTTATTACCATTTGGAAGGAGGTTATTGGGCCTTGTGCAGAGTGGCTGCTGCATATGGTGCATGTTACAAAGTGGCTGTGTCGTGAAGCTTGCAGCAAGGGAAAAAGTATCTTTCTTGCTTTCTCTTTTGCTCTTTTTCGCTTTCTCCTTTACAGCTCCTCTCTGGAGTCTTTTTATTGCTAATGCTCCACAGAAACACCAGCAATAAAGAGCACAATGTTGCAATCTGTTTTTCCAATTGTTGCTTGGATTTGATCTGACATCATTAATGACACATGACAGTGGGCTTGTTGATGAGTGGTTTGGCTGGGTTCTCTGCCTCCCTGGGTCAGAGAAGGGCAGGAATGCTGAGCTGCACTCGGAGGTTCGGCTGAGGGCTCTTGGAGTGGGACATGGGCAGTGCGTCAGCCGCAGCCTGCAATAACACTGGCCTCTCCCTGCCAGACCCCTGCCCACCTTGTAACCGAAGGGTGGACAGGGGAGGATGCCGTGCCAGAGGGGGAAGGGCACTGGCAACCTCACAACAGTCACCTTCTTTCAGCCACTCTGAGTTACCCTTTTAAAAAAGAGTTATAGCCCTTCAGCCCCCCGGGACTTGAGTTTAAAACAATTCTCTTTTCTTGGAGAGAATCATGCTGGGGATGGCGGCATAGAGGACAGGTCCCTGGCTTTGGAATCAGAAGGCCTGAAGTCGAGTTCAGGTTCTTCTGTGGACTTTTTAAACGACCCCAGAGAAATGTATTTGAGCTTCAGTTTCCCCATCTGTGAAGCAGAAATTTAGAAAAACAAAATGGCCCCACCGGCCTCCCAGCCTTGCCTGAGCATCAGTGTGAGAAGGTTCATCCAGTGGACACTCCTGGGCACTGCATGAAGGTGCAGGCCTCAGCAGGCCCAGGTGGGTAAGGTGTGGGCCTGGTGATGGCTTTGCAAATCGTGAAGGGCATGTGCATGCCATTGTTTTTATTTTATTGCATGTGAAATTGATTTTCTCTTACTGCCTAATAGATCGCCCGATGCATGGTTTCCATGCATTAGGAGACCAGGCACGGTTACCTGGGTCCATTGCTCAGGGTCTTTCTAGGCTAAATCAAGGTGTCAGCAGGGCTGTGATCCCATTTGAAGTCAGGGTCTTCTTCCAAGCATATTCAGGTGTTGGCAGAATTCATCTCTTTGTGGTTGTAGGATTGATGTCCCTGTTTTCTGTCTGGTTGTTGGCTAGGGGTCACTGTTGGCAACTGGAAGTACCCTCAGGTTCAAATCCTACCTTTGATTATGTCAGAGTGAACTCATTAGTAATCTAATCTTGGGAGAGACAGCCATCATATTCTCCATCCCTGCCCAAACCCAAGGGGAGGGATGACACAGGGCATGGACAGTAGTAGGTGGAAATCTGGGATCATCTTAGAATCCTTCCTACCACATATGTCCATTTCAAGATGGCCTGGATATGGCATGTGGGCCACTGACTTTTTTGGAAGCAATCGGGGACCCACGTCTTTTCACAGGCTTCAGTCTTGAGAGAGGAGAGAGCAGGGTTGATGAGCTCTGTTATATGTTGGGCCTTGTTGCTTTCCCTCTGTTCCTCCCTAGCTGATAGGGTGACCTACTTGTTCCATTGGTTACCAACAGTCCCATGAGGCAGCCCTTCCTTTCCCAGGCTTGGGTTCATCCATTTTATTGGCTAAAATCATCAGGGGATGCCTGAACTGGAAGGGCCCTTGGGTATCATCTAGTCCAGCAGTTCCTATGAGAGCAGTCACATAAGAAGAATCACCTGGGAACTTGTTCAAAAGACAGACTTGCAGGAGCTTCTGATTCAGTAGGTCTGGGTTGGGTCCAGGAATCTGCATTTTTTACAAATGCTGCAGGTAAACTTGATGAACAGCTAGGTTTCAAATAAACAAAACAAAATAGGTAGAATCCTTAAAATTGGAAGTAAGAGATGAGCTGAATCTGAATGCCTGTGGGTCCTGCCCAGCTTCTTCGGCAGCTAGCTACTCCACCTTTTTGCTCGCATTTCTCTCTCAGCAGTCTCATGATGTGTTTCTTATTTATTTATTTCTGTTGATACATAATAATTATACTTATATATGGGGTGCATATGATATTTTGATACATGCATAGAATTTGTAATGACCAAGTCAGGGTATTTGAGATATTTACAATCTCAAACACTTATCATTTTTTTTTGTGTTGGTATTATTTCAAATCTCTTCTAGCTATTCTGAAATATACAATACATTGTTGTTAACTACAGTCATCCTACTCTGCTATTGAACATTAGAATTTACTCCTTCCACCTAACTGTATGCTTGTACTCATTCATCAACCTTTCTTCACCCCCTCCCACGCCCTTCTCAGCCTCTGGTAACTATCGTTTTACTCTCTACCTCCATGAGACCAATTTTCTAGCTCTCACATATGAGTGAGAACATGAGATATTTGTCTTTTTGTGCCTGGTTTATTTCAGTTAACACAATGACCTCTAGTGCCATCCACGTGGCTGCAAATGACAGGGTTTCATTCTTTTTTATGGGTGGATAGTATTCCACTGTGACATATACCACATTTTCCATATCCATTCATCTATTGATGGGTACTTAGTTTGCTTCCATATCTTGGCTATTGTGAACAGTTCTGCAATAAACATGGGGCTGCACGTGTCCCTTTGACATACTGATTTTCTTTCTTTTGGATAAATACCCAGTAGGGGGATGGCTGGATCTACTTTTAGTTCTATTTTTGGTTCTTTGAGGAACCTCTATACCGTTTTCCATAGAGGCTGTGCTAATTTACATTGCCACCAGCAGCGTATAAGAGTTTCCTTTTCTCTGATTTCTTGCTAGCATTTGTTATACATTTTGTCTTTTTGATAAAAGCCACCCTGACTTGGGTGGGATAATCTCTCAGTGTGGTTTGCATGTGCACTTCCCTGATGATTAGTGATGATGAGCGTTTCTTCATGTACCTGCTGGCCATTTGTGTGTCTTCTTTGAGAAGCTCTTAGCTGTCTCACAGAACAGGTGTGAGCTTTGCCATGAAGGGGGACCCGGGACTGCAGCAACAGGCTGTAGCTTCAGGCCCCAGGAGGTCACTCCTTTGCCAACCTCAGGATGGCATCGGGAGGCCCTGCCTGCTTCCCCTTTTCCTTGTCATTGAGAATCTCCCAAATCTCCCAGCAATGCTTCCCCCAGCCACATCCTGAGCAGCACGCAGGCCCAAATTGAGTTGTAGATGTGAATTATTTAGAGGCACCGGTGGAATATTGTTGTATCAGTAACACAGACTATCACTTTGTGGCCTTGGGGCGGCCTCTGTGCACACTCCATCACTATTTTCTCTCATGAATAATGGAGGAGCTGAATTACTCTGCGTGTAGAGGATTCATACCCTGAGAAAACAAGGTTGCTCTGAAATTAATTTTCTGTACTAAAAGAGTGACAGAAAATCAATTAATCTCATATTATTCTATACGGAGACAGAGTAAAGGAAAGAGAGGATATAGCTCAGGACATACATCAGCAAGTGCCCAGGGTGGCTGAGAGCTTTGTCGGGGCTAACCCCAACTAAGTGGCCCCGGGAGTCCATATATCCTAACAAGGACACCAGGGTGAGGGGTTTTCCAGGCCTGCTGCTGTGCTGAGTGCTTTTTTTTTTGGCAACTTCATTGTCACCTTCTCCTTTCCTGACCCTTGTCCTCCCCAGCTCCCTCAAACCACCTCAAGGGCCAGTTTTTCTTCTCTAAGGCAAACCACAGAGATCTCTGTCCTTCGTGACAAGACAAGGGGGAGGTTTTCTCTGCCTGCAGCACTTGCTGGTTATCCATTCCTTAGGGGACCCCCTTCCCCTTTACTTTTAATCCATTCCTTAGGGGAGCCCCTTCCCATTTATTTTAATCTCAAGAAAAATCTCAAGTAAAGATTACCTGTGCTTATTCTCTCTGACAGTTAAACATCCCAGATGACTGGAGGCATTTGCAGCCCAACTGGATCACAAAACAAAAGAATGAGCCTTGCATAGGGGAATTTCAAGCAATTGGTCATTGGATGAGGGAGATTTTCAGGTCTGCAGGGCATCTGTTGTTGAGATTTCCTGGGACCTGTGCAATTGCGCCGCCCTGTCGGTAGCTAGCTACTCCGCCCTTTTGCAAAACTGGCACCATTTTGTGTCTTTTCTGCACACAGCTTGCAAAGGAGACTGGGACGCTCTTCTTATATAGAATGTAGGTGACAAAGAAGACAAAGACACTGAGGCTGGCTTCCTCCAGGGGAGAGCAAGGTTAACCAGTCTGCCCCTCACTACTATTTAAAGAGGGCCTCGAACTGAAGAACCAGGGCTTCTCTCCACCAGCACTCAGCAACTCTGTGATGCCCCCCACTGAGCGAAACGCCAAACATCCCTGCAGGCTGGGCAGGGGGTGGGGGAGGACAGGCAGGAAAGCCATGAAGCTGTGATGGCCACGTGACCAGCTCCTTCCTGATCTCATCCGCGTAGGTTAACAGAACCACTTGAATACACCAGCCTGATGAGGGGTAACCATGTAAGGTCTCACAGAGTAGGAGGCTGGACTGCATTAAAGGTGCCAACAGCAATATCAGCTTTCAGGGACAGGGAGGATTTTTAGATCTCCAGCATACACTGCTCTCCCACCCCGTCGGATTTATTTTTTTTCCATTGGATTTGACATTATGCTGAATTGACGCTTTGAAGGCTAAGAAGGTTTTGAAGAAAGCCTTTCTTGCTGGCTTGTGCTTTTTGCTGCTGTTACACTACATTACTCTACATCCCCTTCCTCCACTAAAAAGGAACAAATGGCCTGCTTATCAGCTGCCTGCATCTCTCCCAGCGGCTGACATGCAGGCAGATGTGTTGCATCCTGCAATTCTGATGCGACGCCTCAGCACCCCAGCCGGCTGACAGGCAGGTGCACTGCACGCCCCAGCTTGGCTCTGATGCCACTGACTGCCCTGCTCTGCTGTGGCAGGATGCTGGGTGTGCCCCTGAAGTCAGTGTCTGGAGATGGCAACTGTCCCTCGTGTAGTACAGCAGCAGCCAGGCTCACATCAGGCCCGAGCCCTGAATGGAGGGAGGCAGGAGAAGATGCGGGAGCAGCTGGGCACCTTTTACCCCACAACAGGAACACCTGATTCCAACTACAGATTGCTTAGAAATCCAATTTTTCCAAAAAGTCATTTTAATTGAACCATGGGTGTTCTCCATTTAAAGAAACGGGATGTGGTGGAGGAGGGGAGTGGAGGTGGTGCTGGTTCAGTTTTTGGTGAGAGAAAAAAATATTTTTACTGATAGAGATTTTAGCTCCTCCCAATTCTTGCTTAAATTATCAACTCTTGGGTTATAAATTTGCTTTTTAGTGACAGCATAGCTGCAGCCTGCAGGGTCTCTGAAGAATGGGTCTTTGTCAGAGGGCACATCTCCTGGCAAGGGGGCGTTTGCTGCGTGCTGCCCAGCTCTGAGCAACAGCCCAGAGCCCTGCTGGCTGCTGTCCGCACCCTGAAGCCGGCTCTGAGTTCGATGAATGCTCAGCCTTTGCTGGTGTGGCCGGGGCTCTCATGTGCTGCTTCCATTTCAGGTGAGGACACTGGGGATAGTTATGCTTCTATGGTGGGTTTTGTGGTCAGGAACTCAAATCCCTGCTCTGCTGCAGCATTATTTTGGTCTGAGTTACGTGCCTCTGTTTCCCCTTCCACCCTGTAGAGGCTCTGATCCAGCAGGAGGTAGGCGCTCACTGTGGAGAATAAGCACAGTGGAGTGGAGGACAGAGATGCAGCTCAGGGCCACCTGCATGTGCTGGGCCAGCTCCCTGCCCCCACACTCCCACCTCCCTCGGAGGGTGCCACATGTGGAGCCAAGGGAGGTCCCCTCCCACGGGGGCAGTTGGGAGCCTGCACTCTCAATCGGCCCATGTTTATTGACTTATAAATCTACTCTGTTTAGCGGCTCAGTAGAAAGGTGCAGCTCTCCCCCTGTGGGCTCCCCTCATTCTCTCCTGGCAGGCTTCAGAGCCCCTTGCCAAAGCTCCAGGTTTGGGGAAACAGCCGCCCAAGGGTCTGCAGGAGTTGGAGCCAGCAAGGGGAGGACAGCACACAGCAGCCCCCAGTGGGACCCTGTAAACAAACCCAGCCTCATTAGTTGTCTTAGTGCCTCACCCACCTGTTGGGTTTCATGTCTTCTACCTTGCCCTGGTTCCATACACACCCTCTCCAGGGAGGCAGAGATTATGACTACTTTTTCACAGATGAGAACACTGAGGCTTTATGTGTCCAAGGGGCATAGCTACAGAGAACCCAGCTGTGATCCCAGCTTACTGCTGTTTCTACTACGCCATGCTGTAAATGGGATAGAGGCAGGAGGCCTGCCTGTTGATTCTTCTTTTTTTGAGATGGAGTTTCACTCTTGTCGCCCAGGCTAGAGTGCAATGGCATGATTTCAGCTCACTGCAACCACCATCTCCCAGGTTCAAGCGATTCTTCTGCCTCAGCCTCCGGAGTAATTGGGATTACAGGTGCCCACCACCATGCCCGGCTAATTTTTGTATTTTTAGTAGACACTGGGTTTTATCATGTTGGCCAGGCTGGTCTCAAACTCCTGACCTCAGGTGATCCACCTGTCTCGGCCTCTCAAAGTGCTGGGATTACAGGTGTGAGCCACCACGCCAGGCCTGATTCATTTTTATTGCAGGCCCTAAAGTAGAGGCCAACTGAAGTTTCGTCCCCCTTGGTACTTGTTGATTGTTGGGATGATGGCAGGGAGATGGCTATATAGATAAGACACTCTTTCTACCAATTTGGTTCAATAGACACAGACAGAACTCATAAGCCAGCCACTGGGCTACAGGGATAAAAATTGGATGCTCCGATGTACAAGTTGGGAAATAAGAATCTGAGCTTCTGTCAGTTTCCATCTCCTTGCTTTTGTTGGTCATAAGAAGTAAGAAAGGACATTATTAAGTCTCCAGCACCATCTATGTTCTAGAACCGATGCCTAGTGCTATCACTTAAGCATCACAATACACTTTTGAGATAAGGCAAAATTATACTCCCATTTGCAACTCAGCAAACTGAGGCTCAGAAGAGTCAGACAGCTTGTTAAGGCCAGGTAGTGAACAACTGACAAGGGTGGACTTCATCACAGGCCAGCCTGACACAGGCACTGCAATGTGACCAATTTGTCCCAGCCCCCAAAGTTGTTCTGTAGGTTTCACTGAGTTTTTTGATCCTCTTGGTTTTGCAACGGTGCTGCCTGGCACTCAGGCCTCTCTCTGTACCCACCAAGGCTCTTCCTGAAGAATGGAGAGACTGACTCTGCAAAGGGAAGGAGAAAACAGGCCCTGTCACCAGACTCGCCTGGTGAGAAGTCCCTGTGGCAAGCTGATTTGACACTAATATGCAATTTGCATCTAAATTCTGCAAGCTTTCAGCTAATGTCCCATCTATATTGCATTGTTAAAGACCATCTTATAATGTGTTTAAACAGAAAATGTATTGTCTTAAAGTGGTGTTGAATGGAGGCACAGCTACACATGGTGAGAAGAACAATGTACTTAACATCTCAAGACTACACTGGAGTCTTGATTTGCATTCTAAGCCAGTTATGTGAATGTAGTCAAATTAATTATTCTTTCTTAGCCTCAATTGCCTTATCTATAACATGAATATAATTATATCTTCCTACCTTACTTAGCTTATATGTATATCAATGAAATAACGCATGTAAAAACTGCCTCATGATTTGTAATGTGTTACATCAATACGATGGATACTTAGAATATACTTATTCCACTTTATTTACCATGTTGATTTCTTCCTTAGAAAAATAGATAGAAATCTACACGCTCTTCTTTAGATTCCCTTTCCCCTCAACTGTTGCCTGTGCTTTTAGAAAAAAACTTAGTTGGAGGAAAGGTTCTTGTTCTTTGAAAATGTGAAAAGCATCTTAGACAGAGATAGCTGTCCAACAACTGTAGAAGTTGGGTCACCTTTTTAACAGCCACAAGATGCCATGAAACTATATGGAACTTGAAGGCAAGAACATACTGGCAGAATTTCTTACTGTTGAGTGGTACCAGCTCACTTCAAAACCACTGCTGGGTTACACTGAAGTGAAGTTGCTTCCTGTGATCCTGGTGGGCACAGTCCATGCTTGTGGAAGTGGAGACCCACATTTCATGTGGACGAAGCGATTTGCATTTGATGCTGTCATTCATTTGTTTGTCCCATTTTTTTCCTGCTAATATACCCATTGCAGTCTATGAGAAATTGATACTGATTTTCTATTATCTTTTTCCTAGGAAAGCTATCAGCCATTGCCTGCTTTTCTGGATAGCGTGGCAAATGGCTGATATTTCTGGCACTTGGCATATCCTTTCCCTGGGAGGGTGAACATAGAGTCTGCTTAATAAACAATTCAAAAGGAGACTGTGCTGTTAACTTGGTGACTGTCAGGCTTTCTGAGGTGGAAAGTTGTCCATGGATTCAGAAACTTCTAGGGTCTAAAGATTCATAAGATCTTCTGGTTGGGTTAGAGTGTGCACTAGAGCTGAATTGCTCAGATAGTGACAAAGGGGATAAAACCAAAGAATGGAATAAAAATGAGGGCATTTTGAGTCAAACTTGAGAAAAGGTATAAAGGAATTAGGAGAGGGATTACATCTGTTTGCAAATGTGTAGAGGTTGTGCCCTTTGTAATTCTCTTGTGCTGGTTCTGGCTTCTTTCCCCTTCCCTGTCGTCCTTCTGTACAGGATCAATGTTAGGCTATGATTTAGTGTAGCATGCAAGGCAATGACATTCAAGGTAGCTACAAAACCTGTTTCTAGATTGTACCCTCTCAGAATTTCATTTATTTATGCCTCCATTCATTCAACAACTATTTATTGGGTGACTAATATGTGATAGACACACTTCCAGAGACTGGGATATAGCAGGGAACAAAAATTTCAAAAACCCTTTGCCTTCTTAGAGCTTAGATTTTAGTATGGGAAGACAGATAATAAGCATAAATAGTAAATATATCAGATGATATATGATACAGTTATGGCAAAAATAAATCAGAGTAAGGAAGATAGGGAGTGGAGGGGTACTGCTAATTTTTTAGGGTGGTCACTGAAGGCCTGTCTAATAAGGTGATATCTGGGTAGGCACTTACCTAGAGGAAGGGAAGGAGCAAGCCACTCAGATGTCTGGGGAAGAATGTGTCCAGCAGGCTGAACAACAGGTGAGAACTGTAGGTGGCTGCAGGCATGTGTGAGGTTTAGCACTGGGGTCAGTGTCTGCAGTGGAGCACATGAGGGAGAAGGTGGCAGACAGATTAGAGAACTTAGTGACGGGGGTGGGGGCAGGTAGAGCTTTATAGCCTCTGGTTAGCAATTTGGCTTCTTGTTCTGCATGAGATAGGAAGCCACTGGCAAGTTTTTATCTGGCTAATGACACAATCTGACTTCTGTTTTAAAATGATCTCTCTGATTGCTGTGTTGATAAGAGATGATAATACAGGAATAGAGCCAATTACAAAATCCAGGGGAAGTGCTTGGGCCAGGTTGGTTGGGGCATCAGGGGGAGTCAGATGCTGGATATTTGCAGAAGGTAGAACTGACAGAGTTTGCTGATGGATTGTGTCCATTACACTAGGGTATGGCAAAAAGAGAAGACTCAAGGATGATCCAAAGGTTTTGGCCTGAGCAACTGGGATAATGGTGCTGTCATTTATGGAAAAGAGGAAAAGAGGGTCTTTCACTCTCAACAGTCCTGACACACCTCCTTTCTCCATCATCCAAACCACCAGTCTGTAGATCATCAATCTCCTGCTAACTGGAGAACTATTTAATAAGATGATAATCAGTAAGACATTTGCAAAACCCAGACTTTTGTGGTGATGTTGGATAATTCTTTCTTGATCTAGACTTATGCTCTGAGGCAGGTGGGGAGCACCTGTGCAGCTTTTATGAGGCCCCTCCCACATGGCTGGTACCGGTAAATTAACTTCCTAAGCTAGAAGTGGCCTCTTTAATTATCATCCACAGTGGCTGTAAATCAGTGCAAAGACCACAAACCGGCTGTGCTTATATAACCTTCATTCAATATCTCTATTTCTTTTGGCTTCAGTTACCTTTCAAATAAGAGGAGGACTATATTTCTGGTCTTGCTTATCTCAGAAGGTTAATGTGAGGACCATGTAAGGTCATCCAGGAATGTACCTTATAAATGAAAAAAAAAAAAAGGAGACATCCTGGCCTTTGAGAACTTCACACATAAGAGTCCACATGAGCGTCTGTGTTTTGTGTTTTGACACCAATACAACTAGCATCCAAGCTGCACATTCACATGGACAATCTCTAAAGATTTCCATTCAGGGATATAAAGTTCTCAAAAATGTGATTGTCTCCCAGTCAATGCTAAGTAGCCTTCAGGCTCAAGAAACCACTGGATATTCCTATGAAGATGGTAAACTAACATTTTACGGTGACACGTGAATTGGAGGAATAATGATCATACAAGAACTAGGGAAAGTTCCCAAGGATATGAGAGGCTGTGGGGAACTGGTGTGTATATGTGTGTGAACATGTGTGCAATGTGTGCAGGTGTTTGTGTGTGTGTACATGCGTTTATGTGTGTGCATGTGTGTGTATCCATGCATGCATGTGTGTGTTTGTGTGTGTTGTATGTGGAGGCAGTGGTTGAAGCCTGGGATGGGGAATAGAGGAGAGTGGGGAATGTCTTAATATCTGCTCTTGCCTACATTGCATATTGCCTAAGTCCTCATCGCCTGTCCCAATTAATCTGTGATTCTTTCAGGACAGCGCCAAAGCCCAGATGGGGAGAAGAGATGGCAGTAAGCATGGGCTGAGTGGAACACACAATACAGCCTGGCCTTTGACACTTCACAAGTATCCATTACTAGAAAAACTAAGCAGCTGAAATCCCCATAAGAAAATGAGCTTGCAGGCTACAACAATAAAACAGCTGAGAACACAACCAATGAAAAGGAAAGACAGCAAGCCGAATTGGGCCTATCAACTAAAGCAGAATTACTAGTAACAGATTGGCCAGGAATTTAACATAAGCAAAATAAAGATCCAATAGATAAAGGAAAATATTAGCAAAATGCACTACAAAGCAGAATCATAAAAAGGAACCAAGGGAAAATATTAGATATAAAGAATGTTATGCATTTTACCACAATTAAAAAAAAACACATTCTCATACTGGAATTTAAAAGATCAACAATATGCTGTCTACAAGAGACACACTGCAATGCTACAAGAGGGATGAAAAAAAAGGATAGGTAGAAAAAGATATTCCAGGTAAATATAAACAAAAAGAAAGCTGGCTAGCAATCTTAGTATCTGACATATTATAATTCAAGGCAAAGATGTCATGATAGACAAGAAGGAACTTTATTACATTGCTGACAGGAGCAATGAGAAGATATAACCAAAGGTGTGAGAGTGGTAGAATGAAGGGTTGAACTGGTTTCTAATCCTAGGGAAAGGCATGTGGAGGAAGATTTCTGGGTCTGGGAAATTGGCATCAACCTGAGGCTTAGAATGTGACCTGTTAGTTTTAGCCTGAAATTGAAGTTTGAACCTAAAGATTATGCCAGAAAAGCCTTATTTAGGCCAGGTGTGGTGGCTCATGCCTGTAATCCCAGCACTTTGGGAGGCCAAGGTGGATGGATCACCTGAGGTCAGGAATTTGAGACTAGCTGAACAACATGGTGAAATCCTGTCTCTACTAAAAACACAAAAATTAGCCACATGTGGTGGTGTGTGCTTGTAATCCCGGCTACTCGGAAGGCTGAGGCAGGAGAATTGGTTGAACCCAGGAGGCAGAAGTTGCAGTAAGCCAAGACTGTGCCACTACACTCCAGCCTGGGCGACAAGGGCAAAACTCCATCTCAAAAAACAAAAACAAAAACAAAAAAGCCTTATTTAATCAAGGACCTGGGGGCTGGTGAGAGGATTTGACTGGCAAAGGGGTGAAAGTAGAATGGAGCGAAGGTGAGAATCCTGCCTGGAGTAGCAAACTCGTCACCACTGGCCCTGTAAGTACGCTGTAGGCCAATGGTTTGTGCTGCAGGAATCTATCCACTGTCATCAAACAAGCCAGACTATCATGATTTGGTAGGTTCATTATAGAGAAGAAAAGGGAAGTATCACTTAAAAAGCAACTACTGTCAGCAATATGAGATGACAGCTAGGGTAATGGGACCAGTGATAATACATGAAGACCCAAGCATGGATATTCCTGATGTTTTCATCACACGATGCACTGATGAGAAAAAAATCTCTGAGTAAAGCATTGGCTTTATCCCAATGAGGAAGGCATCACCCACTGGCTAGTGGCTACGGGCATGTGACTGATAATCATTGGGTATTCTTCCCTCTGGAACAGTGTTCTTGAAATAGCATGGCCGTGTATGAGGGAGGTACTCAAGACCAGACGGGTTGGGAGAACTATTTAAAGAGGGAAGGGGAATGTTCTCTTTCCTGGCCACCATTGAAAGTGGGTCTCGGTATGCTTGCATGAACATGGCAAAAAAATGCTGAGGAGACAGTCATAGTTCAAGAGAGTTCATTTTGGTGTTTTAAGACATAATGCAAGGCTGTCAGGCTGCTAGATTTTTCTAGATTCTTTTGCAGTGCTGGATTTGGTGTTGCAGGAAAGTTATAATCAGCGGGCTTAGCACGGCCTCTTTGCAGAAGAAGCATCTACATGAAGGAGGGGTTCCCTGGAGTTGATGGTCGCGGCAGGCCTGGAGTTCACCTATTTCCACCTCTCATGCACTACTGTCAAGGAGAATCTAACTATAATGATCGGTGGATTTCTTTCCTAAACACACAAAACAGGGCGCATAGTTTGGCAATTTTATTTTTCTGTGTTGGATATTTATTTGCAAGAAAAATTCTTGCAGGGGAATAAAAATGAAGTCACAATGACTTGTATATTTAATGAATTAGCTTCACTGGAAAGTATACAATTGCTTTAGATGGGGCTGTACTGGGTAATCTTGCCGGGTCTGTGAGACAATGATGGCTCAGATGGCAGCAAGTAGCAACCGCTGGAGAGAAGCTCACTTTCCCACTTCCAGATCCAGCAAACAGGCCTTGCTTTGATGGGCACGTGATGTGAATTGCCTGAGGCTGCACACCAGCCTGGGCATGGCTGAGATATGGATTCAATTTTCCTGCCTTCTGGACTCCCTACAAGCTCTGCCCTCTTACTATTTTCTTTTCCACTATTTAACTCATCCCCTATCAAATTATTTGATGTTTTCATTTACAAATAATAAACATAAGGAAATTCTTTACATTGAGAAGGAGGCAAACTTATAAGACATATACAATATGTCTTGGGTAGGATAATGAGCCAAATAAAGATGGATGTGACAGGAGGCAGGCTGGCCTTGAATGACCCCACTATCAAAGGCAACCCCTTGTGTCTAACCCATGGAGCCCCTGGACCCTCTCTGACATTTGCTAATTACAGTGACTAATTAGTATGTCATTGGCCTCTAATCATGTACCCAGACAAGATTAATAATGATGAAACCATGGAAATTAATTTACAACCATCTACATACTTTTCCTGGACCCAGCTAAGCTCACTCTTCTCTTCTGGATAGGGGAAATAGGAAGTCCACAAGCAAGATAACAAACGGTCAAGGGAAAAGGAGACATTTTAGAGCTGCAGCTGAGCTGGGAACAATCCCCTTCCCCAAGCAAGTGGCCCCATGGAATGCAGTGGCTTGGAGGAGTCAGAAACAGAAAAATAAGGTCAGGCAGAAAACCAAAGGACCTCCACAGCCCCAAACTGATTGAATTGTATGCAGGGGTTTAAAATAAAATTAAAACTTTAATTACAAGACTCTGTAAGAGCAAAAGACGCTGAGAGTCGGGAAACCTGGATTTGATCCTTAGTTCTGCGTCTCATTAGCCATTTGTGGTTGTTCCAGCCACCCAATCTCTCTAAGCCACAGGCATGTTGAAGTAAGAGCAAGGCAGTGGACTGGAATCATGTAGAGTCATCCTCAACTCCTTGCCCTTCCTCATCCTTCTCTTGTGCCACAAACCATAAGGATTCAGCCTCTGCTACCCTCTCACAGCCCTCCTTTCCCTCTGCCCCGTCACCACTGCCATACATTAGGCTCTTGAGGTTTCTTATCTGTGCTTTTGTAACTGCCGTGTGGTGATCTCTAGGCCTGTTACTCCTCTACAAGTCAACCAGTTCTCCAAGCTAAAATAAAAGCAACAACACAACAACAGTTAAATGCATTGCACCCTCTAGAAGTCCAGATTCTCTAGCAGGGCTCTTAGACTTATTCACAATTTGACCTCAGCCTGACTGGGCCATCCATCTCTTTCCATATCCCCACGAAGCATACACTTGGCTCTTCCAGGTCATATACTTCTTTTACTTCTGCCTTCTGCCCCCAAATCCAATATATTTTTTCTCAGTTTTTTTTTTTTAATCACAGTAAATATATAACATAATAATTTCCATTCATTTTGATCATTTTTAAATTCAATGGTATTAATTATATTCCTAATGTTGCATTATCTTCACCACTATCTATTTCTAAAACTTTTTCATCAGCCCAAACAGAAACTCTGTACCTATGAAGCAATAATATCTTCAGGCTGTGGTAATCTCTCCTTTTTCTCTCTATGAATTTGCCTGTTAGAGATATTTCATTTAAGTACAATCATACAATATTTGTCTTTTTGTTTCTGGCTTATTTCACTTGGAATAATGTTTTCATAATTTGTCCATGTTGTAGCATGTACCAGAAATTCATTCTTTTTATGGCTAAATAATATTCCACTATTGTGGATATACCATTTTTTGTTTATACAATCATCTGTTGATAGACTCTTGGGTTGTTTCTACCTTTTGGCTTGTGAATCATGCTGCAATGAACACTGGTGTATAAATATCTGTTTGAATGCCTGTTTTTCATTCTTTTGGGTATGTAGCTAGAAGTCAAATTGCTGGGTCATATGGTAATTCTGTGATTAACTTTGAGGAACCACCAACCTGTTTTGGATAACAGATGCATCATTTTACATCCCTAACAACAATGTATAAGGGTTCCAATTTCTCCACTACCTCATCAACACTTGTTATATTTCACTTTTTAAAAATTATAGCCATTCTAGTAGATGTGTAATGGTATCTAGGCCATTGATTTTGATATTGATTTTCCTAATGACTAATGATGTTGAACAACTTTTGATGTGCTTACTGGCCATTTTTATATCTTCTTTGAAGAAATGTCTATTCAAGTCTTTTGCCCACTTTTTAATTGGATAGTCGTTCTTCTTGTTGTTGAATTGTAAGTGTTCTTTATATCTTCTGACTATTAAATCCTTCTTAAATATAAAAATTTGAGCATAGTTTCTCCCATTTTTAGGTTGCCTTTTCACTTTCTTGGTAGTATCCTTTGATGCACAAAAGTTTTTAACTTTGAGGAAATTCAATTTATCTATTTTTTCTTTAGTTGTTCATGCTTTTGGTGTCATATCTAAGACTCTATTACCAAAACTGAGATCATGAAGATGTGCCCATATGATTTCTTCTAAACCTTGTATAGTTTTAGCTCCCAAATTTAGGTTGTTTATCCATTTTAAGTTAATTTTTGCATATCTTATGAGATTTTTGCATATGATATGAGAATGCAGTGTACAATTGCATTCTCCTCTGCCTGTGGAAATCCAGCTGTCCTAGCACCATCTGTTGAAGAGACTATTCTTTCCCCATCAAATGGACCCAGAAACCTTGTCAAAATTCAATTGGCGATAGATGTGTAGGTCTATCTCTGAACTCTTAATTCTACTTCATTAGTTAATATGTCTATCTTCTTGCCACTACCACACTGTTTTGATTATTGTAGCTTTATAATGAGTTTTGTAATTGGGAAGTGTGAATCTTCCAAACTGATTCTTCTTTTTGAGGATTATTTTGGGCATTCAGGGCCTTTTACAATGTCATATGAATTTGAGGACTGACTTTTCCATTTCTGACAAAAAAAGCTGTTGAGATTTTACTAGGTATTACATTGAATCCACAGATCACTTTGAGTAGTAATGACATCTTAACAATATTAGATTTCCATTCCATGAACATAGGATCTATTTCCATTTTTTTAGGACTTCTTTAATTTCTTTCAGTAATGTTTTGTAGTTTTCAGTGTAGAAATCTTTTACTCCCTTAGCCAAATTTATTCCTGCATATTTGATTCTTTTAGATGCCATTATAAATGGAATTACTGTCTGTATTTCCCTTCTGGATTATTCATTGTTAGTGTATGGTAATGCGACTCATTTTTGTGTGCTGCCCTTGTAATCTGCAACTTTGCTGAGTTTATTTTATTAGCCCTACTGGCTTTCTTGTGGAGTCTTGGAATTTTCTCCATCTAGGTTTATGTCATCTGCGAATAGAAGTTGTTTTAATTATTCCTATCCAATTTGGATGCCATTTATTTCTTTTCTTGTCTAATTATTTTGGCTAGAACTTTTAGTGCAATTTTAAACAGCAGCGGGGAAAGCCAACATCCTTGTCTTGTTCTTGATTTTGGGGGAAATATTTCAGTCTTTAACTATTAAGTATGACGGTAGCTGTATTTTTATTTCATAAATGCCCTTTATTATGTTGAGGAAATTCCTTTTATTCCTAGTTTTCTGAATGCTCTAGTGTACTTTTATACTACAAATGATTTACTTAGTTTTTTCTTTCTGTCTGGAAATTTATTTGCTCTGATTCTCTAGATAGAGGAATCCTTCCTCAAGCCCAGCCCAAATGTCACTTCTCTCACCCCCACAAGCTCTTTGTATATAAAATCTTGCCTCCTAATTACTTGATTTTTTTATTGTGCACTTTGATAGCCTGTGATATCCTTGAGTGACAGGGCTGTTTTATTCATTTTGCTATCCCCAGAATCTAGCACAGGGCTCATGAAATATTTGCTGGAAGAATGTTGATTGAGTAATGTTCTCTGATTTTTCAACTTCTCTACTGTTTAACTTGTCTCCATGAGCTACTGCAAGGAGAGTCACCCTTTCTATTTAACAAGGAAGGGCTCTGGGAAGGGCTCCGAGAGCTGTAGTCAATGCAGCCGAGGTGGCCTTGGGGGCTTCCTGGATGCTTATGACACATGAACAACAAGGTGGAGAATAGCCTCTCACCCTATTCCAAGATGAACACCTTAAACAAGCGGGAGCTCACTACCAAGTGGCCTCTTATGCTTGAGTTCACTCTTATGCTTGCTCAAGAGCTTTGGCAATGCCAGACCACCAAACCATTTTTGTCTCTTATTGCCAAATCAAACCAAACAGACAAATACCAACTTAATGACTCCTATGTGCCCAATGCATTGCTAGAAGCTCTGGAGAAATGCAAAGAACTCCACCCGACTTAGCACATTCCTTCACCCACAGTATTTAAACAAGGCCAGGAGAGGAAGGTTTTCAGGCCAGGCTGTGTTGCAGGGGAATGTGTTAGTTTCTTATTGCTGCTATAACCACAAACATAATGGCTTAAAACAACACGGATTTATCATCTTACAGTTCTCAAGGGTAGAAGTCCAAAATGCATCTCGCTGGGCTAAAATCAATGTGTTTGCAAGACTGTGATCCCTATGGAGGCTCCAGGGAAGTAGCTTCCTTGCTTTTTCCAGGTCATATTGGCTTCTCAATATTTTTTGCTTGGTAATGCTGTTACTCCAACCTCTGCTTTGATCATCATAACTTCTGTGCCTCTGCTTCTCATGCTTCCTTCTTTTACTTACAAAGACTCTTGTGATTACACTGGGCTCTCCTGGATAAAGCAGGCTTATCTCCCCATCTCAAGACCTTTAATTTAATCACACCTGCAAAGTTCTTTTTGCCATGTAAGGTTGTGGAGATTAGAACATGAACATCTTCAGGATGTGGGCCATTATTCAGCCTACCCCAAGGACTATGGACAGCTTGATCTTTCAGTGACTGGAGCAGATCCCTTGCTATCACTCCCATGTTCAAGTTCATGTAGCAAGTCATCCTCCCAGCCCAGGGCTTCTTCGCTTTACAGAGGAGGAAACAGATGCCTGGGGAGAGAAAGTAGCTTAACTTGGATTGCATAGCTAGTGGTCGACAGAACTGAGCCTAGAAAGAGGCTCTCTAATCTATTCAATGCCAAGATTCAGAGATTTCGTGATTGACCAGAGAAAGAGGGACAGGAGAAGTAGAAATTGGGAAAGGGCCGTTACCCCAATCTTCTTTCTCTAGATATACAACATCTCAGCCATTCACAAGTGAATGAACTTATTTTCAGAGAGTCAGGAGAAATTTACCTCCCTCAGTCAAGGAGGGACAAATCTATCTGGTAATTTGTGTGTGTCTTATTACTAGCTTTGGAGATTATGTTTTTTCTTATTACTAGCTTTGGAGATTATGTTTTTCCCCTTCCATATTCCATTCCATGAGAACATCACATCAGTTACTCCAGACTTCACAAAGTTTGAACCCACCTGGATTTTCTTCTAAACACCCAGAGGTCCCTTCAGGGGTCTTGGAAGGTACCAGGGCTCAGGAAACCCCGACTCCCCAGCTTACTCAAACCGACAGATTGCATTTCCCGTTAGCTCAGCCATTAGCTCCTGCCTTCTGTTACTCTGTGCCCACACACGGTCTCCCCACAGACTTCCAGAAAACTGCCTCCTGCCCATGCTCGCCACTCCGGCGCTGCTCTCTGCTGGGAGTGACACCCCTCTCTGCCTGCTGCCCCCCCACCCATGTCTGACACTAACTCAGAGACTTGCGTCTGGGGCTGGAATTTTGTCGTTGCTATGGAAGTGGGAACCAGCTCAGCCTTCCAAACTCACAGAGTGCCCAAAAACACACACGGCATCTCGCGCTGACACACCACTGACAACCCGCGATGACGGGGATGTACTTTTGAGTGTCATCTTGACAAGGAGCAGGAGCCTCTATCTGCCGGCCCATCCGCCTGGCCATCTGTCTCCCGAGATTGTCTGCACTTGACTGGCTCGGATCCTGAGCCCCCCTTGCTGGGGTGCCCGTCCTTGCACGGCCTGGCTGCTTCCAGGGGGCGAGAAGGAAAGAGTCCCTTGTCAGTAGGGTTGCTCTGCAGGGAAGCAGGTGGGTGAAGGAGTGCTCTGGGGGATGCTCAGGGTCGCTTCCGAGCCTGGCTTAGGCAGTCCCAAGGCCACGGGTGGGCATTTCAGCCAGTGACAGAGGGAGGAGAGCCAGATCTCCTGCCTTGTTTGTGGCCTGAAGCCACAGCTTTTGGGATTTCCTTGGCTCTTGGAAAGGCAGCCCTTTGGGGAGGCGCCAGCATTTCCAGGTGGTGTGGGGAGGGCTGCCCAAGACACATGGATTCCTTTGCTTCCTGTCTCCAAATCCCCCTGTGAGGAAGGGGTGGAGGAATTCCTGGCTTTGGTGGACTTCCCAGCAGCTAATGTCACCAGCTACTGAAGGTGAAAACTGGGACCTGCAGTTTAGAGAAGGGAAGTTTGAGCATCTGGTGAGACAAAGGGTTGATAGGAAGGAGCAGAGAAGATAAGATCCCTTGTCACTTAGGATTGACACGCACGCACATGAAACTTACCACATCCGTCCTGCATGCCCTCTGGGTCTTGTTCCACTCTCCCATTAGGACATGGGGCATGGCTGTCTATACCCTACAATGCCCACCTTAGTGGGGAAGAGACAGGGAAGCACATGGTCAGAGGGGTCAGCCCCCTCCCTGGCCAGCCCTCCGTGGTACTCTATTCTGTACATTTACCCCAGTCTGCAAAGAATGTTCGATGCCCAATCCATCTGCGAATGGTGTTGTGAGACCCTGCAGTCCTCCATATTCCTTCCTCTCTAAGCTAATTTTTCAGATTGTTTCTCTTTTTGTGCTCCCCTCTCCCACTCTTCTCCCCCATGAATATGGGGTACTAGGTGTTGTGCTTTTGATTCTTGCACAGCCCCATGGACCATGTTTATCGGGGCCTCAGGTTGCCAGCACTTCTCCACTGTGGTGGCTGCTTGGTTACTAGCTGGGAGGCACTGGCTTTTGTCTGTCCTGGAGTCAGAGCCCAGAAGTGCAGCCATCAGTGTTGCATCTTCAAAGTGACAGCACTGCTCTCTCTCCTCCTGAGGCTGGGAGGAGACTGGCCCCAGCCATTATTAGCTGATAAATATTTGGCTTGTGTCTCCTTCTAAAATAATCCTCATGCACAATGATGGCTGTCAACTCTGGCTCTGAGATCTAATTTGAGCCTCCCTGTCTACATCTGGTACCAAGGCTCTCATGTGACTGTGATCTCTTAAGAAGGAAATGAAACTGTGTCAATCAGCTGATGGGACTTAAATGCTGATGGATGTGGCAAAAGGTGGGAAACATAAGTTGAGCAAAGCATTTTGTTTAGGCTCAAGTTACTGCTCTGTTGCTAAGACAGAGTGTTCTCATGATTTGGACAATACAGGTTCATTCCCTTAACATGAACCAGGTAAATCATAGCCCTAGCTCAGAGGTTCTCAAAGTCCACCCACAAAAACCCTCCAGAAACTATTCACGAGATCTCTAGTCACAGCAGACAGTCTCTCTATAATGCCCACTTATTGGGGAATAAACAGTTACACAGCAAAACCTCATCAAGACAACTAAAGTCAAGGGAATAGTTGATAACAAGAAACAAACAAACACAAAGAATAAAGGAGGAGCTTCTAGGTAAGTCTTCTGGACACCATTTCCCTAACATTTTTTGTTTTTTAAATTTTCCTATCCTGATTTTGGGGAGAAAAAACCCCCCAAATTTTGCTAGTTTAAGCCAAAAATGGAATGTTTGGAAGTTAATGTGATATAACGGAAAGACTTGAACAACCAGTTTTGGAAACTTGCAAGATGAGTTCAAAGGACTTCTATACAAATTGGTATCATTAAAGGGACTAGATTCCAACTATTTCTAGTTTTTATGTCTGTCTCCCAAATTTCAAAGTCTTGGAAGAGAGAATTGTACTGCATCAGCCTGAGTCTTTTGTCTACCCCCTGCCCCCAACCGTCAATAAACAATAGCTTGGGGTATGTAGTATTCGCCAGAGAAGGAAGATTCCTGTTGGCCAAGTGGCTCCCCTGAGAGGTATCCAGTAGGAAGCTATGAACCCCATCCACCCTAGACAAGGAAGAGTTTCCCCCAGGCAACTGGAGGCATTGACAAACATTTTGAGATAGACATTTTTGCAGATGTTTCTATTAATAGATTGTAGCTCCACAAGAGGACGTTCCTTCAGCTTCAAAGATCTGTACAGAGCAGAGAGGAATGGAAGTAGCTGAGATTCTGCAAGTATTTACTGAGCACCTACTACAAGCTAGGCATTCTTTTGGATACTTAAATACATTGATGTAAAAAAGAGAGAGAGAGATCTCAGCCCTCATGGGATCATTTGGAGTAGTAGGATTATGTTGTTTGGAGACTTTACTACAGGTCTTGAGAGTTTCCTAGTGCCTATTTCAGGAAGGATCTCATTGATTACCAGTATCTAGTCAGCTCCTATTGAGATATCCCTTTCCCTCACCCCACGAACCTAATACATCACCAAGTCGTATCTGTCCCACCTACTAAAGAGCTCCTGAATCTGCCTGCTGCTCTCCATCTCCACCACCACCGAGCCTGAGCTACCAGCACTCTCAGCTCAGCAGCTACACATCTTCCTAACTGATTTTTGCAAATCCACTTTGTCTTTCATTTGTTCCTTGTCCACACTGCAGCCAGAGTGATTTTCTTTTATTCAAGATGCAAATCTGATCACATTGGCACCACTGCTTTAAACTTGAGTGCTTTCCTGTTGATCTGAAGATAAAGGCCAGAAGATCGAACAGCTTAGAAGGCTTTTTGCAGCCCAGTCCCTGCTTAGCTGGCCAGCCTCACCTTGTGCCATTGTGCTTGTTCTCTGGGCTGTGTTCATGTCACTCCTCAGGGTGCTTGCACAAGCCTTTTGCTCCATCTGGGATTGTTCTCCCTCTCTTCATATATTAAGCACTCTCCCGTTCTTCATATAGTTAATTGCATCTCAGCTAAAGGGGGAAATATGCCCTGCTACTGCCCCTTTTCCACTTCTCCCCTTTACCATGTGATTCCACAGAATAGGAGTGGTTTGTAAGTATCCATTCATGAGTATAGTCATTGGATTCATGTAGGTCTCTCCTACTAGGTTGTGAGCTTTCTAAATGTGAAGACATTCTAACATCCCCAAAAAGTGTTTGCTGAGGCTGAGAGTTTACTGAGGGATAAATCTGCCTTAGGTATTGAGGTCTCCAAAGAACAAAGAATTCTGTATTAAAAAATGGGCAGGGGGCGGGGGCAGTGAGAAGAAAACTCCAATCATAGGCATCTATTTCAGTCCAGTTTAACGCTGATGATAATGACATACCCCAAACTGGTTAATTTATAAGGAAAAAGAGATTTAATGGACTCACAGTTCTATGTGGCTGGGGAGGCCTCACACTCATGGCGAAAGGCAAAACACACATCTTACATGGTGGCAGGCGAGAGAGAATGAGAGCCAAGCAAAATGGGAAACCCCTTATAAAACCATCAGATCTTGTGAGATTTATTTACAACCAGGAGAATAGTATGGGGGAAACCACCCCATGATTCTATTATCTCCCACTGGGTGTCTCCCACAACACGTGGGAATTATGGGAGCTACAGTTCAAGATGAGATTTGGGTGGGGACACAGCCAAACCATATCAGCATCCATCTAGCAGTTCTGTGTTAAAGGGCCACCATCCTCTCTGTGAATTCACCAAGGTAGCTGGTTGATAAATCTGTGGGAGGGAGAAATCTCATTGGGAAGAGATGCACTACCCTGTATTTAGAGATGCACCAGCAGAATGGCTGGCCTTGGGACTCTGCTTTCCAGGTGGCAGAGGAGAGGAGAGAGTTGAGGGAGTGGGGTCAGGGGGCTGCAGCTTCCAGGGTTCTGTGGCCTCAGGTGAGCTGTAGGATCTCTGAGCCTTAGGATCCTGGAGTAAAAAATGAGGAAAAAGAGCAGGGAGAGTTATAAGCATTTAATAGATGATGTGAAATGGAATGTTTGGCTCTAAAACTATTCAGATATTAGCTAGTTTAATTTTTTTAGAGGTTCAAAATCATCTGGAGATTGAACACCCTCTCTGCTGGAAGTATTTTACCACTGCTCTAATGAGGTCCATAGTAATCCCAGACCCGGGGATCTTCTGTCCCAGAGGAAAGGGGCCTCGTCTTTTCACACACCTGCCTTTGGAGGCCCTGGGCTGTCTCCTTGCCTCCATTTAGCGTTTTGATTTGTGCAGTTTTGCTGAGAATCTCTATTGCAGAGTGTTGACTTATCAGTCATCCCAATAAGTTCCCATTCTCTCTCCTCCTGACAGCCTCGCCTAATGTACTTATTCATTCAATTTAAATAAATCGAACATGGGCCTATGACAGCCGATAAGTGAGTCACACAAGAACAAACAGAAGAGAAAGCTCTGCAAATAGTCAAATGTCAAGGAAGAATGGAAAACTGTCCCCACAGCCTCAACGAACCTTGGATATCTAATATTTATGGCCAATTGATGTCATTAGAAAGTAAATAAGCCCTCTTATGCTGCATTACATAAGATTAACTGCAAGCAATGGAGTTTAAATAGCAGAGATAAGTGCAGATGGAAATAAACCTGTTTAAAGCTAGAAATATTTGATGGGCCTCCTTGCTGCTTTTAAGATAATTGATCTGTATATCTGTATTGAATCTCACCATAAAAGCTTTGAAGAGACTTGTGGAAGAGCCTGTTCAGACCCAAATCACATTTCTCTGGGGCCACCCAACCAGGGTTAGAGTCTCTCCAAAGAGAAACTCTAGAGCTGGGAAACTGAAAAAAACTGAGGAGAAACAGGAGTCTTGTAGCTCTAGGCCCACCCCTCCACTGCCCCCATGCCAATTTCCTGGATAACAGCTAGAACTAAATGACCAGCCTCTTAGGGGGCTGAAACTATGACAAGCAGGATCATGAAAGGAACCTTGGTTCTTTAGTTTGTGGGAGAAAAGAGTGAGGTGGCTGGGAGGCTCTCAGTTGCTTTCTTTGAGGATTTCCAGCAATTTTAGGTAAAATAGTGCATCTCAATTTTCAATTATTCATGGCAAAGGAACGGTTAAAAAAAAAAACTTCTCATCCTTTGATACACGGTTTTACTGTTTATAACTAGCATGGAGCTCACATCACAATCCGCTTATCACGTAAGTTTGACATCTGATTGTGTCTATATTGTGTTCCACAAGGCATGTCCACTGGTCACGTGCTTGGTGACCAATGTCCAGTTGCTATAACATTTTGGAAACTGTTCCTTTCATCTTTGTGCTCACGGAGGCCAGATAGCAAACAGTGTATGAACTCACATCTATCCATGCACCACTGTTTGTTAGTGCTGATGTAGAAGGTTTGTTCTCTTTGTCTTCAGATGGTAGGGAGAGAATTAGGAGCAATCGATGGAGTAGAAGGAGACCTATGTTATCCTAAAAGGACAATATTTCCTAATAGTCATAGCAGACACAAACCTCAATCCACAAACCCAGATGGACAAGAAATACAATTTTTTTTTTTGAGATGGAGTCTTGCTCTGTTGCCCAGGCTGGAGTGCAGTAGCATGATCTCTGCTCACTGCAAGCTCCACCTCCCGGGTTCATGCCATTCTCCTGCCTCAGCCTCCTAAGTAGCTGGGACTACAGGTGCCTGCCACTATACCTGGCTAATTTTTTTTAAGAAATACAATTTTTAAAATTTTCTATAGCAAAACTTAATTTTTAAATGAAAAATTATGATTATATATATATATATGAATTGCTAATAGTCACAAGTGTCACTTTAAAAAAATTTTTTATTTCTGTAGGTTATTGGGGTACAGGTGGTATTTGGTAACATGAGTAAGTCCTTTAGTGGGGATTTGTGAGATTTTGATGCACCCATCACCTGAGCAGTATACACTGTGCCCTATTTGTAGTCTTTTATCCCTCATCCCCTTCCCACCCTTTCCCCCGAGTCCCCAAAGTCCACTGTGTCATTCTTATGCCTTTGCACCCTCATAGCTTAGCTCCCACTTATGAGTGTAAACATATGATGTTTGGTTTTCCACTCCTGAGTTACTTCACTTAGAACAATAGTCTCCAATCTCATCCAGGTCACTGCAAATGCCATTAGTTCATTCCTTTTTATGACTGAGTAATATTCCATTGTATATGTATACCACTGTTTCTTTATCCACTGGATGATTGATGGGCATTTGGGTTGGTTCCATGTTTTTGCAGTTGTGAATTGTGCTGCTATAAACATGTGTGTGCAAGTATCTTTTTCATATAATGATTTCTTTTCCTCTGGGTGGATACCCAGTAGTGGGATTGCTGAATCAAATGATACTTCTACTTTTATTTCTTTAGGGAATCTCTGCATTGAGCAAAACTTAATTCTATGATGATATCACAGTGCTTGGGCTAAAAACACCCAAATCGCAGTTTGAAGCCTAACACATTCACCTTCCCCCAGGTAGTGTATAAGTTGCAGGGATTTTAACAGAGAGCAGAGGCTGGAAGGGGTGGGGGCCTCTGTCTGGATTGCCATCATCCCTCTGTGTTGGCATCCATTAGGGGTGTCCTCATTCCCATCGGCCTTCGGTCTTCAGTCCAAGAAGTTCTCTGCAAGGTCTTCTTTGTTCCCAGCTTGTCCCGTTTGCTGGCTGTCTGTGCCACATTCATGCCACTTGTGGCTGTGTGGAGAACACGTGAGGTTCTCTGTGAGGTTGTCCAGGCCCGTCTGCCTGTGCCCTCCCCTCCTCCCTTCCCTCCTGCTTCCAGCACAGGGTTCTGTGTTGACAGAAGTTGGGGGGATTTTGAGGGGAGTCTTGCTGGGCCCTTTGGCTCTATCACAGAGTTGGAAGGTATTGGAGTGGGGCGGGGAAAGGCATCTTTCTGCCTTTGCTCTAATCTGGAAAGTCTGTCATCCCAGCCAGAGTTGGCCCAGGTGACAGTCTCTTCTTGGGGACTTCCCAGCACCTACATTTCCTTCCTTTTCTCTTGGACCCATGGTTTCCTTCCTCTCAGTTTAAGAATATAGAATCATTTATTTACGTGTTTTTTTTTTTTTGATGGGGGGAAACCTGGCTTAGACTAATCTCAGAGTCTTTTCAATCTTTGCCTCATTGTTTAGACCTTGGCTTTTGAAACTTCAGCCATAAATTTGACTCTTTGATTCTGCTGTTCCTTCCCTGAAGCGAAGGAACTTAAAAAAAGCCTTGGCTGCTGTCTACCAGAGGTAAGGGTGGCAAGGTAACAGAAGCTTCTGGGACTGTAAGCCACATGAGGTAAAATATGAAGATGTTATTACACACCACACTCAAAAGTTAAGACCAGATAGACTGTGCTGCCTGGGTAGCAAATGCCCCATCCCTGAAGACCTCTGAGCAGTGCCTGGACAATCTTTGTTGATGAGGAGATTTAGAGACCAGATGACATAACCTATCTATAGGTTCTATAATTCTGTGACTTTGGGGTGGGAAAAGCAGATACCACATGGGAGAATCCAAGGGAAGAAATCACAAGAAAGTCCACCTGACTGCACCTGAGCTCAAGGGCAGCCAGTGCTGGAAAAATGATGGTGGAGAGCCAGGGCTGTTTTCTGACCTTCTCTTCTCCACGGGGACCATTTCTCCTATGCGGCTGACTTATCCACATTTTGTGTCCCTTTAAACCAGAGATTCAAGTGTCAGTTTAATTGTCCTGTGGCACCAGTACTGTCATTAGCACTCAGTCGGTGTTAATTGGAGATGAACGTGGCATCCCCATTTCCTTTTGTAGAGATGCCAGTGATAGACAAGTCATCCTGATGGTATCATCTGCATCATTCATGTATCACTTAGAAAGATCAATAGCAGAACTGAGTAGCATCTGCTTTGTGTGTGTTCTGTAAACAGTAGATTGTACTTCTCTTATTCCAGCCCATGGCACAGTGCCCTGCTCATACTAACTCTCCAGGATGTGGCTACACATCAGATGGGGCTACAAAGTCAGGAAAATAATTTCTTTTGTAACTTGCAGAACGTTCACTAGCTCATATCCATTGTGGTTTTAATTTGCATGTCTTTGATGACTAATAATATTAAAGATACACACTGCTGGTGAGAACGTATAATGACACAACCACTTTAGAAAACAGTTTCTAAGTTTTTTTGGTTCATAACATCACACAAACACTTGTATATAATAAAGTTCATGGTGGCTTTATTTGTAAGAGCTAAAAACTGAAAACAACCCAAGTGTCTATAAACAGATGAATAGATAAACAAACTGTGTTATATTTATATAATAGAATACTACTCAGCAATAAAACAGAATGAATTGGTGATATATGCTATAGCAGAATGAATCTCAAAACAATTATGCCGAGTAAAATGTAAAAGATCAAAAAAGAACACACACTGTATGATTCCATTTATTTAAAATTATAGAAAATGCAAACAAATCCAGGGTGGCAGATATCAGATCAGCTGTTTCCTGGGGATCTGGACTTTAAAATTACAGAGGGGATTGAGGAAACTTTTTTGGGTGACGGACATATTCACTATCTTGATTGTGATGATGGTTTTGTGAATGTGTGCATATGTCAAAACTGATCAAATTGTATACTTTAAATATATGTGATGTGTTGTCGTAAGTCAATTATATCTCAATAAATTTTTTTTTTTTTTAAAGACAGGCATTTTTTTTTTCTGTCGATTACCAACCTACCTCTCTATTTCAATGTAGTTATTGACTGGTTATTTTTGAAGACTAAATGGGTAGGTTTTCTCCTTTTTTTTTTTATCATCTTCTGCTTGCCTTCACACAAAGGGGAAGCAGTAACTGTGTTCCTGGCTTATGATCTATCTACAGCTTCTCCAATTCTGTGACTTTGCGGTGGGAAAAGTGGATGCCACGTGGAAGGACATCTGCAGAGCCCACTGGAAAGTAGCTGTGGTCCTTTAACATGCTGGAACAAGAAAGAGTAGGGAGATGTTTCTGGAGGATGGAAGGAAGCAATGACAAGAGCTTTTTATGACTTTTTGGTGTATTTTAAAATGCATTCTCCCGAAAGAAGTGGCAGGGTAATATGTACACTATGACCATATTAAAAAAAAACAAAAAGAAAGAGACCCCAAACCATGCATACGAGTTAGTGTTCTTCAGAGAAACAGAACAAACATGACATATTTCCATATAGAAGAAGAGAATCAGTACAGGAACTGGCTCCTGTGAATATGGAAGCTGAGAGGTTCCACCCAATGCCATTTGCAGGTGGAGGCACCAGCAAAGCTGCTGGTGTATTTCATTCTGAGTCTGAAGGCCAGAGCGTCTGGGGGACTGCCAGTGAAAGTCCATGAGTCTGAAGGTCCCAAAACCCACAACCTGGATGTCCAAGGGCAGGAAAAATGGACGTTCCACCTTAGGAAGAGCAAGTGAATTCACCCTTCCCTTGCCTTCTGGTTCTATCCCGAACCTCAAAGGACCGGATGATGCCCCCGCTACCTTGGCGAGGGCAGATCTTCTTGACTGAGTCTACTGGGTCAAACGTGATCTCTTCTAGAAACATCCTCACAGACACACCCAGAAATTTTACCAGCTATCTGGGCATCCCTAAGCCCAGTCAAATTGACACAAAAAATTAACCACCATATCCTATATAGGTCTGTATGTGTTTGTATGTGCATATATGAGCAGGCAGAGAGATACAGAAGAACACACACCAGGGGATTAATATTGCTTACCCGAATGGGTTGGATTAGGGAATGGGGAGAGGGAATATTAATATTTTAAACGTAACTTTCATATGTTTTGATGTGTTATGATGAACATATATTACCTTTGCAATGTACATGACCTAATTTAGAAAACTATTTATCAAAACTGAATTTTCATATTTTAGAAAATTGTCCAAAAGCTGTGAAAGCATTCTATTTTAAATTACTAATAGATAGTATATAGGTATTCTCTATTATCTACCTTGCAGTACTTCCATGATACTGATAATTTTCCACCCTGTGTTTCATAGCATGAAAGTTCCCTGGGACTTTTGGCAACAAAAATGTTCCCAGAGTCCTTTTGACAGAGGCTTGTCCTCTTGTAGAAGAGAGGTTGCCAGGTGAGACCTTGTCTTTAGTTTGAGTGGACTTGTGAGCTGTAGTTATCGAATGCATGTCTGCTGTGAATCAACTAGGAAACTTATTAAAAATATAGATTTTTAGAACCTATACCTGGAAATTCTGATTCACTAGCCCTAGCATGAGGTCTAGTATCTGAATTTTTCAAAGATTTCTTAGAAGATTGTGGTATGCAGCTAAGTCTGGGACCACTACTCTCTGGGACTCAGAGAATTTTCATTGAAACCTTTAACAGGAATCTTCCCTTTATTCTAGAAACACCATTTTCAGAGTGGAAAATTATAGGGTATTTAGAGTATATGAAATTTGTAAATTACAATACCCTAGATTGGGGGCTCTGACCAGACCCAGGTGGGGATATCAGTCTGACCATGGGCTGTTACTGCTGCCCTAGGGCAGGACGGTCACCTGGAGAGCAGCTCCCTTATCCACACTGGGCATCTTTGTGACAGTCAGCACAGGTTTGGAGGGAGATGGGTAGAGATTGATGGCACCAGGCTCTGAGAGGAATGTGAGATCTGGTTTCGTGTTTAACTCCAGAGACCTGCTGACCCAGCATTGTCCTGAGGAATTCTCCCTGGGTACTGTCTAGTCCAACTACTTGAATTATCTAGTGACAATTTCAAGCTATTCAGATTTAAAATAGAGAAGAAGGATGTTGGGGTATTTCTCTTTTGAAATTGCTCACAGGCAATTCAAATGTGTGCAAAGGCTTTGGAAAAACTTTTGTGTGTTCAGATGTCCTCTGTATCCCCAGATGTTTCCTGGTTGGAAGATCATTGTCTCCAGGCTGCTGGGGTCTCTCCCTGTTTTTGACAGGCCCACGTTTCAGTCTTTTGGTGTGTTAGGGGCACGCATTCATGAAAGCAAGTTTTTAATAATCATTCCACAAACATGTTGGCATGATGGTGGCCTGAGGTTAGGGTTAGGGTTAGGGTTGGGGTTTGTGTATTACTGGCCTGGACAGACTGAGCCCTGTGCTGAGAGATAGAATTCTAGGCAAGTGGTGGGGCTCTGTCTATGGCTATGGGGAACTGCATGCAAGTGCATGTTGAAAGGACTGGGGCTTAGAGGTGCCGGCGGTGACAACAAACAACTGTTGAAGCCCCACCTTGCCTCCCACATTCTTGGCGAGCCCACTGGGCACCATCTGCAGATCAAGAACATGACAAGGCGACATTGCTACCACTATTTCCATCATGGAAACATTTATTTGGTCTTCCAGGGTTGCTTTCAAGATGATTAATCTCAGCGTGGCTGTGTGTTTAGGCTCTCCGTAAAGGCAGGTGCATGTGTCCATGCGCGGCTCTGTCAGGACTGCTAATGTAAGCGTCTGTTTTACAGCCCAAGTGACAGCTGTATTGTTCTGGCAGGGTTACAGCTCTGACATGTGGAATCAATCTTTTTAACCTGTCAATTAATCAGCGGGCAGCTGTCAGCCCAGCTGAAAGGCCTGAAGGACAGTGCCCTTTCAATGGATTATACTGGGGGCATGGCAGAGTAAAATTGAACACTTCAAGCTTCAAGGAACTCTTGTTGCATTCAAAGCCAGGCTTCACTCTCACTTAAAGGAAACAGGCTAGAGCTCCAGTTTGGGCCCCTCCTGAGGACGCTTTATTGAGGCATTTGGGTAATGATTAGGAAGCATGTTCCTGTGGTTACCTTGCCACGCTCAAGAGCACTTTAAAGGGGAGCTTCCATATTCTGCCAGGTGAGCATCATCTGGGCCTGGGTCAGGTGGGGTTGATTCATTTCTGATGTCCAAAGCAAGCAGTGGATAATAGAACACTTGGTCTTTAGGAGGATTTACAGAGTGCCCCATAGAAGGAAGCTGGTTTTGTAAGCCAATGTTTGCTAAGCCCTTTTTATAAATGGAGGATTACCCTAAGGGCACAGGAAGAATATAGAGCAGAATAAAATAGATTTCCCTTCCATTATCACTTTACATTTTAATTGGGCAGACACAGGCAGAGAGCTGCATAAAAGGATATCACATAACAGTATCCTCTATAGACAGTGAATTATTGTTTGTTAAATACTGGAATAGACATAAGTTGGTGTGTGCTAATAAACAACTGGATGTTGCTGAAATAAAGTTATGAGCAGATTAGAAGAAGAAAAGTTGAGGACTGGAGCTGCAGATGAAGGCTTCCTGGAGAAAGGGTGATGAACCCTTGGAGCCCACGCTGTTTTCTGTTTTTCCTGCTGCTCTTTCTTGCCATTCCATAAATAATTTTCTCTATTCCTCCCCTCCTTTCTTCCTTCCACAAATATGTATTGAGCACCTAACATTTGCAAAGCCTGCTGCAAGGTGCAGTGGGGAATAGAAAGATGATTCAGAAAATGTTGAATTTAAAAGAAAATCCTCACCCCTCTTGTCACTGTCAGTCCTGGGGAGAGGAAGAACTCTCCTTACTCATCCCAGTGAGTTCAGGAATCATCAAGGCTGTGAGTTATTCAATTTCTTTTTCATCCAGGATTAACAATCTGCCCATTTGTATTTTTTCCTTGTGAATCCTCAAGTGAAAACTGGTTTCCTTTTGCCTAAGTGATGGGTGAGTTCTTGGTTTTATAGGCACATCCACAGGCCCCCATCATCATGCCCTTTCTCAAATAATGTATGTGATTTCCCTCTAACCCAGCGTGCTTTTGAGCAGGACAGCTCTGGGTTGAATCCTAGTTCTGCCACTTACTTATTGTGTTAACTTGGACGGATTTCTTTGTCTATCTGAACCCTAGATTTTTTTTAACCTCCAAAATGTGGCCAATAATGTTCAGCTTTAAAGAGTTGTTGGGAGAATTAATAAGATCATGAATGCAAAATACCCAGTAGACTGATGATTACAGGAGGCACTCAAAAGAATGATGGTGCAGTGGCGTGATCTTGGCTTATTGCAACCTCCACCTCCTGGATTCAAGCTATTCTCTTGCCTCAGCCTTCGGAGTAGCTGAGATTACAGGCACGCGCTACCACTCCTGGTTAATTTTTGTATTTTTAGTAGAGATGCGGTTTCACTATGTTGGCCAGGCTGGTCTCGAACTCCTGACCTCAAGCAATCCACCTGCCTCGACCTCCCAGAGTTCTGGGATTAGAGGTGTGGGCCACCATGCCTGGCCCCCGGATTTTTAGACATATTTTTGGAAGGGAGAAAACAGGGCTGACTTTGTCAGTATCCCCTAGTGCCTCTCTTGGTAACTGTTTCATAGTAGGAGCTCATAAACGCTGTAACATTGTATCATTGGGTGGCTGGTGATTCTGGGATCTCTATTTGGTATGGTCACCAATTAAATTAAAGAGTGGGCCTAATAGTGGAGCATGTTCTGGCTGTAGGTCAGGCTGCTGTCAAGTGACTTAAATCTTCTCCCCGGGCTGGTTGGCTGGAAGTCACCCATGCCTCTAGCTGCGGCTAAAAGCAAAGCAGCCGTAAGAATGCCCAGGCCAATTGCAGAGGACTGAGAAGTGAATTTAGATCTCTGCAAACATCATGTCAGGAGCATGATTAGCCTGGTCTTTCCTCTCTCTGTCACATGGTGTTCAGCATCTGCTCCAAGCAAACACGCCCACGCCTGTTGAGACTGGCATCTGAAAACTGTATTTTTGGTAGGATGCGTGTCTGCATAGTCCAGTGAGAGAGGAGCTGGAAAATCCTTGTGTCTCACAGGGAAGCTTATGTGCCATTCTGACTTGCAAATATGGGGGCTACTTCCAGAGAAGCATATGGTTAAATCATTTTGGCTAAATGATCACTCAAGAGCACGATGAAGTTTTTCACCAGAAGGACAGGTGGTCAATGGTGCATCTGTTTCTCCTCCGACTGAATGAGGTGGAAGAGAGAACTCCCTCCCATTGACCACCAGAATCCCTGACTGGTGTAATTGAGTGTGTTGTTGGATCCAACCACAAGGGAACAGGTTTTTACACTTGTTAGTTACACCATAGAGTTTATGGAGTGTACTTCGATACTATAACATTATGGTATTATTGTCATACAAATTCCTTTGTCGAGGCTAGGCATGCAAAGTCATGTGAATGAATGATGGCTGTTATCAGAAGCATAGTTATTATTAGATACAATGCTGTACCTCATTTTACTCATTTTTACTCCAAGTTTACAAATCAGTAATTGAGACTCAGAAAGCCTCAGCAATTGCTCAAGATCATGGAGCTGGTGAGTATCAGAGTCAGGACTTCTGCAGCCCAAGTCTTCTGCTAACAATATCGTACTGTAACACATAAAAGTACTTTTATGCAAATCTTGAACTGCTCAAGTCATTAGATCAACTAATAGCACTTTATTGCACCATCTAGCTCTGTTGCCATGAAACTGGATACAGTAAGGAAGGCATTCTAAAAGGAGGCAAATTTGATATATAAACCAAGGCTGTGTAAAGCAATTTGCTGAGTGACAGGGGATTTAATGAGAGTAAAATTCTTGGCAATGGCATAACTTTTTTTCTCAAAAAAGTTTTGGAAATTAAATAAGTAAAAAAGAATTGAAGAAGTATCTGGAGATCAAGAGGAGAAGAGAGATGAGACTTTGGAGTGGGGAGAGGGGTGGGGGGACAGAGAGAGAGAGAGAGAGAGAGAGAGAGAGAGAGAGAGAGATCTGTTCTGTGTTTACAGAACAGTTCCTGTAGTGGGAGTGTGGTATCTGCTTTCATAACCTTAGCATAAAGAACCTTCATACTATTTTAACCTCCAGCCTGAACTCCATTCTTAAAATCTGAATTAAGCCACACGAATGATAGTCACTTTCACAATCAGTTCAGCAAGTGAAGATGTTGCAAATATTCATGAGTCCTTATCAAATACTAGTTATTTTGTTGGGTGCTAGATGTTACAAAAATGAATATGATGGAGTCTTGCCCTCAGAAATTTCATAGTCCAGTGGGTGAGACAGTCATCCAACCACACATTGTTTTAATATAGTGAGATGTGTGCAGAATGATAGATGTTAGACGTGTGCAGACAGCGTGGTACAGAAGTACAACTCATTTTGGCCAGGGAGTGAAGGCGAGGAGGTGGCTAAAAGGGTTTTAAAGAAGAGACAGGAAATTTATCAGGTGAGCAATTACTTTCTAGGAAAATAGTTGGAAATATCTGAAGCAAAACATGATTTGATAAATTTGGCACTTTTAAGACTTCCTTATAAATAGAAAACAAGAAGAATTATGATCCGGTTTAGATATACTGCAGTTCATATTTATGGTTTCCAAAGCTTGAGTTTTCCATCTTCACGTGTGAGACTTTCAGGGCACATTTATCTTCATATTTGTGACTTTACTGAAGTGGTCTGAAGGGGCTGGGCATTGACTGGAAATAGACAATGATTTCAAAGTGGAAGAGCCAAAGCTGATGGATATTAATACGGCCCCCAGTCTTAAAAGCCCACACTCCAAAAAACCTGCTCAAAATGCAGCTTTGGCCTGTCTGGGAAGCTTTTTGATATCCATTAAGTCTTCCAGGTCAAAGGGAATAAAACAGAACCATGACCAAAAATCAGAACACCCAAAACGAAGTGTATTTTCTGGGAATCAATGACTCTTTAGCCTGCGGCAGGCCATTTCATGCTAAATGAGACTCTGTTTCCCACTATGCACTAAGAAAGGGATATGAGGTTTGTGATGAAAAATGACATGCCTGCATCCAGCAATGAGTCCACAAGGCCTACATTGCTGTATCAATTGTAGAAAAACCAAGCAACACTCCCCTTCTGACCTTCCTCCCATCCCCAGCTTTTTAAAAGATGTAGTCAAATAACTCTTGGATAGAAGACTCTGCAGACTAAAATAGCCATTGTAAGTCAAATGTGCTGGGGTCTTTTTCTGTTCCCCCTTTTTTTCTTTCTTCTTTCTCTTCCTTTCCTTTTTTCTCCTTCCCTCCTTCCCTCCCTCCCTTTCTTCCTTCCTCTCTCCTTTCTCTCACCCTCCCTCCCTTCTTTCTTTCCTTTCTTCCTCCCTCTCTCCTTTCTCCTTCCCTTCCTCTCTCCCTCCCTTTCCTCCTCTCCTCTCCTCTCCTTTCTCCCCCCCACCTCCTTCCTCCCTTCCTTCCTTCTTTCCTCCTTTCTTCCCTTCCTCTCTTCCTCTCTTCTTTCCTCTCTTCCTTCCTTCCTCTCTTATTCCTTGGTCTTTCATTTTTGTTTCTTTAAATAGCTTTAGGTTTATAGAGTTGAATTAATTCTGTTTCTTAGTATGCCACTCAGCACTGTGTTTTTTATTATGTAAATTGTTATTGTAATATAATACACATAAAGAAAATTGCCCAAATTCAAAGGGCACAGCTCAGTGAATTTTCACAAAGTTAAGAAAGTTCACCAGCAACTAGATAAAGAACCAGAGTATGATCTGAACCCCAGACCACTCCTCCATCCCCTTCTAATTGGAGACTTTCGCCTGCCAACGGAAACCATGATTCTAGGTTTTAACATTATAGATTAATTTTGCCTGCTTTTGAATTCCACAGAAATAAAATTTTGCTTTTGCTATCTTTGCTATTTGACGTATCTCACTGAACATTATATTTGTGAGATTAATTCAAACTGTTTATTTATTCTCATTGCAGTGTAGTATTCAATTGTATGAATATACCAAAATGTATTTATTCATTCTATTCTTGATAAGTATGTGAGTTGTTTCTAGTTTAGGGCAATTATAATGAGTGTTGCTATGAACAATGTTACAGATTCTTGTGGTGGACACACATGTTGAGTACATACCTGGGAGTGCAATTGTTGTTAAATATCACCAAAATGTTTTCAAAGTGATACCACCAGAACTTGGCATTGTCTGTGTTGATCATTTTGGTTGATCCAGTTGTTCTCTGCAGGAGTGTGCCCTGTCCCTAACTGCTCTATTCCATCCAGAAGTGAGAGTCAACACTTTGTATTAAAAGATTTGTTTGTATTACTGTGTACCTAAAGTCCATTGCTCTTAACTGATGCACAGTATTCCACAGTAGGTATACATTCATCACTTCAGTCCAATTCCCGAACGGTGAACTCTTTAAGTTGTCCGAAATTTCCTGCTGCTTTTTACTTATATGATTAAAATGCAGAAGAACTACCGGATTTTAGGGTACATGCATTTTTACTTTTGCTAAATACTGCCATATTGTTCTCCATAATAGATGCCAGTGTTACATGTCCACCAAAAATGCACGAGGGTTTGTGTGTCTCCATATCTTTCCAACATTGATTACCCAATTTTTAAATTTTGGACATTTGGGTGGTCAAAAAGTGGTCTCTCGCTGTTATTTTAGTTTACAGTCATCTGATTGTTATCCGACACAGTTATCTGACTATCTCTGTATATGCCAGCCATTGGGAGTTCCCCTCTGTGAATTGCCTACTTAAACCCTTTTCCATTTGCATATTGGGTTCCTATATTCTAGTTGATTTGTGAAAATTGCTGGTATATTCTAGGGAATAACTTGTTTCCTAGCTTTTAACATCGAACATTTATCCTTTCCCCTCCCTATTTCTTATTTTGTCTATAACATTTTTCATGAAATAGAAATATTGCACTTGAATTCAGAAAATATTTTTACATTATGATTTGTGTGTTTGGAGCCTTATTTTAAAATAAGGCTCACCCCACATCGCAAACAATGTTCTCTTTTATTTAAAAATTATATTTGTAGTTCCATCTTTCCTATTTAGATCTTTACTTTATATAGATATTTTATTGTATCTAACAGCTTCTTTCCATGCATAGAGTGTAGTAATTTCCCAATAACATCTATTTAAAAATCCATTTTTTCCCACTGGTTTGCGGTAACATTCTCGGATATACTGTGTTTCTGTGTGCACATAAGCATTTTTTTGAACCCTTTATTGCTTCCCAGGATTCTATTGGCCTATTGTTTCTATTGTAACACATATTTTAAATGTTCTTTTTGTTATCAAAACTGACTTAGCTATCTATGAACTCTTATTTTTCTACAGAGTTTAAAAATAAGGCTATTTCTTTGACAACAGTTCTGCTGAAATATTATTTGAGGTTGCTTTGAATTTAGATTAATTTGGTTAAAACTGGTATTGTTATAATATTAATCACTCTATCCATGAAAAATGGGATGCCTTTTCCCTTTTCTCATGTTCCCAATAATCCTTTTCTTTTCCTTAACAAAGCTTATAAAGTTTTTCTTTGTAAGATCATGTACAGCTTTTGTTGATGTCTCCTAGATATTTTGTTATTTCTGTTGCTGCTGCAGATCTCTTCCTATTTGGAATTTCATAGTGCTGTGGTCAGCCTAAGCAAATAAGAATATTTGATAGGCTTGAAAGGCAAGAACCTCTTCAGAGAATGAACTTCATTAGTCACTAACCCAAGATCCCATCAAGTGAGACAGAATTTCCAGAGCAAAGGGAAGTGAGAGGTTCCCCCTGCTGTGCAACTTTGCATCATTCTAGAAAACAACTTTCATTTAAATGCAAACTTTTCATTGTCTGCTTAATAAAAAATGTTATGAGATAACACGGAATTCACATTCCCTTGAAAGCAAGATAGGTTGGTCTCCATTTTTCTGTTTGTCTTTTCTCACATTCAAAGAATTTGAGAAGATGTTACACCTTGTCAAGAGTTAATAGGACTCTGGGGTGATGTTTTGTGGTTGCTGCCTCTCTATTCTTTGGCCAGAGCCAAGTCAAAGTGGGAGCTGCTGCCACGGTGTCTTTCCCCAACCTATTGTATTTCCGTGGGCTTTGAAAACTCATTCCTCCCCAACCCCTTTCCTCATCCCTTGGGCTTCCCTCCTGTACATCTTTATATCTTTTCCAGGACACATCCCCCTGGGCCGTGAAGTGCTTGGTTCTTCAGCTCCCATCCACTGTTCTATTCCCCCCAGGGGTGTCTCACCTGCTTCCATCACCTGCCACCCTCACCTGGACCCTCATCCTGATGTGCTGACAATGCGCATTCATAGTCACTCTACTTCCTGACTTCCTCTTTCCAGTGTCCATCTTGCCATCTTCTTATCACTGGCCCCCCTAGGCTCAGTCACCTCTGCCACGCTTTGTTTCCCTTACTGCTTTCTTGATACCAAGAAGTGGTGTCTGTCTTAGATACCTCATGCATTTACATCCTTCATAAAATACTTATGAAGTGCCTGTTAGGCGACAGGCACGGTGCACCCACTGTGCACCCAGGCAACTCAGGTTCTAAATCGCCTTTGTTGACTGGTCTCAGGAGAGAAGGGCTATTTCAGAAAGCTGCCAGGCGATGAGCTCGCCACCCCTCAAGTAAATGCACATTGAGTCTGACTGCTTGATAGGCTTGCAGGGTTATTATTATCATTATTATTATTATTATTATTATTATTATTGTTTTGAGATGGAGTCTTCCTCTGTCACCAGGCTGGAGTGCAGGGGCGCAATCTCGGCTCACTGCAACCTCCACCTCCCGAGTTGAAGCGATTCTCTTGCCTCAGCCTCCCTAGTAGTTGGGATTACAGGCATGCACCACCATGCCCAGCTAATTTTTTTTTTTTTCATTTTTTGGTAGAGACAAAGTTTCACCATGTTAGACAGGCTGGCCTCGAACTCCTGACCTTAGGTGATCCTCCTGCCTTCGCCTCCCAAAGTGCTGGGATTATAGGAGTGAGCCACCGCGCCTGGCTGGCTTGCTGGTTTTGATTCCAGCAGGCGTATAGTGTGGGCAGTGTGTGTGTTATGGAGGGAGAGGAAGGTGCAGGGGGAAGGGATGTGCACACCATGAACCTATGACTTCAGTTCTCAGCTTAGATTCTACCTAGAGCTGAAGCACTGGGGACAGAGCATAGCCCACTGCTCTGCTGCTCTGACTTTGCTACCTTTTAGTCCCAAAGTGGAATTCCAGCTTGTTCTGCCATTCCACGTCATTCCTTTCTCCCCACCTTGCGGGCTGTCTACAAACCCTTCGTGGCAAGTCAGCAAGTTCTTCGGCTGTGTTTGTGCCCCTTCACTACATCTAATTCCTCTTCACCCCAGGATGGGGGCGAGGGCCATGGAGGGAGAGCGTGTCATAAATAATTTCAGTCACTGCCACTCTTAGCCCACTGCCAGTCCTGAGGCAAGTCAAATATCCTTCCTTAGACAATGGACTTTGCCTGGCAAACATCTTCCACCTATTTGGGATTGTGGGCCTGGGAGATGGGGAAGCTGGAGTTGTGCTACCACAGAGAGAGGGAGAGGTGGGGCAAAGTGCTAAGTAGAAAACAGTTGGGCTCTGATTGTGCCCATTGCACCATGGCTCAGAGCCTGGGAGCAGCTGGGACTCCTCTGGAATCTACTTTCATACCTCATGTGGCTGGAGCAGCCCCTGACAAAGACAGCAAATGTGAGGTTTCCCTTCACCAGGGAATCTTGAGAATCAGCCTTGATTGCTCATTCCCTTCCCAATCAAGTCAGTCTTATTGGACGAGAGAAGGAGGCTAGCCCTTATCATGAATGATTATGGTAATTGTAGCACATAAAAGCAGACTCGTGTGTCCTTGGACAAGTTACTAAGCTTCTCCATACCTCAGTGTTCTCATCTGTAGGTTGGGGAGAATAATCATATTTGCCCCATATGGTTCTTTTCAGGGATGAAATAATTTAATTACAATAACTACTTTCAGAAGTGCCTATAATTTGTCATCTATTTAAAATACAAGATCTGAAATTCACAATGTCATTGGGAAGTATCTCAAAGATTGAGGTTCAGAGAAGTTAAATTACTCATGCAGGCTGGGCGCCACGGCTCATGCCTGTAATCCCGGCACTTTGGGAGGCCGAGGCAGGGGAATCACCTTAGGTCAGGAGTTTGAGACCAGCCTGGCCAACAAGGCAAAACCTCGTCTCTACTAAAAATACAAAAAATAGCTGGGCATGTGGCGCGTGCATGTGATTACAACTACTTGGGAGGCTGAGGTAAGAGAATTGCTTGAACCCAGCAGGCAGAGTTTGCAGTGAGTCGAGATTGCGCCACTGCACTCTAGCCTGGGTGAGGGAGAATCTGTCTCAAAATAAATGCATAAATACATAAATAAATAAATTACTCAAGCAGCTGTGAAGGGGTACAGGTAGGGTGTGGACTGGGTTCTTCCGATATCTAAGCCTCTGCTCTTTCAACTTTGCTGCACATCTACACTGTCTGATTCTGGTGACTTCTGATGTGTTTCTTAGCCTCTGGGAATCTGTCTCCATTCACTGAGCCTGAAACCGCCTTTCTGTGGTCAGGCCAGCAGCAGGAATGTGTGAGAGGAGACTTAGTGTGCTGGTTTTTCTTTCTTACCTTGACAATGTGGCTCTTTCTGGCAGCTTTTCTTCTGCAGAGGAAGGGAAGTACCCGACAATTAGGGGTAAGTTTTCTGTAAGGCCAGGGCTCTGGGAAGCAGCTACGGTTTTAGCTGCCACCACCACAGTAGCAAAAAAGAACAGTACATCAACTGTGCATGCAAGGAGGGCACAGTGCATGCAAAGGAGGTAGGACCTGGCAGAGATGCATAATCTTGAAAATACGTAGTTGCGTTTCCCTAGTCCCCACAGGCTAATGTGCTGTAATACTAGTTGAACGGCCACTAATTTGATTCACATAAGAGATTTGACCTTATTCCACCAAGCTTTCTCCAGCCTGAATTTCTCTTATGTATAGAGAGTATACAGAGCCTTTTGCATTTTTTTTTCCTGCTGTTTAGGAACTCAGATTTCTCTATTCCACTTGGTCCCTGGTGATCAAGGTCCCAATGGCAAAGATTTTTCCTCCCACGGTGCTGCCTCATCTATTAGTGTGCTAGTGCCGGCAGGAGATGAGGGGGCAGGGGGTCACTTATTTGATTGTCGTATCATTTATGTGGCTGTGACTTCCAATGCCATTATCTTTGTTTAGCACAAACGGAGAGCAGTTAGTGCTCCTGGTAATCTATCTCGGAATCAAAAAGCTATGGAGACAGAGACAGCCTCTTCTCCGAGCCTTTATCTCTTACCACCATCATTTTCTCAGCTGGGAGCAGGCGACGACCCTGCTTCCAATATGCTGCTCAATGATTTTAGATGATTGATCTTTCTAAAGTGCTTTTCCGTTTCTTGCCACACAGACGCGGATAGATTAAGCAATTATGGATTATTTCAACATCAGATGGCCCAAGACAATTAGTCAGAGAAGAAGCAAAGAAGTGGCCCTGCTGGCTTTTGGTGAAGGGGAATTTTCAGGCGGAGGTAAAGGTGGAAGCAAGGATGGGTTTGCTCATTGGGATGGACAGGCAGGGGAGAAGGCCTGGTTGATCTGCGGGGTTGGGAGGGAATATACATATTTATACAGTGGGAACAGTTAGGATTTTTTTTTAATGGGACTATGGCATAAAGAACCCTCACTATCTTTGAATTAAGCTAGCACTTTCCAGTAGCATTCTTTTTAAGGGAGATGAGATTGCTGATGCTTCTTGGAGGAAAAAAAAAGTTGCAAGAAGGAGAGAGAGAGACTGAGTAGTGCATGTAATAAAAGACAATAGATTAGATAGTCTCAGAATGGATCCGGGGCCCTAAATCACTCCCAGGCCTGGCTGCCAGGGCACAGACTTCCCGAGCGGGGCCTTCATGTTTTATGGTGGCGGCGGCCCTCCCGGGAGTGAGTTACAACCTTGCCGTCAGTGGGCGGCTATCTGTTATCCTACATGTAAACAGGTATTCAAATCCTGACTCCGGAACCTTCTCCTTGGCGTTTAATCATCCTGGTAATCTAACCCCCGTCCCCCGCCAAGGTCGCTGTTTTGGATTGCATGACTTTCAGACTCTTCTCTGGCACTGAAGGCAGGCGCAGCCGGGCTGACAGCCGCCCAACTCATCAACTGGGCTGACAGGCCCAAAAATTAACTTTGATATTTTGTGTGGAATAATTCAGTGGCAATTGGGCCAGATGATGTTCTGTAACCTAAATTCAATTTCCATCACAGGGAAGCATCAGAGAGCTAGTCACCTACTTGCCAAGAGCACCTAGCAATCTAAGGGGTATGCATGCATGTGCGTGCGTGCGTGTGTTTGCGTGCATGTGTGTGTGTGGTAGATTTGTAGATATATATACACACACACACTGTGCATCAGTCATTTCTATTAATATGTGATAGATTAATATGTACTTGTGGATGCAGTCATCGATTATTTGGGGGACGATTGTGCAGGGTCCTGTCCTTTCTTTCCTCCCTCACTGCCTGTGTTTAATTCTCTCCTTTTCTGTGGTGAGGGGCAGACGGGAGGGGAGGAGTGTTGGAGTGGGAGGGGAAGTGTAAAACACTCCATTATGCTTCTTAGCAGTTTTCCAGAATGCCTGGGGATGAAGGGAGGCATTGCTCTAATGCCAAATCTGAGACCGGCTGATACTTCAGTGTGATGTGGGTCACCTGTGTCTCTTGGGTAGGGTAGATCAGTGGGCAGCCTGCCACCCGCAGAGACGAGGAATTGAGAGTCAAATCCTGGCTGTGTCTCTTTCCAGATGTGTGGCCTCATTGCCTCACTTCATCTCTTGAAGCCTCAGTATCTCTGTTTGCAAAATGGAGAAAACCATTCTCTTGGTGCCTGGCACCCAGAGTAGGTGTTCAATAAATGGCAGCTATTGCTAGTCATGGCAGTGAGAACATGTTGAATCCTGATTTCCTCCACACCTTGGCCCTTTGGAAAGCCTCCCCTGTTGATATACCTTTTGAGAGGCAGGGACCACCTCATTGCCAGAGCCCAGAGCCTCTCCTAAAGGAGGAAGTGGTGGCCTTGGAGAGGAGCTTCTCCCAAATTAGTCACAAATCCTGGATAGTAAGACCAATGGGAGCTTGGAGATCAGCCACTCTCATGGGGGCATTTACCAGGACAAGATGCTGAGGCCCAGACAGTGCAAGTGAACTGCTCAATATCTCAGAGTGGCAGACACCAAGCATCGATCACATATCCTCTTGCTCGGATTCTCAGCAAGGAGCAACTGCCCCTACTCGCTTCCTATGAGGGCATTAGAGACTTGATGTTGGGGCCAGGCCACAGGACTGACTGTGGAATTGCTAACTCCTGAGATCCTTCCTCTTGGAGGAGGTCTAAGCCAGACACTTTATGCCAAATTCTGCTCATGCGAATGTGGTGCCCCCATGGGCTTTTGGGGCAATACCCCCATCACTGTTGGCATAGGCAGCAAGGGTAGAGAAGGTAATGTCTTGCTTTGGAGATGGTTGAGGTCGGGGAGAGAGGCGTGGTTCTAGGAGAAGAAAAGGAAAGAGAGAACAAATGTAAGAAACCATCTGTGGGTATTAGCGCACGCAGCGTCCCACACGACCTCATGTTGGCTCTTTTGTTAGTATCACTATCCTATTTGCATTAAAAAACCTAAGACTCTGAGGAGTGTATGTACTTGCTCAAAGCCACAGCTAGGAAATGGCAGAGGTGGGCTTTAAATGCAGTGCTTGACTTCAACTCAAGTGCTCTAGTCTGTGACATCTTGTGGCCACCAAAGGCAGACTCTGACCAGATTTATGTTCATGGTCCTGAGCCTGGGTCACCAATTAATGTCTTTTTCTGGTGAAGTCTGAGATCTAAATATTGTGAACCCCACAGGCCTTGGCAGTGCATGGAGGGGTGTTTGCCAAATGTGAGGGTCTTATTTGTTCCTTCAGGTCTCCCCAGGAAATGCTTTTGTTCATTTCCATACAGACATGGCTCCCTTCACTGGGGACCGTGTATTTTTTCTTTGACTAGAAACACCATGTGTGTCATGTTTTCTTTGAAAAGGAAAGCCCTGGGATCATCTGCATCAGGTTATAAAATGATCCCAAGGTCCATTTCTGGCTCTAGGCAAGTTGAGCATACATCACCTCGTTTAATTCAGCAATATCATCAATGTCAGTGCGTATCCACCGGCTGTTGGCTATTGGTCATCCGGACCTGACACAAACTCAATAAATACTCCATAACCCCTGACAGCCGCTAGCAGATTAGCCTGAAATGAGCGATGGCCCAGCCAACACCTGCTGAACCAAATCAGCCCCGTGACGGATGGGCCTGTACTAAGCTCTGGCCACGAGTGAGATCAGTGAAAGAATGATTTTATACTTTAAGAAAAGAATTAGAGATGGTGGCTGCTGGAATGATTGGAAAGCTTTCAGAGGGGGCCGTTTTTCTTCTCTTTCTTCCTCTTCCCCAGACAGATTCCCTACTGCCACTCTCCTCCCACACCTGAGCCCATGACACATTCTGAGTTCCTGGGCCCACAGGGGGAACAAGGGTCAGGGAGTGGGAGGCAGTTGAGGTGAATGCTGGGGGCCACCTTCAGGCACGTGTAGAGTGTAGAATGTGCCACGCAGGGGGAGGCAGAATGCCACCCCAGAGCCACCGGGCAGTGGCTGTCTACCTGACTCCATGGTGAAGTGCAATCGTGGAATAGCAGTTCAGGGATGGGGTTGGAGAGGGGATGGGGTGCACCACCTAACTAAAGGGTAGGCTGAGGTTAAGGTCCCAGGGAGGTGTTGGCTAGGTATAAACTTTTAGGCTTCTTGTGACCTTGTAGCAATCATCAACAAAGCCTTCTAATCCCAATAAACTGCCTCCTACTGTATCGTCTAGATGAGAACACAGGCCTGGTGAAAAAACCAAAGTACAGACAAAAACCCCTTCATCTGCTTTCTTACTCTTTTCTTTATTGGGAGACACGGACATATGAACCATCTGGACAATGTTTTGAGCTTCAGTTTTCTAACATGTAAAACTAAGATCATCCAGTCCAGCCATTCTACTTTCTCCAAAATCTACTTTTTAATTAAGCCAGACTTTGGTACTTAGAACATTTGTGCTTGGCTCCTGTAGAATTTTTTTTTTAATAATTGGCCAACAATTCGATATTATGACATCAGTCTACCCTGAGAGATGTTTTTAAAAACAGACCTGTGAAACTCATTGCCATGTTTATAAAAAGGCTGCTTTGAGGATGTTATAGTCACTACATCACAGAGTCCCTTTTGCGAGAATCTAGGGGAGGCATTTCTGCCTGGTTTCAGTTCCAGGAACGGTTATGTTTATCTTGAATGACTGTTTAGATTTAATGTTGTGGACACTGAATGGTGTACATGATCCCATTTCCTTATTTGCATTTGGTGATTAGAAAACACTGAACCAAATTGGTGCCCCGTCCCTGATGGTGTATTGAATTCCAAGAAGTGTCTATGTTTGGTACTAATCTCACTCACTGCTCATATTTTCTTTTTGCCTCAGTTTTCTTATTTTAAATTAATTTCATCATGTAGAATGACATGTAAGCCATTTGTTGATAGGAGATAGGAGTGAAAATAAGTCAAGAAGACTGGGTGGGACTACAAGACACCCTGGACTTGGATACCAGGGTGCTGGGGCAGGTAGGTCTGAGCATGGAGGCCATCAGTTGCATCTAGGATGAGAGCAGAGCTTTCTGCTATATGAGTTTTTGAAAAAGTACCCTTATACCTACAAAGTCCCTGTTAAGTAAAATGCAAATGATTCACATAAGGCCAGGCCTACATGACACTAGTCACCTATCCAGTAACCAGAGGGAGCCCCTGGGAGTCTCAGCCCATCTCACTCGCACCACTTGACCTGGCCAGGTCAACCTGATCCAGGTAACATAGATGGCAAAGTCTTACTTGGTGGTTCATACTGCTTCCTTCCCTTGCAGGGAAGGCACGACAAGTTCAGCTTCTGAGCCTACCAGCCTGGCAGTGTCCATGACGCCATGTCTTCCCGCTCATACTTGCCTGATTTTGCAAAGGCAGCTGCTCTTAGTGACTCTTGCTGAACCTTCTTCTCCCCAAACTCCACCTCCAAATAGTCTCTGTCTTTTTTTTTTTTTTTTTTTTTTTTTAGTAGAGACAGGGTCTTGTTATGTTGGCCAGGCTGGTCTTGAACTCCTGGCCTCAAACAATCCTCCTCGTGGGCCTCCCATAGTACCAGTTTATAGGCGTGAGTCACTTTGCCAGGCCAATTCTTTTTTGATGGATCATTTATCTACAGGTTTCCCTTGCCCTACGGTTCCTGCTTTCTAGAGCCTCAACTCCCTTTCCCACACACCAAGCCCACTTTTCTTCCCCTCTTTACCCTCTTCTTCTCAGTATCTAATTTTTTTTTTTTTTTTTGTAGAGATGGGTTTTCACCATGTTGCCCACACTGGTCTCGAACTCTTGGGCTCAAGCAATCTGCCCACCTGGGCCTCCAAAGTGCTAGCATCACAGGTGTGAGCCACTGTGCCCGGCCAGTATATGAATTTTAAAGGCCTTTATGTAGCTCAATAAAGCCAGCCTCCACCTCAGTTGCGGTCCCACATGGCAGACACATCAGGGCATGGAGGCCTTTCTTGGAGGGCCCAGATCACATCTGTTCCTATCTGGCTCCAGTGTAGGCTGGTGGTTCTCAACCCTGGCTGCACGTTTGAATCATGGGGGAGCTTTTCAAAAAGACGAATGCTAGGGCCACCCCAAATCAACTGGAGCTGATTCTTGAGTAGTGGTGGTGGGTTGGGAAGCACTCTCCAGGTGGATCTGATATGTAAGCTAACACTGAGAACAACCACTATCATAAAGAGACCAGCCTAGGTCAGTGTCCTTAAAATAGCTCCTGGCCACCGCTGGAGCTTGGATGGGGGGCTGTGGCTCTACAAGGCGAGTGGTGTGAGTAGGGTGTGTTTGGGTTAAACCTCTGAGAATCTGGAGAACTGCTGCCTCATGAGTAAATGCTGAGGGTCTGCTGATGGTCGATAGCTGTCAGCAACATGGACACTCCAGCTTTGGGGGCACTGTGCTGAAGGAGGTGAAAGGCTGAAGGAACAGCAGAGGAGAAGCAGAAGCCACATGCCCAGCAAGGTATCTCATGGCATCTGTTCCCATGGGGCCTGGCACGTCTCTGTGCCAGGTGGCATTAAAGGAGAGGCTCTCGCCTTACTGTTCAATGCACGCACAGCAACTCCTCCAGCAGGGCACAGGCCAGCCTGCTGTTGGGAGGATATGGGGAAATTTCAGAACATTATGAGCTGCTGAAAAGTTTACAGGTGTCTATTTTACTTTCCCAGCCCATCGTGGCAGCCTTTGCAGGTACAGAGCAGCCTCATTTATCTTCCACTGTCAGGGGAGTACCGTGTTCCACTTAAGTGAATTTCCCTGAAATCCCAAGCTTGTTCTTTCTAAAGCCAAAATTTCATTTATTTTAGCCATTCTGAATGGAAGACTTTCTAAAATGCATTCTACACCTCCTCACCTTCTTAGATACACACCAGAATTTAACTCTTTCTGCATGACCTTGACTAATTTTTATGACCGCCCAGCACCCACAATGCCTCTTCTCACTTAACTTTGTTTATTTCCTCTACTATCGGGCTGTCAGTTGTCAATTCGCATTGCTGTTATTGAGCTTTATCTAAAGCTTTCCTCTTCCGCCTCCTGTAGGTCTTATACATGCAACATCCAATTTGCTGTGACTAGGAAATCAAATATGTGAGACTGTTAGATTTTTATGTTAAGCAGGAGTGAGGAGGCCTTGAATGAGTTTCTTGGTTCTTCTTCCAAGCAATACAGTCCATGAATTTGGTGTAGGATCATGCAATAGTTATTTCAGGTATCCAGGGCTTTCTTTGCTTGCACATCTTGGAAGTTACTAGAAGTCAAGTTTCAAAATAAGTGGGGATGATGCTGTAGTGGGCTGGAAGAGCAGTATAAGTATTTTTCCAACTGTTCATTTTCAGGAATGTCATGTATCTTATCCAACTAGCCGGATGCCTGCAGAGGAAGTGTTACTGTCTTCACCTGCCAGACTACCTGTCACTAGGTTTTTTGTCTGCAGGTTTCATGAGTCTGGCCTTTGTTTGACAAAGGACCCTCCCACATGGAAAGAAATGAAGATCAAAAGCCCCTTCAGGAATATGTCCAGGTCTTCAAACTCTGAGACAGGGCCCTGGTTTGAAGACCTGTCAGATTCAGACAGATGCAGTGACATTTGGAAAGTAATTTGAATTACCAGAGGACCAGAGATATTGGATGGCCAGCAAAAATGTCTCCTCACACCTGCTGTCAATGTCGATCAACCACCAGTATAGCATTCTCCTGAGAGGAGCATTGCCCTCACCTACATTTCGGTGTCTTGTGAAGTTACAGCATTTGGGCTGGCAGCCTGAGTATGTTGCTGGGAAGACTAATAGCCTGCAATTAAGATCATCTGCAGGGAATATTCCAGGTTTTAGAGAATCCAGCTCTGGGATGTTTAGTGTCCCAGCAAAGCTTGGGGCATGAGTATCATCACCATCATGAGGAATTACCCATTATCACACTATGTTGGCACTGTTCTACGAGGAGGGTATGATAAGTTCTGTTTTAAAGATTGAAAACTGAGCTTACAGATAAGGTATCTTTCCTGAGGTCAGGCAACTGGAAACCGATGGAGCTGAGATTAGAACTCAGGACTATGGACAAATTCATCAAACTTGCTTCCTCTCTGATCATGGCCTGGCTGCTGCTCTCTGTATCCTCAGTCTACTCAAATGCTCTTACCTCCTAAACTTTTCTCAGGAATCACAGGGAGATGGGAGTTTGGAGCTTGTTATGATGATGGCAGGCCCTGGAGAACAGAGATCAAGGCCAGCTTTTCATATAGATGGGGCAGGTGGCCACCTCTGTGGCATGCAGGGGGACTGACGTGTCACTCGTGCCCTGGATATACTACTGCTTATATCATCTGAGATGCCTGAAATCCTCAAATTAGAGTTGGAATCCTTTGGCTTTGAGGTTTTTTTCAAGGTAAAAAGATATAAATAACCCTGGAAAGGTGCTACTTTAAGCTATAATACTTCCTCTTATGTGCATCTTAGAGTAAACAAGTTTCAAATATTTTCTTGAGAGCAGATTTTTTCCTGGAGCACAGGGAAAGTGTGAGTACTACATGTTCACATTGTCCACTGAGGGACGAAAAGGGGTACAGAGCAGCAGGCTGGAGGCACCAAGTCCAAGTTTATTCCCTTGCAGCTTCATCTGGAATCTGTTTGGGGACAATGATGAAGTTAGAGATCAAAAGATACACTAGAAAGTGCGTACATCATACGTCGCATCTGAAGCTAAGAAGATAGTGCAGTAGATGTGTGGTTGGGATCCAAGCACTGGATTGACACTTTGGGAGCCATAAACAGAAATCTTGCCTGTGCCATTTTGCTTAGCCTCCTATTTCCTGGGCCAGTTACGATCTTTTTGAAACTTAAATAAATCTTCCAGTACTTGGCAGCACCTGAGATAAAGTAAGGGTTCAATAAATGCTCATTCAGTATTAACCTTTCCATCCCAATACATGTTCACAGGGTGGATGAATGGAAACTCTTGAGGGACACATGTGACCCTGTGTGCATTCAAGCAAATGCCCAGCACAGAGGGCTGGGAGGAGGGAAACGCCCTATATTGACACTCACATCCTTGTCAGCCAATGCAGAGTCAGAAGATAGAACCACCTGACCCCATAGGCAGAGCTAAATAGACTTCTCTGGCATTCTTCAAGCTTCAAGTCAAGAAAGACCACCTCTATCCACCTGGTAAATAAAAAGAAACTGAATGACTGGAAAGCCTCAAGAAATCGTGTTGTCCAAAAATATAAACCTTCTGTGTTACCACCTTGCCATGCCATGACCCTATACCCACACTCCTCCTCCAGACATCTCAGCCCCTTTCCCAATCATGTCTCCACCCATCTTTCCAGCCTCATCCCCACTTCTCTGCACTGGCCCCTCGATGCTAGTCACACTGGTCTCCTAATTAGCTCTGAACATACAGAAGAATTTGCACCTCTTCACCTTTGCCAAAGCAGTCCTTTCTGCCTGGGAAACCCTTTATCCTGGCTGAGCCACACCCTTGCATGGGTCTCAGCCTGCAGTGGTGTTTACCTTCTGGAATCTCGTGGTACTCGTGGTCTGTACCAGTCACCTAATACGGTAATGTGATGCATAATGATGTTTGACTCAGCAACCAGCCGCATATACTATGGTGATCCCATAAGATTATGATACTGTATTTTTACTGTGCTTTTTAAATGTTTAGATATGCTTAGATATACAAATACTTACCATGGGGTTACCATTGCCTACAGCACTCAGTACAATGACAACCTGTACAGTGCTGTACAGGTTTGCAGGCTAGGAGCACTAGGCTATTCCACATAGCCTAGGTGTGTAGTAGGCTAGACCATCCAGGTTTGTGTAAGCTCACTCTGTGATGTTCCCACAATGATGAGATCACCGAATGAAGCATTTCCCAGAACATAGCCCTGTTCTTACGCAACACATGACTGTGCTTGAGATTCGCCATCTTGATTTGGTTACTTTGAGGAAAAGGTCTATATCTTACATGTCTCATCTGATGCACTTAGCATGTTTCCCATGCCCAGAAATTGCACTATAATGATATTACGATAATATTTTCAAGTCAGCGAAACCTTAGTATTCCAGGAGGTTTCAATATGTGTTTTATGAAACACAGGTTCTCTGGCAAAATATGTTAGGAAAGCACTAAGTTAGATTAAATATGTTTCTTTTCTGCAGGACTTCTCAGAGTCTACATAACATGCAGAATTTCCTACTTGTTCATTTGATCATGAGGTCCTTCCTGTGGCCCTGTTCATCTCTGTGCACACTCTCAGTGGTGGGTTGGAGACAGCTGGCGCCAGCTTGTGTGAGTCAAAATTTTCAGGAACTTTGCAAGCCAGTAGATATCATGTTGGTACCTTGAAATTGGCCCATAGTGGAAGTATTTACACCAAATGAATTGCTAAATGCATCACTTTCTTTGTTATTTTTACTGCTGGTGTCCCAAGGAAAGCAGACAAATCGTAGTTCTTCACCCCAAAGAGCCAGTCATTAAACATTTATCAGTACATTACTGACACTAGATTTCTGAGAAGCACAGCTTGTGAAATGATGGGAACTAAGGAGAAGGTGGCGAATGTGAGAGAGAAAAAGGAAGAGAAAGGAATAACTCCTCTGGCAGCCAAAAGATCACAGGATCCTTCTAAGAGATTTCCCTGGGGAAGATGGGCACAGCCTGGCTGATGGCCTTGCCGGCGATAATGAAGATGGTCAGGCCTAGCGCATGCTTCTTGCTCCAACTTAATTTGTCCCTTACCACCTTACAGAGCCTGTCGCCAATTAACCAATTAGTAGCTAATTTAATTTCCTCTTCCGGGTCGAAGCAGCAGGTTTTCTGATTTGAGTGTGAGGCATGCCAGAGCAGGTGCAGGCATGCTTATGTGCCTGTTAGTTGACAACCTGGCCTCCCTGGGGGCCGCACATCTTCAGGAAGATAGAAGCCAGGCTGTTCATTTCAAATCTGTCACCATCTGGCTGAGTGACCTTGGACAAGTCACTTATCCTCTCTGGGCTGAGTTCCTCATCTACAAAGTGACAACCTCATAGGTTCATTTCTGTTTCAGGGCTTTCTGAGTCATGCCCCTTCACTTTCTCTGTTATTCTTACTGCTGGTGTCTTAAGGGAGACAGGCCAGTCCCCAGCCTGGTTTCCTGAGATGTCAGCTTCCACTGGGCACACAAACAGCTCAGTTACAATAACCAGAGTTTCTCCTGCAGGCAGGTGCCCACCCTGAGCACCACCTGCCTGTCCTACAGCAACTGAGAAAACACAACACTCAGCGCATCACTTTCCCCCTCCGAAATGGGGGAAATACTGGGCTCTCTTGGCTAAAGATAAGATTTCTTTTAAAGCAACCCTGATTGATAGATTAAAAACCAACTACACTGGGAATTGGTTATCTACTTTACAAACAGATCATCCATTCTGGAAAATGATGCTTGAAAAAGACATCTTCCTTAATGAAATTAAAGTATGAGGCAATTTGGAATTACCAGCAACGAGTCACCAATGGGGCCCACATTCTTTCTCTTCTGACTCCTCCCCTCAGGCTGTGCCTTCATCACTGCACTCCTGTGCCAGTCCTACTTTCCCACTGGTTGCTTCGCAGCCACCCCTCACACCCTGTTCAACTTCCCCAGGGCCTCGTGTTATGTTTATCTTCAGGAACACCCAGATCACATCCCCCTGTGCCCTCATTCCTCTGCCAACCCCAGGAGCCTCTCTAGATCCCAATCTGAGTGTTGGAAAAGTTCTGGATAGGGAAGTTGGACCATTCAACATGGAGCTCTTGTAGTACAGTGGGAGGACTTTCAGAAGAGGCAGAAGCAGTCATCTGTGAATTAAGGGCTTGGGCTGGAGGACAGTGGCCTAACTGGTGTTCACCTGCACATAGGTATGCAAAGGTAGAGAACATTACTTTACTGTGAATGTTTTTGTAAAGTAGAAAAACTCTCTTTCATAGAAAAAAAATCACACCCTAATAAACCACTTTGGGAATCAGATTTTCTGAAAGCCTAGGCACCCAAGTTTCCTTTCCCCCTTATCAATTTATGGACCCTTTTAATGTATTGTTTTGGTGGGGATTTATCTTATAACAGCTTTTTGAAATGTACTTCACATTTCATAAAATTCACCCATTTAAAGTGTACACAGTGGTATATAGTATATTCACAGAGTTTTAAAATGATGACAGCAATCAAATTTAGAACATTTCATCACCCTGCGAAAGAAATCTACAACCCATAAGCAATTGCTCCCTATTCCATTCCTACTCCATCAGCCCTAGACAGCCACTAATCTGTCTCTTCTCTATAGATGTGCCATTTCTGGACATTTTCTATAAATGGAACCAGAGAGTAAGTGGTCTTTTGTGATTGGCTTCTTTCACTTAGCATATTTCCAAGATTCATCTATGCTGTAGAATGGATTATTCATTTCTTTTTATTGTTGAATACATTATTCTGTTGTATCTATATACCACTCTTTGTTTATCCATTAATCAGTTGAGGGACATTGGGGAATAATGCTGCTTATAACATTTATGTAGAATCTTTGTGCAGACATATGTTCTCATTTCTCTTGGGTATATATGTAGAGGTAGAATTGCTGAGTCATATAGTAATTATGTTTAACACATTCAGGAAGTGCCAAACTGTTTTCCAAAGTGTTGCATCATTTTCTATTCCCACCAGCAATGTATGAAGGTTCTGATTTCTCTACATCACCAGCACTTGTTATTATCTGTCTTTTGATTATAATGATTCTAGTGAGTGCGAAGTGGTATATCATTGTGCTTTTGATGTGCATCTCTCTAAACTAATAACGTTGAACATCTTTTTATGTGTTTATTGACTATTTGCATATCTTTGAGAAATGTTTATTCAAATCACTTGCTCATTTGAAATTGTGTTATTTATTTAATATGAAGTTGTGACAGTTCTTTATATATTCTGCATACAATTCCCTTATCAGATATATGATTTGCAAATATTTTCTCTCATTGTGTAGATGTTTTTTTGTTACTTACTTGATGGTTTCAATTCATAGAACAAAAAAATCTTTAATTTTTATGAAATCCAACATATCTACTTTTTCTCTTGTTGCTTGTGTTTTGTTGTCATGTCCAAGAAACTATTGCCTGATTCAAGATCATCAAGATTTATTCCTATATTTTCTTTCAAGAGTTTTATAGTTTCAAGTCTTGCATTTAGATCCATAATCCATTTTGAGTTAATTTTTTTTCAAGATGGTTTTGGCTATTTTGTGTCCATTGAAATTTTATATAAATATAAGGATCCGCTTGTCAATTTCCACAAAAAAGGCTGAGATTTTCACAGGGATTGCACTGAACCTACAGCTCAATATGCAGAATAATGCCATGTTAACAAACAATAGTCTTTTTTCTACCCATAAAAATAGGATCTCTTTCCATTAACTTGGAGCTTCTTTAATTTATTTCAAATTTTCTGTAGTTTCAGTATATGTCTAGAAGTTCTTTTCTTAAATTCATTTCTAGGAATTTTATTTTTGAATGTCTAAACTATTGGCAGATGTAATTTTTCCTTCCTTCCTTCCTTCCCTCCTTTCTTTCTTTCTTTCTTTCTTTCTTTCTTTCTTTCTTTCTTTCTTTCTCTCTCTCTCTCTCTTTCTTCCTTCCTTCCTCCCTCCCTCCCTCCCTCTCTCTCTCTCTCTTTCTTTCTTTCCTCTTTCTCTTTCTTTCCTTTGTGTATTTTCTTTTCTTTTTTTTGAGACAGGGTTTTGCTCTGTCACCCAGGCTGGAGTACAGTGGAATTATAATAGTTTATAGCAGCCTTGATTTCCCCTGCTCAAGTGATCCTCCCACCTCAGCCTCTTGAGTAGCTGGGACTACAGGCATGCTTAATTTCATTTTGTGATTGTTCCTTGTGAGTATATAGAAATAAAATAATTTTTGTACGTTGATCTTGTATTCTGCGATGTTGCTGAAGTCATTTATCAGTTCTGATAGTTTTTTAGTGAATTCCAAAGAACTTTCTATATACAAGATTATGTGATATGCAAATAAAAATAATTTTATTTCTTTTTTTTCAGTCTGAGTGGCATTTATTTCATTTCCTTGCTAATTACCCTGGCTAGAGCCTCCAGAACAATGTTGAATAGAAATGGCAAGCGCTGACACAGTCATCTCATTTCTGTTCTTAGGGAGAAAGTATTCAGTTTTTTGTTATTAATATGATGTTAGCTGATGGTTTTCGGTAGATGCCCTTTTTCACATAGAGAATACTTTTATTCCTAGTTTGTTGAGTCCTTTTTATCATAAAACGATATTGGATTTTGTCAAATACTTTTTCTATTTATTGATGTGATAATGTGGTTTTTGTTCTTTATTCTATTAATATGGTGTTTTACATTGATTGATTTTCAGATGCAAAACCAACCTTGTATTCCTGAAATAAATGGCACTTGACTATGGTGTACAGTCTTTATTATATATTACTGTGTTTGATGAGAATTTTTTCTATTTATTTTCATAAGGAATACTGGCCTATAATTTTCTTTTCTCATGACATCTTTGCCTGGTTTTGGTATCAGGGGTTAATACAATACAATACGTATATTTGGGGTTAATACAAACTTGGGGTTAATTTCAACAGTATAGGGAAGGTTTGCTTCAATATAGCTTCATTGTTGCCCTCTTCCTTTGTGCTATTATTGTAATACAAATTACCATCATCAGCCAATCAATTTTTTTTGTAATTGTTGCGTTATGCCATGGTAGAGTGTTATAAAAATACATTTACACTTTATTTTTATATTTACCTATGAAGTTACATTTACTGGTGCTCTTTATGTTTTTATTTGGACTTGAGTTTCCATCTCAAGTGTCCTTCATTTTAGCTTGAGGGAATCCCTTTAACATTTCTTGTAGGGTAGATCTGCAGCTGACCAATTTTCTCATGTTTTATATGAGGATCTCTTAATTTTTCAATTTATTTTGAAAGTAGTTTTGCTGGATATAGAATTCTTGGTTAATGGCTCTTTCTTTCAGCACTTTCAATATGTCCTCACTGGCTTTGGCCTTTTCACTTCAACATCCGCAGTGAGAACAAACTGTTAATATAATTGAGGATTCCTTGTATATGAAGTGTCATTTTTCTCTTGGTGCTTTCGAGATCCTCTCTTTGTCTCTATCTTAGAACAGTTTGACTATCGTATGCCTATGTGTGAATCTCTTCCAGCTTATCCAATTCAGACTTTATTGAGCTTCTCAATGTGTAGATTGGTTTTCATTACATTTTGTAAGCTTTTAGGCATTATTTCTTCTGTTTTTTGTTTGTTTGTTTGTTTGTTTGACTCTCTCTTTCCCTCCTCTGCTTCTGTGCTCGTGCTATGCACATACCCATGTGCTCTGCAGTATCCTACATGTCTCTGAGGTCCTGTTTATGGTTTTTCATTTTGTTTTTGTTTTATTCTTTTTTCTTAGCAGACTGAAGAATTTTATTTTATCTCTCTTCAAGTTTGCTGCATCTTTCTTCTGTGAGTTTAAAGTTACTGTTGAGCTCCTCTAGTGAATTTTGAATTTTACTTGTGCTTTTCAACCATGGAATTTCTATTTGATTCTTTGTTTCTGATCATCTAAATTTCTTTATTGATATTTCTTATCTGGTATGACAGTATTGTCAAACTTTACTTCCCTAGATGATTTCATTTATTCTTTTGAACATACGTATATTAGCTGATTTAGAGTCATTGTCGACAGCTGTTCCCCCATCAGGGATAGTTTCTATTGACTGCTTTTTTTTTTTTTAACTATCTATGGGTTTTTTGTTACTTTGCATGTCTTATTATTTTCTTTTCTCATAAACTAGAAATTTAACATAATATAATGTGCCAATTCTGGAAATCAGATTTCACCCCATCAGTGTTTGTTTTTCTTACTGATTTTGTTTTTGTTGTTGCTGCTGTTTGTTAAATGACTTTTCTGGACTAATTATGTGAAGTATATATTCTGTATGGTATAAGGCCACTAAAATTTCTGTTAGCATATCTTAGTGGTCAACCAATGATTGGCCACAGATTTCCTTAAGTGCTTTGAACCAATATGTCCCTTATCCTTGCTGAATATCTCTTTGTGTTTGGGACATGCCCTAAATACTCAGGGAGCTTACAACTTTACCTCAACCTTAACTTCCTCCTTCCTATCCTTTCAGAGGGGAGATTGGAGACCTCTTATATCTTTTCTGGGCATATGCAAAACCCAGCACTTGGCACTGTAGATCCCCAAGAATATGTCAGCACTTTTCAAAGAATACTGTGGACATCTCATTTCCTAAATATTCCTTTTAAGTTTTCGGCCAGGCTCTTGTTTTCCCCAACTTGTATTGCACCCTAAAGCAGCTGCAAATGCTGAACAATTGCTTCTTTTTTCCCCCCCCACAAACACTTTGGGGAAAGTGCTTTTCTGCAGAGTGAGTTCTGAGTCAGGGCAAATAAAAATGCATTGGGAATGGGACTTGTCCAGGGAGCTGATAGACAGGTAAAATAATGACAATGCTCTGGGAATGGGACTTGTTGAAGAGCTCCAAACCCAGTCTCCACCTCTGGGTGGTAACAGGGCAGCTAGTTTTCAAAACCAATATAGAGTGGGAAAGAGGGAGACAAAAGCAGGTCAAGTTACAATGCCCAAATTCCTACTCTTCTGATGGTCTTTCCGCCCATGTCATCCCATTTTACCCTTGATATTGTGCCTTTCAATTGTTAAAATATGGATTAAGTAAGCTAAACAAGCAGAGGATTTACAATAAATACAAGCAAAAAGGTGTTTTGGTAGTGAGTGGTGAATAAGCTCTAGGCATTTTGCATCAGAGGCGTATTGTAGTCAGAAACACTTTGGGCACGAGCTTTTTTTTATTGTTTACTCCTTTACTTGTCAGTTCTCTAAGAATTACAGCTTTAAAAAGCTATATTATTTCTACAGTACTTTCTATATGCTTTTATATCCATTACCTCGTCAAACCTACAGCAACCTGTGATTTGAGAGGAGGAAACGTCGCCATCTAGATGTTAGGGAGCCTTCTTAAGGTTTTGCAACTAGACTCTGACACAGTCACAGTAGGAGCCAGCCCTGAGGCTTCTGATTCAGGCTCCTGACTCTTTCCACAACATGGCTGTCTTTGTTGAGAAAGGAATAAAATGCAAATGCATCATCTTATGCCATTAGGAGAGCTGCTAAACATGTTTGGTGGGGAAGAAGTTGAAATGGATGGGTTAAGTGAGGTTTTTCTTCACCATCTGTGGTTTCCTTAGCTTCGTGATAAGAAACTCTCCTGGATCATCCACTACTCTTGGACACCCCTGCTGGCTCCTTCTCTAGTCAATGTTTATGTGTGTTGTTCCTCAGCCCGTAGCTCCATCCTTTTCTGTCATTAACCTTCTTTCCCAGAGAATGAATCTCCCTCTGGATTCTCAGGGTCACCTGTAACACTTCCAATCACACGTCTAGTCTTAGGGTCTCTCTTGAGTTCAGTCCTGAAGGACATCTTGCTTGCTGGGCATTTTCACTTGGAAACCCATTCTTACAGGGAGATGCTACAGTTCAGCTCTGTCCTTGAACCCAGTAATTCCAAGACACTGAGTATGGATGGGTCTCATCCAGAATTTGGTCCTCGCAGGAGCATATCTTCTTATTCTCAGCAGGGGCTGTTCACATTCTTTCCACTCCAGTAAACTTCAACAATTGACAGCTTTTTATAGATTCTTGGCCTTCCAGAGTTCTAAATTACTTTACTTGTTTTCTTTATACAGTGCTGGGTTGGCTGTCTCCTAGAGCATTTAGCAAAGCTCAATGGGTTGTTTGGGTTTCACCTGCCTGTTGAGGAGGGCGATGATTCCTCCCTGACTCTGCTGTGTCCATGGAGGTTCTCCATGTTCCCTTCATGTTGGCACCTGGAAATCTAGGAGCACAATGTAGAAGTATCTTAAAGACTGGAAATTGGAAGCCGGATATTGATGATACCTCCGAAGACTTGTAGTAGTGAAGTTCCTTGGATGTAGCTTGTTAGTAGTTAAATCTATACAGATATGAAATACACTTTGTGTGGAAAAACCTCATGAAGATCGCTTATATAGTTTATTTTCTCATTTATGTTTGAACAACGTGTTCATGGTGCTGAATGCCTCTCAAAATCATCAAAGATAACTGAAACTGGGTCTCCCTAGTACCCATCATTTCTTGCCCCCCACCCTCCACGGGCTGTTATATTCTGCATCAAGCCTTAGAAGAGGAAAAAAAGGCAGGTTCGGGGACCAAAAGTATCATGATAATTGATAAACTAGATTGAAACATTATAAACATATATATGTGTGTGTGTGTGTGTAATTATGTATCTTTAAAATTATGAGATGAAACTTTTATATGACATGTATACTTACATATAAAATTACTATAAAATTTGCAAAAAAAATTTGACTCTTCACAAATCAAACCACCTAACAGACCTAACGGACTGACTGCCCATCCTTACCTAATAAAATGAATCCTCAGAATGAATGCTTGTTCCTTTTATTTCTGTGATGTTATTCACATTTAAGTCTCCAAGGATTTTGCCCAATTTGGGCTTCTTAGTCTGTGAGGTCCCAGGAGTCAGGGACAAAGGTAGCCAACAAATGTTTGCTGAATTAATTAATTAATTCATTAATGATCTATGCTCATTTTGCACAGAAAAGCACATAGACACATGCCACCTGTCAATATCATTTAATAAATGCTTTTCTGACTGTCACAGAGGTCAAGATAAACAGACTTTGGATGTAGGGGCCTATATGGAGAATTCACAGTGGTAGAGATAACATAGGATTTTGAAAAAGAAGACTTGTCCAAGTCCTGCCTCATTGGGTGTGGTTAGAAATTCACTTTTCCAATATTCGTTTTCTCTAATGTAAAAGCAGAAATCAACAAGGGGATCCCCAAACCCTGTGGTTCTCGTACTTTATATGAATAAAGAAGGATGGAAGAGGGAAGATAGCTCTTCCACATGAAGCCACAAACCTGGGACGGAGAAAGACCCTACACTGATCCAAGTTGGGACTGATTATCTGGCAGGGGCACAAAGTTTAAACAATGTTAGTTGAGAAAACTGCAAAGTCAGAAACATCTGTTTCCAGCCAGCCTCATATTTTCTTTCAGCACCTTTTTCTTCTGCTGGCTGGCTCCACTCAAGTGCTGGGTGCCAAGTGTCATCCCTGCTATGAGGGCCTCAGGGTCTATTGAAAAGATATGTTTTTTCCCACTAATGCTCATGAATAAAGGTTCAACATGTTAACCCTTCTCAAGGAGTTATTACATTTAAGAGGTAACCTCTTATAAATGAGAAGCCTCCTGGACCTGAAAGAATAGTCCCCCAGAACTCAAATGCATTGATTGGACATGAGGATTTTGAGAGGGAGAGCCCTCCTGACTCTTCTCCAACCAAGTCACCTAACAGCCTGACCACCCATCCAACCTGTTCCCGAGGACCACCCTAGGCGAGCACAAGACATGTTAGTGAAGGAATGACATCATTACTTCTGGACTCCCGTCCTTGAAGTTAATCACATTCATTGTTCCGCAGCTCAGCACCCTGAGCCTCACTTATCTTTCTTTTCCTCTTGCTTCTTGTCCACCTTTGCCCCCAAAACAGTCTGATGCTCATCCAGGGTGCAGAGAGCACTTGGTGCTGCTGCCACTGGCCCCTGTCACTCCTTGTCAACTCCAATCACCCTCATTTTAATTCCTTTCCACAGTCCATTAACAGCAGCTCTCAGAATCCCGCGTGGTTACCTGCAGTCCCTGACCCTTGGCCTCAGGTGTCACGTAGCAAGAAAGTGACTCTTGATGGAAAAGAATGAGCAAACCTCAGCTTCTCTTCATGCCCTTTCACCTTCTAAGGAGACGATTCTTGAAAGGGTGGAAAATCCTGAGAAATTTTATACATATATATTTTAAGTTAATTCTGCAGACTGCTGTGTTGGTGACATTTCCTTCAAACTGCAATAACTAACCTGTCACAGCCCTACAAATGCTGACAATACAGCACCATGTGGGGTTGACTTAATAAACCTCATTTACATTCATTTTGATTCACTCAGGCGTTGAAAAACATTTCACAGGAAAAACTAGGAAACTCTCCAAGACGACATGTTTGCTGATATGATATGAACAGACTTAATAGGCAGCATATATGAAAACATGCATTTCTTAGATTATTAGCAAACTCAGTACTTTATTTTTTTAACATTTAAAAATTATTCTTTTGAATAATGTGGGCTTCTAAGCTGTTAAATGTGTCAACATTTACAGAGTCTTTCTGTTGAGTAGGTAGAGAAGAACATACTCAACTCTCTTCTTTGAGCTGTGAACTTGGGAAAATTTTTAAGCTGTCTGTATCTCAGTTGCTTCAGCTTAAAAATGCCTGTTTACCTAAGTGTATCATTGTTGCAATGGTGCTGCATGATAAACATTCCCCTAACAGTAGCTTACACTTAGAGGCATTTATTTATCATTTACATGTACTTGTGGTTCTACTGGGCTTAGATATGATCAGCCACATGTAGATCCAGGCTGTGAGTTGGATTTAAGTCTGTTCTAGACGTCTTCTCACTCTCCTTGGATCAGCAGCTACATGGAGCATGTTCCTCTGAAGGTGGATGGAGAAAGCAGGAGAGCCAAGACAAATCACAAACGCACACAGAGGTGCCTCTGCTGGTGTCATGTTTCTTTACATTGCATTGAACAAAATAAGTCACATGGCTAAACCCAAAGTCGACATGAGGATGTCGACATGAGGGCATGAGGATGAATTCTCCTTGTACTCTAATGGAAAGCACTTGGAGGTCACAAGAAAAAAAGGAGGAAAGAATTGGGAACACCTACCATACCACCTCACATAGACATTTTTTAAAAAGGAGATGATGGCTGGGCATGGTGGCTCATGCCTGTAATCCCAGCACTTTGGGAGGCTCAAGTGGGTGGATCACCTGGGGTCAGGAGTTCAAGACCAGTCTGGTCAACATGGGGAAACCCCATCTCTACAAAAATACAAGAACTAGTAGGGCATGATGGCGGGTGACTGTAATCCCAGCTACTCGGGAAGCTGAGGCAGGAAAATTGCTTGAACCCAGGAGGTGGAGATTGCAGTGAGCCGAGATAGCACCATTGCACTCCAGCCTGGGTGATGGAGCCAGTCTCAAAAAAAAAAAAAAAAAAAAAAGAAAAAAAGGAGATGATGTATTTCAGAGCTCTGTAAATTGCAAAGTATCATGCAAATATTAGGTCTTGTGTGAAAGTTCTACATAGGAACACTTTCTACTAATGTGATTATTCTCTGGTTACCTGATGTCTGTCTGTATGCATGCCATCTTCCTAGCCACCCAGACTTGACACTGTGTCATCGTCTTTCATCCTCCCTTTCCATCATCTGCCATGTTATACCAAAACTGGGGAGTCTATCCAGATATGATACCTTATCAGCCTTCTCCCCTTCATTTTTTCTGCTTCTTACCTCTCCTCTCCTCTGTCTTCCCTTACCCCAAAGTCTCCTTGCTTTAATCAGTTCTCAATACCACTATTAGGGTCATTTCCTTATGTGGCTTTCATTGTGCCATGTCTCTGCCTCAGGTTGGGTTTCCTAGAGGCAGAAGTGGAGACAGCGATTCTTGTATAAGTGATTTACTGAGGAAGTGCTCTCAGGAGAAGCCTCTCAGGGAATGAGGGAAGCAGGCGATCATAGGGGAAGAAGGTAGGCACAGATGTGGCTGCAGGAAGAGTCTAGCCTCAGCCTAATTGCATAGGGAGCTCTGGCGCATTAATGGCACCAAAGAGGTTGTTCCATCCAGAGGCAGGAAGACAGCCTATTTACTACTTCTTTCAATCCGTCACTGTTCACAAGCCTTCCCTTCCAGAAGCACAGGAAGTCCTTTGCAGGAGAGTCCGGTGTAAGCCATCGGCAGTCATTATCTACATCGCCTCAGGGAAGGGTGTACTGGCCTTGTAAAGGGGCTTCCTGTGAGGCACCAACAGCATCTGCTACCCTCTCCTATTGAAAGTGTTTAACAATTCCTCATTGTCCTCAGATTAACGTTTCAGTTCTTTGATTTGTCATTTAAGTCCCTCTGTAATGTTACTTTTTTTTTTTTTTTTTTTTTTTTTTTTGGAGACAGAGTCTCACTGGAGTGCAATGACATGATCTCGGCTCACTGCAATCTCCACTTCCTGGGTTTAAGCGATTCTCCTGTCTCAACCTCCCATTTTTAAGCTACTTCTTTATCTTAATTTTTACTACTGTATTCCATGGAGCTTCAGCTGTAGCTAAACCCAATCTCTCACTGTTCTGGCCTCTGAGCCTTTAATTATGCTATTTCCCCACCTGAAATGCACTTTCCACTCCTACCTATACTTCCTCACTTTTGACATCTCACCAGGATTGCCACCTTCTGTAAGAAGTTCAGGAAGAGAAAATAGAAAATGAAGAGACAGACATCATTAAAGAAATAATACAAGAGAAGTTCCCAGGAAGGAAGCATGTGCCATTCCAGAGTGAAAGTTTCCACCAAGTGCTCAATTATATCTAATATGGTAAAATGTTAGGACACTTGGAATGAAGAGAAACTCCCAAGCTAGAGAGGTTATACACAAAGATTTGGAAGTCAGAAAGTAGGAAATAGCAATAGCAAAATGTCTTAACAATTATGAAATTAAATACCCAACACAACTATCAACTCTGAGACATTCACATTCTAAAAAACAAATAAACAACAACCCCCAAATGAAGCAAATAAAAAATCCAATTCCACAGAAGGCCACAAGAAGATGCAACTGACCAAAAACAAGGAAATAGAAGAAATGGCATCTAGTAAACTGGGAATCCAGCAGATTATAGGAACAAACAGAATTCACAGAATGATGTCAAGGGGATGTCTGGCTTACTACTGGCCTACACATGTGAGGAATAAAACAATTCAATGCAGGGAGAACAGCCCTGATAGAGCAGGCAGAACAATTTCTGGAACCCACACAGGGCTAGAAATAACTTAAACCCCTCTAGCCATTTTCTATATTGTTGCTTTTTGGTTCTACTTTCTGGGAAGTTTTCTCAAGTTTTGTTCCAACACTTCGGTTAATTTTTAAAATTTCTACAATTATATTTTAAATGTCTAAAATATCTTTGTTGTTCTCTGAATATTCCCTTTCATGTCTTCTCTCTCTCTGTCTTAATTAATCTTGTCTAAGATTTCTATATCATTTAATCTTTTCAAACAATCATCTTTTGATTTGTTAATTTTCTCTCTTTCTTTATTACTTACTTTCCTTATCTGGCAGTTCAAGTTCAAACTTGAACACCTGTACAAAGCCCCCTTGGATGGCCTGCTTGTGATACTGGAGCACTTCCTCCTTGCCAGCTGACACAATGGCAAGCTTTGTCAGTGGAGAGTGCCAAAGAGACACTGCAGGAGGAAGGGGCTTCTCTCCTGGTTTCATGGTAAGTTTCTTCCCGCTGGCTTCTGTGTCACTCAGCTGTTGTACAGGACACTCAGTGAAGCTCACCCCCAGCAAGTTTTGGTGGCACTTCTGTAGGCACTTTACCCGTGAGTTGTATAGATACTCTTTTTTCCTTCCTTCCATGTGATGAGTTCAGCAGCAGCCCCCACGGGTGGCTTCCAGGACACTATTTGGAACATTCCAGTGAGAAGAATCTTGTCTACCGTGTTTGGCCACTGGCACTCTGGTGTGAGTTTTCCTGCTTGCTACTTCTCTCCTGCACATCCCTGACCACCAATTTGCCCAATAACTCTGGACCCACTTCTGGCTCAGGGCAACCCAGCAAACTTCCCCACAGTCTAGTGGGTTGTATTCAAAATCTCTTTAACAAGGTCTGAATTTCACATCTGAGATCTTGGGTGATAGCTAATTGATCGAGATGTTCTGCAGAATGAAATCGATGGGCAGCCACCTAAAATATTTTTTAATCTATATAGCAGAAAATTTTGGCCAAAAACTTGACTCAAATCACCAGTTTCCAGACCTAAGTCAATGCACAGACCCAGGGCCTCTTGAGTGAAGGGCACACTTGAGAAGAACCCTGCTGCATTTTCACAGGTAGGTGCTGTAAATCTTCTTCCAAGCCTAATCCAAAAGGACCTAGGGCCATTGGCTAGAGTGACTATGCATTGGGAAAAAGGCATTACACAAACTTTTAGAGGTTATTAGACACTGGCTATAAATGGAAACTAATTCTTGGGCACCCAAAATGTGACTGTAACCCACCAGTCAAAGTGGGGTCATGGTAATCAGGTAATAGATGGAGCTTTAGCTAAAGCTTGACTCACAGTGGGCCTAGTTCATCTATAGACCCAACTGGTGGGTTATTTCCCCAGGTGTTAAATGTATAACTGTAATATGTATATGACTATATATATATATATATATATAGTCATTGTTCAGTATCTATGAAGGATTTTTTCCAGGACCACTTGGGGATACCAAAATCCATGGAAGCTCAAGTCCCTGATATAAACTGATGTAGCATTTGCAAATAACCTATACACATCCTCCCATATACTTTAAACCATCTCTAGATTACTTATAATACCTAATACTATGCAAAATCTATGTAAATAGTTGCTATACTGTATGTCTAGGAAATAATGACAAGAGGAAAAGTCTGTTTATGTTCAGCACAATTTTTTTTTCTGAATATTTTTGATCTGTGGTTGGTTGAATACATGGATGCAGAACCTATGGATGGTGAGGACTGATTGTACTCAGAAACTGGAAGTATCCTCATGTTGGCTCTTGGACCCATCGGATGAGGGCCATCATGGTTGGAAGGGCTAAATAAAAAACCCTTGGAACTTCTCCTCCATACCAAGGTAATAAATTAGAGGCAATATTGCATCTTTAGGGGAAATTTCAGAGATTTATACCATCATCCAGGCACTGAAAGAAACAGGAGTGGTGGTACCTATTGCATTCCTGTTTAATTCACCTGTTTGGCCCATGCAGCAGTTGGATGGGTTTTGGAGAATGTGGACTGTCATAAACTGGTTCAGGTGGCCCAAATGCAGCTGTTGGCTCTGTTGTGTCTTTACTGGAGCAAATCAGCAAAACTGCTGGCATTTGGTATGTAGTAATTGATGTGGCTCATGCTATTTTTTTCTGCATACCAATTTGAAGGGACCACTAGTCACAGTTTGCTTTTACCCAGCAGTGCCAATAGTATATCTTCACAGTGTGGCCTCAGAGCTGTGTCAATTCTCCTGCTCTCTGCCACAGATAGTCTGCAGAGTTCTTGATTATCTTGGCATTCCACAAAACGTTCACTGATGGCAGTATGCTGACTAGATCTTGGGCAAGAAAGTAGAAAGTATTTTATTTTTAAAATTCATTTAGTATTTCTTTAAAATTCTTTTTAAAATATTAATTTCAGTTTTAGATTCAGGGAGTACATGTGCATGTTTGTTTCAAGGGTATATAGTGTGGTGCTGAGGTTTGAGCCTCTACTGATCCTGTCACCCAGACAGTGAACATAGTACCCAAGAGGAAGTTTTTCAGCCCTTGCCATCCACTCTCCTTCCCTCCATTTCGAGTCCGCACTGTCTGTTGTTTCCATCTTTATGTCTGTGTGTACCCAGGGTTTAGCTCCCACTTATAAGTGAGAACATTTGTATCTGGTTTTTGTTGTTGATGTTGTTGTTGTTGTTGTTGTTGTTGTTGTTACCAGATTAATTCACTTAGGATAGTGTTCTCCAGCTACTTCCATGTAGCCTCAAAGGACATGATTTCATTCTCTTTTATGGCTGCATGGTATTCCATCGTGTATATGTACCCCACTTTCTTTATTCAACCTATGGTTGATGGGTACCAAGTATTTTAGATGCCTCAGCAAGTCATATGCAAACTATAGGTTGGTTTAGCAGCATGCTCACGGGCAGCATCTTTGCATGTTTTGTTGTTATCTCAGTGGCCAGTTTCCTTCCAGCCAGCCTCAGTTTTCTTGCTCCCTCATGAGGAATTTCCTGCTTTACAATCTGGACTCGTGATTCTGTGCCTGACAACCCTGGCCTGCCAGATTGAGACAAGCTCTGGTCTAGGGAAACCCAGAGAACTCTGGCGTCTAGTGGACTGCTATCTCCCCACTCTAAGGAGGTCTGAATCCCAGCCTTGTGGAGGAGCCCCTTGCATTTCTGTTGCTTCCTCGGGTACTCTCCCTCAGACCTGGAGCATTGTTTAGAGGTCTCCTTATCCCCACCACAATAGGTAATTCCTTGCAAAAAGCTAATAATTACTTTTAGTAAACATCTCTTGTTCAAACTACTCAGTTTTCTGTTTCTCCTGACTAGACCATGACTAATACACTTACTTTTATTACTTTCTTTCTTGTTTTTCTTTGGATTTAATCCACTCCTTATTTCTAATTAGTTTTTAATCCTTGGCTTATTTGTTTTTGATCCTTCTTGTTTCCTAATAAATGTATTCAAATTTATAAATTTCCTTCCCAAAACTATTAGTTTTGTATAATAAATTTGACATAATTTTCTTATTATTTAGCTCTAGTTATTTTATTCATTATATCAATTTTTAACTCAATAATTATTTAGTAATATACTACTTCATTTCCAAGCATTTGAAAGTTTTAAGAAAGATTGCTTGGTCATTGATATCAAATTTTACTGCATGATGGTTTAAAAGCTTAGTTGATATAAGACTGATTTTATAAAATTGATGAGGTTTCTTTTATGACCCAATATACAATTTAGATTTACAAACGTTTTGGGTGCACTTGCAGAGTTCTGTAAGTGCTGAAACACTGTTTTGTTGTTCAGATCTTTTACATTTCCCTTCATTTATTTTGTCTCCTTGATCTATTTGTTTCTGGGAAGGGTCTGTTGAAATCTTCAGTTGGTATTTTTGATTTACCTTTTTCTCTCTCTAATTTATGTCAGTTGTTGCTTAGGTCAATATTTTGAGACTGTATTGTTAGGAGTGTTAATGTTCAAAATGGTTAGCAAATGATATTTTACTTAAGCCCTTAGGATTTTCTGTTTCAATATTAAATTCAACTTCTTCTGGTATTAACAGTGTTAACCCACTTTTTTGGGGGGGTTTATATTTTTGGAGTTTTTTTTTCAATTTTTACATTTTTAACCTTTCCATTCTTTTGGTTCTAAGTATATTTCTTGTAGACATTATGTTGCTAGATCTCTTTTAAAACCCAGTCTGAAACTTAATATTTAGACTGGTGAGTTTAACCCATTTACACTTATAGTAGTGCCTATTATATTAGGATTTATCACATCTTAGTTCATATTTCCCACTTGCTCTGCTGAACACTCCCACCTCTTCTGCTTTCAATTCAATGTCTTTCATCTTTCTTTAATTTTAGAAAATGTATCTTTATTATTTTTAATTTTTTATTATAAAATATAGTATACATAGGTATGAGTTTATGAAAAACATGCACGCACAGTTTGAATACAATTTTTAAAAAAATCACCCAGAGACCCACTTCCAGGATCGCAAAATAGAATGTCACCAACTACTCAGAAGCACCCTGGGTGCATTGCCCTGTCACATCCCACTCGCTCTTCTCCTGCAAATGAGCATTGTCTTGAATTTTGTTTTTTAGTTTTAGTTTTTTACCATCTAATAGGTATTCCTCAACAATATATTATTTAGTTTTGTTTGATTTTGACCTTGATATGAATGGAATAGTCTTTTCTTTAAAATATCTGTGTATTTAGAGCACTATGTGTTTGAGGTCTATCCATGTCAATAATTAAATCTATAATTCATTTATTTTCATTGCTGTATATGCGAGTGTATGATTATACCACAATTTATTTATTCATTGCACTGTCTATTGATATTTAGTTCCTGGATTTTTCCTGTGAAGGATAGTGCTGCCATAAGCATTCTTTTACATATCTTTTGGCGCATATGTTTGAGAATTTTTCTAAGGTAAATGCCTAGTGGTGGAATTGCTAGAATGTAGATTATGTGCGTATTTAACTTTAGTTTGGCATGTTTAATGCCAAAGTATTTCCACCGGGTTGAACCAGGTTATATCTCACCAGCAGTTTCTATTGCTTTGAGTTTCTATTGCTTTGCATTGTCGGTAAGGCTTGACATGTTGAGAACACTAAATTTGGTTCACATCTTTATTATTGCTTCAAAAATGTATTTTCTAGCTGGGCGCGGTGGCTCATGCCTATAATCCCAGCACTTTGGAGGCCAAGGCAGGCAGATCACAAGGTCAGGAGTTCAAGACCAGCCTGGCCAACATGGTGAAATCCCATCTCTACTAAAAATACAAAATTACCTGGATGTGGTTGCACACACCTGTAGTCCCAGCTACTTGGGAGGCTGAGGCAGGAGAATCGCTTGTACCCGGGACGTGGAGGTTGCAGTGAGCCAAGATCATGCCATTGCACTCCAGCCTGGGTGACAGAGCAAAACTCCGTCTCAAAAAAAAAAAAGAAAAAAAAGAGAGAATTCAAAAATTTATTTATTTATTTTCTTCCTGTGTTATCCCCTCATTCTTATTTACTGTTATTGACCCTTCTTTTAGACAAGTTTCTTAACTTTAAAAAATTGTTTTCCATCTCCTGCTCCTTTCAGGAAAAGCTCTTCTGTTACATTTTACAACTCCTTAATTCTTTTTCTTTTTTTTTTTTTTGCTCTATCCATCATGTAAATTGCTGAATATTTGATTCTTTATTTCCATTATCATCTATAATATTTCCACTTGGTTCTTTCTTTATGCTTATATTATCCCTTATATCTTTATTTGGTAAGCCTATTTAAATTATTGATCTGCTTAAGCTAATCATTTGGCTTTAGATGGTCGACATTTTTTATTTAGTTGCCTTTCTTTTGAGTGGTTGTACTCCTTGAGTGGTTGTACTCCTTGAGTGGTTATTCTGGCATGTAGGCTCAAGTTCCTTTGGGGATATTTCCCTTTGGGGAAGAACTGATGTCATGTAGACTGTGTTTTACTCACTGGGTTTAAAGAGATGGTAGATGATGAACCCCAGGTGGTAAAGACAGTTAAACCCTACAGAATTATTGCTGGTCACTCAAAATTGCCCCCACTCTTATTAGGTACTTTCTCTGACCAGGGTTTTGCTTTAAATTCTCAGAACAAGGAATTCCTGGGCGGAGAGTAAATACCCAAAATAGTTGCTTGGTCAACCCCTATTTTCCTCACTCTTCACCCCAACAACACTTTCGCACTTTCCTGATATTCTCCTGCTGATGGAGGGTGAGACCCAGCCAACTTAGCTTAACAAGCCTTCCAAGTAATTCCCATGCATGTGAAGTAATGAGAACCACTGGGTTTTTCATTTCTCAGGTTGATATTGAAGGGAGGAACCAACAGCCTGAACTGGTTTGCTATATGGTCAAGATCTGAGGACTGATTTCAACATCCTCATTTTTGAAGAGTTCCCTGATCCTGTTTCATGAAGGCACATCTTCTTTTATCCTTTTGAAATGATTAACCAGAGTTTAAATTTTCTTTTCAAATTTTCTCCTCTTGTCTGCATTGCCTTCATTTATAACAAGTTTCTTGTTTCTGTTTTGCTTGCTTGTTTTTGTTTTGGTCTTTTTCTTTCATGTGTTAGGAGTTCCCCACAGGTCTAGTAATCACTGCATGTCAGTTTGTAATGAAGGCGGGGTTGCTTGGAAGCTTTGTTTCCCAGAAGGAGGCCTCTTGGTTTGGGGCTTTGCTTGCAGGCTGATTGGGCTAGGACCCAGCCATTTCATGTGGGGATCCCCTCCCCTCCCTTAATGTCACTAACCACAGATATTTTCTCTTAGGCCCATCAGTTTCCCAGGGGAGAATCCTTAAGTATCCTGCATCAGGTATGTCAGCTTAGCTGCTGTCATAAATGTGTTTAATGTAGTTGCTGCCTCTGCACCCATTTCTAGGCTGACATACGTTATCTGAAACCCATTTCTACCCTGCCACCTTTGGCCTAGTTAAAGCTTCCCCTCCCTATGTGGTTGTTTGTGATATAACCCTCTTGTTCTTCATCTCATTGACCCCAAACCCAACACACCCCTCAGCTGCTGATCACAATAAAACCTAATGGTCAATACCAGATCATGTAAATAAGTTTTTCCCCTCTGGAGTGTTTTCCATAAACTAGCCAATTCACAGCCCCCTTAGGGAAGCCTGAAGGGTAATACCCATGGGCTTTGATGAAGGTGGCCCCGACAGGCTCACTGACTTGCTCAGTGGGTGATCTCCCTGCTGTCTCCAGACTTCACACTGGCCTGCCTTGGGCACCAAGTCTCTCTGACCTGTGAATAATACATTTCTTCTGTTTCATGCATTTTAGTTTCACCTCCTTATTGTGTCTTACCTGATACACACATAAACCTAACTTTCCCCTCTGTCAGCAGTCTCCTGCAGAGTGGCTATCTTGGCTTATGGCCACTCTTAAGAGAGAGACACCTCAAGACAAATTAGAACAAACCATAACCATAGAAATCACAACAGCCGTGAACATTTTGGGAGCTGAGAAGATGTGCACTGGAGGGCTTAATGTTCTGTGTGTCAATTTCCCCTCTCTTTAATAATTGGTTCATTATGTTTTCAGCAACTGCTGTTGTCCTCGGTGTCAGACCCTGTCTGGCTCAATCTCTACTTAGAGCAGTAGTTCCCAGACTTTAGCTTGCATCAGAATCATCTAGAGAGGGCTTATTGAAACACAGATTGGTGAGCCCCATTTTAGAGTGTCCGATTCAGCAGGTCTGGGGTGAGGCCTGAAAATGTACCTTTCTAGCCAGTTCCCAGGTAATACTAACCCTGCTGGTCTCAGGTCCCCACTTTGAAAACCACTGCTATGGAGTAATCCTTTAGACTCCTACTGGAGCAAAGAGGGCCACCTGGCTACATGGGTAGAAGAGGGCGTCTGTGAGCCTGACTCCTTCTTTTAAAGACTTTTAACCAGTCCTTATATGGATAGCCCTGCTCTGCACCCTTGCTGCAGAGGCATTTGGTACCTCCAATTCCTGAGCCTTCTGGGACTATGCTGTGAAGTGGCTGGTTCTTGAGGCTCTCCCGTGCTGCCAATGTAGTTTAGCTTTTTCTTGTCTGCTATTTCTATTGTCATTTACCTGTTTACTAATTGCTTCCAAAATTTCATTGCTATTTCTTGTCAGCTGTGACCTCTTCACCAGCTCTTGGTGGATCTGCTGAATTGTTTTGCCTTTTGTTGGCCGTTATTTTAGTGTCATTAGTCAGAATCAAGCATGTATTCAACTGGCTCTTCCTCTACCTTACTTTTAAGCCATCACCATCTCTCACCTGGCAATAAATATCTTTTGAAATGATGAATGAATGACCTTTGACACACAGAGTCATGAGGGAATGAGACGTGATGCTGCTCAACCTCATTGAAATGCATCTCCATCTTGTTGTTCCTGTAACATCTCTTAAAGTTTCAGACATAGATGCTGAATTATCGCTTTAAGCAACTTTCAGGGTGTAATTAAAGTACAAGGTCTGACTGCCAGGACTTGAGATAAATTTCAGTGTCTCAGAGGCAGTGAGATGTGGCTTTGAATTAAGGGGCTGAAACAATTCTCCCAGAAGTAGTATATGAGGTCACAAAAGAGCTCCATTCAGGAAGGAAAGGATGGACAAAGATGGAAGCCAAAGTGTGGCATGTTAGTTATTCTTTGTGTGCAGGTATCTCCCATTTAAAAAGTTGAAAGGCTTTATAAGGACTTTGACCATGGATAAGTAGCCACTAAACTGATTTTTGTCACTTTGTTGACTATTTCATTACTTGAAAGAATAATATTCGGTATCTAGAATTATCTATCATGCCTAGAACTAGGTAAACCAAAGAACGGTTAGAAAGTTTCGTGCTGATGAACACTGGACATTTCCATGAAAATCTGTGGGGAAAAGCAAGAGAGATCAGATTGTTACTGTGTCTGTGTAGAAAGAAGTAGACATAGGAGACTCCATTTTGTTATGTACTAAGAAAAATTCTTCTGCCTTGAGATTCTGTTAATCTATGACCTTACCCCCAACCCCGTGCTCTCTGAAACGTGTGCTGTGTCAACTCAGAGTTGAATGGATTAAGGGCGGTGCAGGATGTGCTTTGTTAAACAGATGCTTGAAGGCAGCATGCTCCTTAAGAGTCATCACCACTCCCTAATCTCAAGTACCCAGGGACACAAAAACTGCGGAAGGCCGCAGGGACCTCTGCCTAGGAAAGCCAGGTATTGTCCAAGGTTTCTCCCCATGTGATAGTCTGAAATATGGCCTCGTGGGAAGGGAAAGACCTGACCGTCCCCCAGCCCGACACCCGTAAAGGGTCTGTGCTGAGGAGGATTAGTAAAAGAGGAAGGAATGCCTCTTGCAGTTGAGACAAGAGGAAGGCATCTGTCTCCTGCCTGTCCCTGGGCAATGGAATGTCTCGGTATAAAACCCGATTGTATGCTCCATCTACTGAGATAGGGAAAAACCGCCTTAGGGCTGGAGGTGGGACCTGCGGGCAGCAATACTGCTTTGTAAAGCACTGAGATGTTTATGTGTATGCATATCTAAAAGCACAGCACTTAATCCTTTACATTGTCTATGATGCCAAGACCTTTGTTCACGTGTTTGTCTGCTGACCCTCTCCCCACAATTGTCTTGTGACCCTGACACATCCCCCTCTTTGAGAAACACCCACAGATGATCAATAAATACTAAGGGAACTCAGAGGCTGGCGGGATCCTCCATATGCTGAACGCTGGTTCCCCGGGTCCCCTTATTTCTTTCTCTATACTTTGTCTCTGTGTCTTTTTCTTTTCCAAATCTCTCGTCCCACCTTACGAGAAACACCCACAGGTGTGTAGGGGCAACCCACCCCTACAAAAATCAATTATCTGTAAATGCAGTAATTTAATTTGAATTAAGTCAGTTCACGGTTGAAACTGATAGAATGAACAATGCTTTAATAATGTGAAAATACTAAAAACTCTGGGTCACAGAATGGACAAAAATAATAATTAATCTCTCTGCCATCTCTCCCAGCCTCACATAGAATACTGCTTTAACACATTGAGATAGTTTGCTAGGGCTGCCATAAAATAATATCACAGACAGGTGGTTTCACCAAGAGAAATTTATTTTCCCAAAGTTCTGGAGGCTAGAAGTCCAAGATCAAGGTGTCAGTGGATTTGATTTCTTCTGAACCCTTTCTCCTTGGCTTGCCTGTGGTCATCTTCTTGCTGTGTCCCTGTATTAGTCTGTTTTCACGGTGCTGATAACAATATACCCGAGACTGGGTAATTATAAAGAAAAAGAGGTTTCATGGACTCACAGTTCCACGTGGCTGGGGAGGCCTCACAATCATGGTGGAAGGTGAAAGGCTCTTCTTACACGGTGGTGGCAACAGAGAATGAGAACCAAGGGAAAGGGGTTTCCCCTTATAAAACCATCAGATCTTGTGAGACTTATTCACTACCACGAGAATAGTATGGGGGAAATCACTCTCACGATGGTTCCCTCCCACAACACACGGGAACTATGGGAGCTACAACTCAAGATGAGATTTGGGTGGGGATGCAGCCAAACCACACCAGTCCCCACATGGTGTGTTCTCTGCACACACATCCCTGGTGTCTCCTTGCATATCCAAATTTCCTCTTAAAGGATACTGGTCAGAATGGATCACAGCCCATGTTAATGGCCTCATTTTAACTTTTATTTTAAAGGTCCTATTTTCTTCTTCTTTTTTTAAAATTATACTTTAAGTTTTAGGGTACATGTGCACAACGTGCAGGTTTGTTACATAGGTATACATGTGCCATGCTGTTGTGCTGCACCCATTAACTCGTCATTTAACATTAGGTATATCTCCTAACGCTATCCTTCCCCCCTCCCCCCACCCCACAACAGGCCCCCGTGTGTGATGTTCCCCTTCCTGTGTCCATGTATTCTCATTGTTCAATTCCCATCTATGAGTGAGAACATGCCGTGTTTGGTTTTTTGTCCTTGCGATAGTTTGCTGAGAATGATGGTTTCCAGCTTCATCCATGTCCCTACAAAGGACATGAACTCATCATTTTTTATGGCTGCATAGTATTCCATGGTGTATATGTGCCACATTTTCTTAATCCAGTCTATCATTGTTGGACATTTGGGTTGGTTCCAAGTCTTTGCTATTGTGAATAGTGCCGCAATAAACATACGTGTGCATGTGTCTTTATAGCAGCATGATTTATAATCCTTTGGGTATATACCCAGTAATGGGATGGCTGGGTCAAATGGTATTTGTAGTTCTAGATCCCTGAGGAATCGCCACACTGACTTCCACAATGATTGAACTCAAAACCACAATGAGATACCATCTCACACCAGTTAGAATGGCGATCATTAAAAAGTCAGGAAACAACAGGTGCTGGAGAGGATGTGGAGAAATAGGAACATTTTTACACTGTTGATGGGACTGTAAAGGTCCTATTTTCAAAATCAGTCACATTCTGAGGTTACGGGGGCTTCTGTGTGAATTCAGCCCGTAACACGCATTTTGTTTTGTGATTAACTATTATAAGTTGCATTCTTTCAAAGGGGACCTAACTTCCCCCTCCACTCGAAATGAAGATCAGCCTGAGACACCAAAAGACTTGTGGGTGAAGAACTGGATCCCTTTGGCTGAACGCTTGAAGCCAGCAAAGAGTTATCCAGCTGGTTTGGGGAATCCTATAGAAATTTCTGGAGAAGACTAATTATCCTCATCTTCACCATCTGAGCCCACCTCTTTCAGAAACATTGTCTCTTTTGGTCTTTCTCTTTAGATGCAGACAGTGGCCTAAGGGACACTGTGGTTTATCGTGGATGTTGATTTTTCATTCTCTGAATGTTTTCAGTCAAACACTTGAGTTGCTCACTCGCTTTCTCTCCCTCCCTCCCTGTCTCTCCTCGCTGGCTCTTCCCGCCTCAAGAAAACCAAGGGAAATTGACAAGCAGCAGGACAAGGGAAATTAAGCTATATTATTTCTCCTTCGGGAACCTCGCTTTGCTGCCTTTATCTGAAAGCTATCATTTTCTACATCTCTTGGCAAGAGTTCTCATCGACCAGTGACCCCTAAATGCCTATGCTGATCAATAGTCCCGGTATCTTATTGACATGCCCATTGACAGCTCTTACTGAGCACAGGAATCAGGAATGGCAACCAATTGCAATCTGTTCAAGCTGCTTGAGAGGCAGGGAAGGCCCCACGTTGATATTGACACTGTAAATGGAGACGGTTTACTTAGCACTCAGGGAAGATGCATTTGTTAAGGAGACCGATAGATCTCATTACTATTTAAGGGCAGAGGCTTTTCTGGCAGCCCACGGGGCTTGCTTATATCAAGACTTTTCCACTTACGGAGCCTGGCAAAATAAACCCTGAGTGATCTGCCCTCCCTCTCATCCCCCGTAAAAAAGAACCGTCAGAGACGGAATTGAATGTGAGCAAGGAGTGGACACAGAACTGAACAATGGGAGACCTTGGCCCCTGTCATTTTGGTCCTTGTTCCTCAGATCTCAGCTCCCAGGCACCAATAATGGCAGTTTTTCTGTCTGAGTGGGTTTGGGCTCCTACACTCTTACTGAGCAAGTGCTAAGTCAAGATTCACAGAATCTCCAGGAAGGGAGGGATTTCGGGATTCATCTGCCCCAATTTTTTATTCAGTGCAGAAATTCTTATAGCAACATCCTCTGAATGTGCCTACCCAGCATTTCTTTGGTTACCTTCAGTGACGTGGAACTCACTATCTGAAGAAATATCCCATTTTATTGTTCAGGAGCTGCAGTAGTTGGAAAGGCCTCCCTTCTATGGGGCTGAAATCTGCCTTCCTATAGCTTCTCCTTGTTCCAAGATTGATTCTCTGTAGCTGCATACATATACTAAAGATGCTGGCCTGGCATTTAGCATTCTTCATCCCTTATCCTGTTAACAGCTCCTCAAAGAAGATATCCTCTTTACCTCCACGTCTCTCCCCATTTTACAGATGGGAAAACTAAATATTTGAGAATTTAAGTAATTTCCTCAAAAACACAGAGCTGGGATCTGGGCATGCCTGAATTCCTTGTTCTTTCTCTAGCCTTGTCTTGTGTCCTGCTGCATAGTGGGTCTGGTCTGATCTTCCTTCCCTTATCATTTCCCTGAACAATAGAATTCATTTCCAAAGAGCTAAATACCTCTTTCGTATTGTGACCTCTCTGTTCTCAAAAGTACTCCTCCCCTTCCCTCCACTCCCCTCTATCCCCTCCCGTCCCCTCCCTTTCCCTTCTCTTTTCCTTTCCTTTCTCTTCTCTGCTCTTCTCTTCTTTGCTCTTCTTTTTTTTTCTTTCTTTCTTTGACAGATTTTCACTCTCTCACCCAGGCTGGAGTGCAGTGGCACAGTCATAGCTCACTGTACCCTCCAATTTCTGCACTCAAGCAATCCTCCCATCTCAGCCTTCCAAGTAGCTAGGACTACAAGCACAAACCACCATATCTCACTAATTTTTAACAATCTTTTTGTAGAGATGAGGTCTCACTATGTTGCAAGGCTGGTCTTGAACTCCTGGCCTCAAGTGATCCTCCTGCCTTGGCCTCCCAAAGTGCTGAGGTTACAGGTGTCTCCATGCCTGGCTATTTTTCCCTTGACTTGCCCCTGGATCACAGTTTTCTAACTCTCTCTACAGAGAAATCTTTGGAATGCCAGCCCTTCCATCTTCCCATGCAGCACTGACACTCCCCATCAGGCCCATTCAAACTGTTCCCACACTCTCTCCATTCTCTCTCGCTTCTAAATTCCTTGGCTGTAGGAGGTTGGTGCAACCTGCTCACCCATCCTGTTTGTGAAGAGTACAGGGAGGCAGAGCATGCAGGAGGGATTGGGGTAGCTCATGGGGATACACATCATCTGTACCCCTTCCTGTAGGCCAATCCTCTAAAGCAAAGGCAGAGTAGGGCCATGCCCAGGTCACTTAAGGCCTCTGCCAAGCCCTGGGAATCTAGGAAAGACTCTTGGGTCAGGGACAGAATAAGAATGTAGTTTGGGAGGTCTGCAGGGAGACTAAAGTGAGACCCATGTGTCAGGCTGCACAAGTACACCAGATCCTCTATATAGAATGAGGGCTGGAGTCCAGCTGCTTGGCTGGAAATTCATGGTGACTCTTTTGAACACTTGTGCCTTTGAGGTCTGAGGAGGGTAGAAAATCCCTAGATAGTTGTAGTCTTAAGACAGAAGAGGAGCATGGAGAATCCTCACAACCCAAGTGATTTTGAAAGGAGCTGCTGACACCTCTATCCTTGGCCACGGAGTGGAAGCCCCACTGGAACAATAGAGAAGCAATGAGTGGGACCAGAGCTAATGAATGAAAGTGGCAGAGAAGCAGATTTTGAGGTTAAATTATTCCTAGGTGAGGGCCTAGGAGATGCTGACTATGAATGCATTATGGCATCACCATGGTCAAAGTTAGCTAACTGGGGCTTAAATGCTGTTGTGAATGTGTGGCTATATTGACACATTGCCTTCCAAATCAATGGTAAGTGAAGGGTGCCACTGACTGCAAATGTTTGGAGTGCATTTTGGAAAACTGTTGAGTGGGCTAGGCAAGGGCAAAGACTGATGTTCACTGGTCAATGCCTTAGGCTAGACCATCACCACCATCCACCAGAATGATTCCAACACCTAGCTAATGAGTCTTGCTGCCTTTCAAACTTTCAGCGGACCTTCATCTGCCCTTCATATAATGTCAGAATTGGATTATGTCCCCTCTCCTTCATTCTCCAATGCATTAATAGTAGAGCCAAAGTTCACCATGGCATTCATGATTCAGCATGGTTCAGCCTGTGATCCACCACATGACTCATATACCCTGTGATGAAGTCACATTAAACCAGTTGCTCAGCCCTGAACACACCAAGCACTTCCATGGCTTTGTGCGTTTTTTTCCCTGCTATTTTCTCTCCTTGACAAGCTCTTCTCTTTGCATTTTTGCCTGTTAAATTCCTAGTCATTAGCAAAGACTCTGCCCTGAAACATTTTCTGATTTCTCTCATCAGAATAAACTCTGCCTTTTGTGCTCCAATGCCAGAGCATTTAATTCACCTTGTTGAATATTAGCATTTAATTCATCCTCCTAGAGCATTTAACTCACCCTGCTGAATATTGTAGTTAAATGTTTTTGCATATCTTTGCTACTTCACTGAAAATGAAGACAGTAACTCACTGGTCATTTTACCTCTGGGGATCTCAAGAGAGTGTCTTGCACACAATATGTATCCACCATTAGGAATTGAGGGATAGTACTGGCACTGGTTGATGGCCCACTGATTGTGGCCAGTCAATATCCCAGAGCTCTAATTGTAGGAAGAAAGTCTAGCACTCAGCAGCACCCATATTCTCCTCTTCCTTGGGGAGACACAGCTGGTCCACTGTTTTTTTTTGTTGTTGTTGTTTGTTTATAACTTTTCTTTACCACTTTGGTAACAGGTTCCCTACTGGTTATGAACATGCCAATAGGACATGAGAGGAAGTGATGAACCCACTTGCAGGCCTACCCTCTGAAAACCTTCCCTGTGTAAGCCAATCTTTCTTTTCCTATATTGAATGCAGAAAGCTCCAAGGCCCTAGAAGTGCTGGTTCTGAAGAGAAAAGTGGAGCTTCCAGATAGAAGGATGCTGGGCCTCTGAAGGGCTTTGAGTGGAAGGGCCTCCACCACCTCTCCAGTGACCTATGGGAGAAATAAACACTTATGCCTTATGCTATAACCTACAGAGAATTAGATGGGGTTTTTAGAAAGCAGCTAGTCTAGCCTGCTGCACTGACCAGTCACATTAGCAATGGCTGTGTGTGGATGAGTGTGAGGAGCTGGAAGGCACAGGTCGGTGTGATCTGGCTTAGGGAGAGGGGCTGCAGTTAGCTCAGTACTGCGTTTGCACTCAGCTGAAGGACAACCCAACCCTCCTGCACCCTAAGTGTCTCACCTCTTTCAACCTTCTTTTGCCTACAAAAGGTTTTCAATTTTTCTTTACCACTTTGGTAACTCACCTTGGGAGGCACTTTGGTTTTCCAATGACTACCTGGAAAGGCAACCTCAGAGTAGGGGAATATGAAGCACCTGGGCACCCTAGTAGTTAGGAGCACCTGAGCATTAGGGACCTGGAGCTGTATGGTGTAGGTTTAATTCCTGGCCTCATGCATACTAGTTATGAGACCTTACTTCTACAATTTTCCTCCACTATAAAATGGGGACATAACAGCCCCCACTTCAAATTTTGAAGCCAAAATATGTAAAATTTAAAGAGATAATACAAATTAAATATGCCATCATGCTTAAAGTAAACACTCCACAATTTTCACTAACTTAATATATTATTGTTATTGCTATAGGAATAAAGACTTTTAGTATGGCCTGAGTACTCAGAGGAGATATTACCAGTGAGTACACAAGTAAAATTTATCTTACCTGTTCTGTATAAAAACATCTTAGCGTGAGAATAAAGTTTATTTTGGGGATAGCCTTATCCACCATGGTGTTGACATGTCTATCAAACCCCAAAAGTCATTTCATGAATGCTGCTGTTGAGGCATGTTTTTCTCTCCCGACTCTCACCCAGTTCTGCATTTGAGAGGTTGACATTTTGGACCCAACCATAAGATTTTGCATTTATCCCTTATATTTCACTTGGTTGGGCTTAGTCCCTTGTTCCAGCCTGTCAAGGTTATTTTGAATATTGGATCTCTCATCCAATATACTTATTATCCATATTAGTGTTTCCATCATTTAAAAATCCAATAAACTTTCCATCTATGTCTTGTCCAAAGTCATTGAAAAAGTACTAAAATGGACAGAACCGAGAGCAGGTCCCTATGATATGATATGTCCCTTTAGAAACGTTTATAGAGGCCACTGGCACTATTGAGTAAAATCATTCCCACAATTATAAACCCATTCAATGTAGAATCTCATTCTAGATTGTTCATCTTTTCATTTATTCATTCACTTACTCATTCATCCATCTGTCAGCAAACTTTTTCTGTAAAGGGCCAGTTAGCAAATATCTTAGGTTTTGGAGCCATACGATCTCTATTGTGACTACTAAACTCTATCATATTATTGTAAGAAAGCAGTCATAGACAATATGTAAACTAGTGAGTGTGGCTGTGTTCTGTTAAAACTTAATTTGAAAACAGGCTATGAGCTGAATTTGGCCCATGAGCCATAGTTTGCTGATTCCTTCTTGTTGTAGAACTTTCTCCTTAGTTCAGCTAAAAATGGGGTCCTTGTCACACAACCATGAAAGATTAGGCTTGCAGACACTTTGATGGGTGAGAAGGATAGGTCGAACAGGAAAAAAAGGGAAACAGGGACTCTCAGCAAAGCTAGAGTCCTGTTAGCTGGCTTCTTGCCTCACAGATTGAATCCCAGGTACCACCCCAGAGCAGGAGAGGCCAGGCTCCTCTCCTCTGCAAATGGCTTAAACTTCCACAGACTCCACCCCAGTGCATATTCCTCCCAGTGCACAGGCCGGTCAGAGGTTCTGCCAGGCAGCCCTTTTCACTTGGCTGTCTCATTATCTAAGGTATTACTCTTTATATTTAAGCAGTATTTGAGTGTTGAGTAACCATCGTCCCTGGTTGAAGAGCCCTGGGGAAGAGGCATACGTAAGAGCCAGATGCCCCATATAAATGGGAGTCTCTCGTCCTATCTACCCTATGGCTTTTCCTTGTCATCTATAAAGAAGTTTAATGCTGATGTCCATCCAAGAGGGAAAAAAGAACCCAGGCCACCCAGAGTCACAATTCTCTTTTGTTAGCAGCCAAACTCCTGGCACGGAAGACAAGAACTCCATATGTCCACGATGGCCTCCTGGACCCACTTGCTGACCAGAGATCCCTGACCTTACCAAGAGCAGGGCTGCTGTTGTTGAGGGCTATGTGGGTGGCAGACATGTCTCTCAGGGGTGGGAAATGCCAAGTTAAAATAACTTTGATCCCAGTTTCTGACTCTCGCCTTTCTCATCTATCTATGATGAAAAAATCTTGATTATTTTATTAGTGGCTCTTTTATTTTATTAGTGGCTCTTGAACTTCTTTTCTCATCTAATAACACTGTTAATCAGCCCACATCCCTCTCATAAACATTTATATCCATAACCGGATTTCTGGCAATACTGAGGTTTACTCTTTTCTTTGCAAGTTCCTCTCTACTTTGCATGGATATCATTTTATCTGTCCTGCGTCTTGCCTCAGAGGGACGTGGAGATTCTTGGATGCTGAACCAGCCTCCTCTGCCCTTCCAGTGACTCCCAGTTTAGGTTAGTTGAGGAAGGGGTGTGTGCATAAATGTTTGGGTAGGGAGTAGGAAAAAGAAACGAATGCATGAAAGGGAATATTGAACTTCCAGTGCATTGTAATTGCCAAATGATCCTATCTTCCATGAGATGATCCCATTGGGATTTATTGCCATATTAACAGTGGTTTTCCCATTGCATTACCTAATGAATAATGTCTGAGCTAATAACCCACTAAAAAAATTCCAGCAACAACAACACAACTCCCTTCACTGTAATTATTATTTTTTCCTAAAGCGGTGGTTTTTATATAAATACTGATGTCTTTTTATTAGGTTCTCGTATAACGACTTGCTTAAAAAATGGGCCCTATTAAATTGCCATCAGTTGTAGCAGGCCATATGTTAGTGCTTTACTGATTGCTTCCCGCTGTATGGACTTGGGTTTTTCAGGCTATATTAGGGCCCAGCAGGTGGTGCCACCCTCTTCCACCACCCTCCCCTTGCACCCTACCCACCCATCCTCTCACTGCCCCCCACCTCGCCTCCTACCTGGAATTGATGGCATTTAGAGAAGGAGGAAGGAGGCCTCAGCTGTGCAAACACAGTGCTTCTGTTTATTTTGGTAGCCTCTGAAATATTTGTTGAGAGTTATTCGAGCAGAAAGGCTGAATGGAGATCATTGCAATGTGTCAAATTAAGGAGTGCTTAATGCCTGCCTAATCTCTTGGTAATTACTGTTGTGGCAGTGGAAGGCTTCAGAGCCTGGTAAGAAAGCTAATGATAGCGAGAGACATGAGGCTGCCCGGGCATCCCTGGCATCGCTGCTCAGCACAATTAGAGGCTCCACTTCGATCAGGGAGAGGGAACCTCTGTCACTCAACACCGGAGGATCGGCCTTTGGAGGGGAGGGGTCAGACAGGAGTGTTGGCCTGGGTGGCTGGACAGGGGACTCCTTCAACTAGGTGTCACTTTCCTAATGGTGTTCTAAAATGTGACAGCCTCGGGGGTGTGTGTGTGTGCGTGCGCATACGTGTGCGCGTGTGGATGTTGTGCAAGGAAGGCATCTGACCTCAGGGTGTCTGGGGGAAGCCAGAGGAACGCAGAGCTTTCTTCTTACCAGTCTTTGTCTTTCCTTCTGCCATCCAGTCTCTCCTCTCTCCCTGATTTTCTCTCTTTAGCCTCATTTTCTTTCTTTCGGAATCTCTGCTCCCCCTCTGTATCTTCCACTTTGTAGATTTCATGTTCTTTGCCTGCCTTTTACAGCTCTCTCTCTCTCTCTCTCACACACACACATAATTTGAATGATCAATTTAACAGGCATTTACCTCAATCAATCATGAATTTTAATAGAAGCAGAAAATAGTGATGAAGCGGCAGGTAAGGAAGAGAAAATAAAACTCTTAACAATACCTCCAAACTCTGCCTGTAGCGGATGGAGGAAAAATGGGAATTTTAAAAAGTCCAACAAGGAAATTCACATAGAAAGAAGTTGGAAAAAAAAATCTCCAGAATATGGATCTGTGGTGGAAAGATTGTGAGAAATCTGCTCTGTCTTTTGGAGATCAGTAACTGGTCATACAATTTTTTAATACTGTAAATTCCTAATAAAAAACTGGGTACCCAGCTCAAGCTCATTTGGGGCCTCAGGGACCTGACAGTAGCCCTCCATAGGGAGTCAGACAACGTGAGTTCCAGTCCCTGATCTTCCACTCACTGGTCCTGTGGGTTTGAAGATGCCACTTTACCTAGTCACTTCTTCATTTATAAAATAGGGAAATATTTATCTCACAGGGTTGGTGTAAGAATCCAAGGAAATGTTTAAGAGTGCTCTGGGCCAGGCGCTGTGGCTCACGCCTGTTATCCCAACACTTTGGGAGGCCGAGGCAGACGAATCACAAGGTCAGGAGTTCAAGACCAGCCTGGGCAACATGGTGAAACCCTGTCTCTACTAAAAATACAAAAATTAGCTGAGCGTGGTGGCTCACGCCTATAGTCCCAGCTACTCAGGAGGCTGAGGCAGAAGAATCACTTGAACACGGGAGGTGGAGGTGGCAGCGAGCTGAGATCGCACCACTGCACTCCAGCTTGGGTGACACAGTGAGACTCCGTCTACAAAAAAAAAAAAAAAAAAAAAATAGTGTTCTGAAAAAAATAAAACACTATAAATCAGTCAATCAAACAATTAAGCAAACCATCAACAGAGACTTATGTACAATGTGCAGATAATTGGGGGGACTCACAACTCAGTGTAATTACTTAGATCATCATTTGCTGATGGATTAATTAGGAGTTGCTGCTTTAGGGTTGCTCCAATTTTGAACAGAGAGGACTGGAGAGGATGGAGCTCTCTTCTTCCTTGTAATGTCTCCAGCCACCCTCTGGATCTTGGTGGACCCAGAGGTATAGCAAGCACTTGCAGGGCTCCAGGCAGGGAAGCCCTTTGCAGGGAAGGCAAATGTGGGTTTTAATGGGAGTGTGGAAGAGCCAAGGATAGGGCACAGAGCATGAATCGCTTCTGAAAGGATCTTGAATGTCATGCCAGGATAAAGCAGGAAGATATATTGTGGATTTCTATTTGGCCATTAAGCTCTGGAGTACCAGAAGAGAGGAAATACTGAGGTCAACTAGTTGTTCTTGAGAATCTCCACCCTGTGTTGAGAGGAGGAAGGTTATAAACTCAGTGTCCCTGGTGATGATAAATAATCTGAAATATGAACAACACTTCGTTAAGAAGTGTTAGAGCCACTGTTTGGGACAAAATTCTGGACTGTGGCCTGCAGAAAAGCCGTCTGAGGAAATTTCATAGGTTCTCATTTTTGTAAGAGAAACTGAAGACCAGAGGACAGAAGGGCCTGGAACTGTTTTCTCCTAGCGTCTCCCTCTGAGGAATCTGGTATCAAAGGTCTCTCACTGGTGAGAGAGAGTAGCTGTGTATAAATAGGCAGCATCGTTACATTTCCAAATAATCTGTTTGGAATATGTCACTTTCTCAAAAGACAGTTCTACTTGTAAACGACTTTGTCTGACCATAGGCCCCAACACCTAATTACAGGGAAAGATAATCAACCCTGCAACCTTGTAACTTCTGAGTCTCTGACTCTACGACAGGGCAGAGTTTAGCTTCTCCTATAGATAAGGTTGGAAGTTCAGTTTTCTAGAGAAGGTACCAGAAGTCAGGGCAGGGCCTCTCCTACTCCTACAGACAATTTGCACAGCAATGCCTCCTGAAGGCCACACAATAACTCAGTGTTCACTGAAAACACAACCTCTCCACTGAGAATCCCTGTTTTCCCACTAATGGAGAAGGGGTGGTGTGAGGTCAGAGTATAGAGAGGAACCCCAGTTTCTAGAAGAGAGGGAAGGAAGGGCCTGGGGATTGTGCTGCCTTTGGGTGGAGGGAGAAGGAAGGGGCAGGTCTCTGATAGAAGCAGGGGCAGAGGACAGCCTCAACTGGCCGGTTCCAGTCACAGAGCCCAGTCAGTGAGAGGTTCATCATTAACTGTCAAATGGTGGTTTTAATCAGCTCTGCTCCTCAGTGGAAGATAGATTTAATATCAAGGCACATTTTCAGAGCCATTAGTTTAATTATGACAGGTGTCTGCAAACTGGATGACTCTGCTTTCAGATCTGAGTGACAGCATTTAATTCTCTAGGTCCATGGGGACGCTGGGTTACTTTACCAAAATGAGCCTCCATTGAAAGTCTAAGTGTTTTCCATTCCCTTCTCCCCCCTTGCCTTCCTCCTCCTCTCTTTTTATCCTACTGTACACGTCAAAAGGAGGAAATGGATAGAAAATTGTGCTTCAGCAGAAGAGAAAATAATTTACCTTGCCCATTAGTCTTACTGGGGCTTCCAGCAGCTGAGATCCTGCTCAGGCAGAAGCCTGTATCACTTAGAACCCACCACGAACATCTCTGCACCGTGTCCACAGTCACTGCTTGCAGGACACCCAGTGGATGGCAAATATAACGGCAGGCACTCATGATGCGGGCAGGAGGACAGACGGAGGTGCGGAGAGAGTGTGGGCCAGGTTGGGGGCCGAGGGTGGCCTGCTTCAAGGGAGCCCAGAAGCACCCATGTGTATGCCTCTAACCTGGCTCTCTGCCCCTCTGGGGCTCCTGGGCTGCCATTCTGTTTGATTTTCCTCTCCTGAGTTCACTCCACCTGCCCTGCTCCCCTCCACCTTGACGGACCAGGTGGCCAACACAGGCTGTGTGATAATGGGAAGGGTGCTGAACTCCCTGAAACTTCTATCCACATGGGAAATTGTTGAGCTAGGACAGTGTTTTTCAATTTTTGCTTGTTTTGTTTTGCATGAACAGAAGGAGGCTTAAAAAATGAAATATTGGGAAACCCAAATTCACTTGAATCAATCTCTGGCAGAGACCTGGCCCACTCCCAGGGTTCTATCTCTCCCACCTCAGAAGCTTCTGAGACCCAGGGCCTGGGAGCCCTCATGAATCCAGGACTAAAACTACTGGGCGGGTGCTGGTCTCTGAGGACCCTCCCAGCCTTGTGGTGCGTGACCTTGGGGGCTGGAACCCTCATCAAAGGGAATCCTTGCCTTAGAAGGAGCTGACTGGGTCAAGAGCAAACATTCGAGAAAGGATGTTCAGGACATGGTGTGGGTTAAGATGCCACAGCAGGGGTCAGAGGGTACTTCGTGAGTGGTTGAGGATGAGTTTTATTTATCTCTGGTTCGTTTACCTCTATGATCAGATGTGTGCTTAGGTTGCAGAGCGCTCTGTCTTACCTGTCCTCGCATGATGTCTACAGGATTATTTTTGCAGTCCCTTTTCTGCAAAGGTAATTACTTCTGGAGGCATAGGGAGACAGACAGCACCAGCATGATGGCCTGGCCTTGGCCTCCTGTCTGCAGGCAGGGCCAGGGCCAGGAGTTCATCCTGATGCTGGTCCTGCATGGAGCTGTGAGCTGGGCTCCTCCCGCTGGTGCACAGTGACCCCTGCTGCTGCATGGCAGGCCTGAGAGAGAGAGAGGGAGGGAGAGAGAGAAATAGAGAGAGAGAGAGAGAGAGAGGCTGGGGGGGATAGGCAAGTGGGGGGAGGGGGAGAGAGAAGAAGAAAGAAGAGGGAGGGAGAGGAGACAGGAGGGAAGAGAAGCCAGAGGGGGAAAGGGGAGGGAGAGGGGTGAGCACTCCCCAGGGAGCTATATTACGTCCTTTCTGTGGCCACCCCACCCACTGTTGTCCCCATACCCAGTGGAGGTCAGAACCCCTTTTGACCATCCCGAGGTTTTTATAATGACTCCTTGCAAAGTGGAAATCAATCTCTGGAGACCAAAGGAGGCAAATATGCTTCGAGAAGAGCCTGGTCTGGTTTCTCAGGGCCACCCCTTCCAAAGGCTCCTTGTTTGGTGTGGCTGTGAAACCACATCTGGGGCTTCAGAATATGTGGGGTTCTTTGGTTTGGCTCCCCTAGGAAAAAGGGGTTTTGTGTGTTGGAGGCAGGAGAGGAAGTATCTTGGGGCGAAGGCTTAGCGAAATCACGTGGGACGAAGCTTCCCTCTCTAACAAAAGGACTGCCAAGTCCTACGCTCTCAGCAGAGAAAAGAACAGTTTTGTGTCTCTTTGTTTGTTCCTTGGTTTATTCACTCAGTCACAAAATTAATTCTCAAACGTGGTAAGCAGAGGCTGGTTGGCCCTTCAAGGAAGGGGGTATCTTCTGCATGTCATCAGATGGGAGGGAGGTGCCTGGGATAGGAGACAGTCTTTGCTAGCTTTCCTGTTCCTGGAACCCCCTCCCTAAGGTGCTGTGATACAGGTAAAACAACACTATAGAGATGAGTACAAGTGGAGACCACTGGGCTGCCTGACGTCTCATCCCCCTGTGTTCTACAGGGGACCCACAGGTGTCTTTTCTTAGGAGACTGGAGAATACAGTTCTTCATGTCAACCTTTGCAGATAAAGTATGAGCTGCATGAGTGAGTGTTGACATGGTGTTTTGTGTGATTTGTGCCTACAGTGGGCATTAGTGATAGAGTTCCAGAAGCAATCAATGGTAGGGGAGGGTTACATCGTGCCCTTTCTTGTCTGTGAGTCTGTGCTCACTGGGAGATGCCCTCACCTCTCCTTTCTGCCAAGCTCTGCCCACCATCAACCTCCCCAGACCCCGTGTGCGTGGACCCCCTCCTCCTTCACTGAGCACTGGTCTACTCCACACTCCTGAGCATTTGTGCTAAGCTCCAATTATTCCTCATGCTAAGTCCTGTTCCCTCCACTAGATTCTAAGTGCTGCAACTACAAAGCCAATGTCTCACCCTCGCCTTCACTTTTTGCAGCCCCTACAGCCCCTAGTACAGCTCCTGAGAAAGACTTGAGCACAAAGACACACTTGTTAGATTGAACTGAATCTCTTTAGAAACTTTTCTTCATCAGAGTGCTATTTACAAATCATTTGCAAATGTTCTTTTGCCACCTCATGGCCTGGAAGTTCAATTTAAGATTTTCTAGCCTCAGTCTTAAAAAAAGAGGCGAATGCTACTAGCATGCAATTTGCCAGACCGCACCCACATCACTTAATAATCAAAGGAATATACAGAATTTACATTTCCTTCTCTCCTGATCACATAGAACAGAGGCTTCCAGGAAACTTGAGCAGAGAACTTCCAGTTCCGTAAATCTTCTAGACGTTGTGGAATGGGGATCGTGGTTCCAAGGCCTTTGATGAATATTAAAAAACCATCTCTGCATACCTCTCATGTCTTGTGTGAGGAAAACCAAGAAAACAATTGAATTTCTCCCATTCATTGCAGGCCTCCCTTCTTTAGAGGAAACCATTGCATGTGTGTTTTTAACTTTAGACCCTGTTGAGGGGAGGTGGTAGTGTGTTTTGTAAATGAGAAAATAGAATAGAATCCATAAGACAAATTATATGTGTAAGATTCAACCCTAGGATATAAAAATTTGGCATTCATAGAGGGTATAAGTTGCCATAGGATAGAAGTTGTAACTCAAGAGCTAACAAACTATGTAGGTTCAAAACGACCGTTTTTGACTTGATAGTAAAAATTTATAGCTTAGAAATTACATCATTATATCATAAGACTTTCAAGTCACTTTACCTCCTGATTAAAACAGATGCAACAATGCTCTGTAACTAACTGTACACTATTTTTTTCTCTCTAACAAGAGAGAAAAATAAGCAGGTTTTAAAAAATGTGCAGAATAATTAGCTTAGTGACTAATTAGCTGAATTATTGTGACTAGTTTTCCCACCGAAGTAGCAGCAAGTTGCTTGGAAGAAATGCTGAGTATACACGACTCAAAGCATTTCAAGTTCTGAATTTGTACAGACCTAATCAGTGTGAAAACCGTACTGTATTATGATTCATGTGAAAATGTTGAAGTATTTACCTAGGTTTTCTTGGCTTGTGTTTTCTAAGGGTTATAGCTGAGAGCTTCATCATGTCTGGGTTGCTGGCACAACCAGGGCAAACATCTCTGAGTTTTTCTCTCTCTCATCTGCAAAAGCTGGGATCACAGCACGGCCTGGAGACCATGGGGGCATATGTGGTATATGAGCCCCAAGAGATGATCTGTAGATAAAATGGTTCAGTAGCCAAATAGTTTTGAAAAATACTGTGTTATTTACCTCTTGAATATTATCAGGGTACACAATTTATTAACAAGCTACAGTATTGGAAATCTGTTTTATTTTGTTTAAACCAGCATTTCCCAGTCCTGATTGAACAATAAACTTTTTTTGGACATAATATTCACTAAAATAAACATAGCTAATTAACATCTTGACAGCCTTACAATTTTGTGGCTTATGGGTGTACATTTTATGTCATGAGCACTCTCCAAAGCTATACCAGCTGCTTGTTCTTCTAATCTGTCATCTGCTCCTCTTCTCTTGAAATCCTAGGTCAGAGGCCTCATCTTCCTAGAAGTTCATTCTTCAGATTGTTAGCAATGTGAGCCTTTCCCTCTCTCCCAGCCCATGGGTAAATTGATGATACCAGTAGATGCTTTACAGGGTCTTGGGCCTGAGAGTCAGGGATCAGGCTTGAGGATTTGGGTAAAAAGATTGCGGAACTTTCTTCCTAAAGTCTAATTAATATACTCAAATGATAAAGGTGATGCTTTTGCAAACCAAATGGGAACCATTGATTAATAGCCTAATTTTTTAAATTACTTTTAATAATTGAGAATAGTTTGGAATAGTTGGAAAAAACATGGACAGTTGATAGACTCTCTTGGGTTTGGTACTGGTCATGCCCAATATTACCCGTATAATTTTCTCCCAAACTTTTGATACCCAGTGTCCTCATGTGTCTAATAATACATACCTCACAGGTTCATTTTGAGGCTCTAGAGATATAGTGCAGTGCGGAGGGTTAAAATTTCCACACTGTGATTCAGACATGCAAAAAGGGTGAATCTTTATTTTTGGTAACTGAATTAAAATTTGTTCATGAGCCCCCAGTTAAGGTAAAGCATATAAAGAATTCTAGGCCAGGCGCTATGGCTTACACCTGTAATCCCAGCACTTTGGGAGGCCAAGGTGGGCGGATCATGAGGTCAGGAGTTTGAGACCAGCCTGTCCAATATGGTGAAACCCCGTCTCTACTAAGAAATGCAAAAATTAGCCGGGTGTGGTGGCACATGCCTATAGTCCCAGCTACTCAGGAGGCTGAGGCAGGAGAATTGTTTGAACCTGGGAGGCAAAGGTTGCAGTGAGCCCAGATCGCACCACTGCACCCCAGCCTGGGTGACAGAGTGAAACTACATCCAATTATTATTTTCAGCCTGATTCAGTTATGATGTCTTGTGGAACAGGAAGCTCTTTTGCAGGGAGGCAGGGAGGCTAAATTGTCTTTCTCCCATTCTTTCCAGAATGTCCATGAAAATGAGGTACACCACTACACCACTTCCTTCAGGCCTGGAGGTGAGGCACTCCTTGTCCTCCTTTTTTTTTTCCTTTGCCTGTTGGTTGGCTGAATGCAGAGAGGTCTCAGCCGAGGACTTAGGGAGGCCCTATAAGATGATGGAACCACAAAATGGGTGGCATGGTGATATAGTTTGAATATATGTCCCTGTGAAGTCTCATGTTGAATTGTAATCCCCAGTGATGGAAGTGGGACCTGGTGGCAGGTGACTGGGTCATGGGGAGGATCCCTCATGGTTTGGTGTTGTCCTTGCATTAGTGAGTTCTCATGAAATCTGGTTAAGAATGTGGCCCATGCCCTTCATTCTCTCTCTTGCTCCTGCTCTGGCCATGTGAGGTGCCGGCTTCCCCTTTCACCTTCTGCCATGATTGAAAGCTCCCTGGGGCTTCACCAGAAGCCAAGCAGATGCCAGCACCATGCTTCCTGTAAAGCCTGCAGAATCGTGACCAATTAAACCTATTTTCTTTATAAATTACCCAGCCTCAGGTATTTCTTTATAGCAATGCAAGAACGGCCTCATACACAGGAGGATCCCCAAATCACCACATAGAATAATTTCTACTGAATTCTTAAACTCTTGGATTGTAATGTGAATGAAAAATACAGATGTACTTGTTAAGCCATTGAAATTTTTGAGTTGCTCATGACAACAACAACTATAATTGCTGTGAGTATACCAGTAGTACACATGGTCTATTGGCAATGATAAGTTTTATCCATACAACAGCTCTAAAGTTGTAACACAGTGCATGGTAAAAAGCAGATGCTCAATAAACATTAATTACCCTACACAAAACATAAGTCCATTACAAGAACTCGACACCAAAAGGGTGATGTGTTCCAGGTACCTAATTGGACACACTAGTTTGAAATTAGGGTGATCAGATAGGATCAAGAAGACAAAATGAACACTTGGACATTATCTCAATGCACATTATCTCAGCTGTACCTACATCCCTATGAAGTAAGCACTGTTATACCTTATATTACCTCTAAGGAGACTGAGGTTCAGAGAACTTAAGCAAATTTCCCCAAATCACAAAGCAGACATTGATAAAACGGAGACTCCAATCACTGAGCATGTTATTCGAAAGCCTGAGTGTTTAATCACCATATTTTATGTCACCAAGGATTCTAGCTTGGTTTGGCTTCCCACAATATTTTAACCCCCTGAGGGCAAATATGTGTCTTTTTTTCCCAAGTGACTAGTACTGTCTTTGGTAGAGACCTCAAAAAACGTTTCTTGATTTACTGAATGCTTTGTGTTTACTGTCTCAGATCTGAATCCAAGAAAACCTAGACAGGAATGTCTTTCACCACAAATATGCAATTCGCCAAAGAAAAAACAAAGAAACAGAAGAAGTATATATTAGATTATCTCAAAGTAAATAGGCAGACATTCTTGCCCCTGGATATAAGTAGACGGTCACTCCCGAGCGCCTGATGTGGCATTGTCTCTCAGGGGCACGGAGCGCCGAACATCCTTTGTGAAACATTCTCTCCAGGGAGGACTTGGAGGGCTGGTTCACTTTCACTGATGTCTGCTGAAGCCATGGCTCTTTATTTCAAAGTCTGGTTCTGAATTTTCTTACTGAAACCATGTTTCCATAGTCCTTTCTATTTTTCATATTTTTTTTGTGTGTGTCAAATGTAAAATGTATTTTCATTTTAGAAAAGAAAAAGGAAGGGCTGGGCATGGTGGCTCACGCCTGTAATCCTAGCACTTTGGGAGGTCGAGATGGGTAGATCACCTGAGGTTAGGAGTTAGAAACCAGCCTGGCCAACATGGTGAAACGATGTCTCTACTAAAAATACAAAAATTAGCCAGGCATGGTGGCGCGCGCCTATAATCCCAGCTACTTGGGAGGCTGAAGCAGGAAAATTGCTTGAACCTGGGGGACAGAGGTTGCAGCAAGCCAAGATCACGCCACTTCACTCCAGCCTGGGCGAAAGAGAGAAATTCTGTTTAAAAAAAAAAAAAAAGAAAAGAAAAGAATAAGGAAAACACATTTTTCTTCATACCAAAATAATTAACATTTTGGTATATTTCTTCGTAGTTTTTCCCATGTATGTGTATTTAATGCAGTTATTCTTATGCAAAATATATGTCATTTTCCTTTTACATATTATCAGTTTGGTGCAAAAGTAATTCCAGTTTTTGCCATTACTTGTAATGGCAAAAACTGCAATTACTTTTGTGTCAACATAATACATCCTTTGTATTTCCCCATGTCAAATATTCTTGAAAAACATTATTATGGTGGAATAACCTGTCTTAAATATGTAACATAATTTATTTAAACTCTTCCTTATTTTGGGAATTTAACTAACTAACATTTTTTGTTAATATAAATAATGCTATAATGAACATCTTTGCATATATATCACTGTGCTCTTAACAGATTTTGAGACTTTCTTAAAAAGTATTTATATCAAGAATAAATTATATATTTTTTTGAGGCCTTTAATACATATTATCAAAAGGTTTTCAAAAATGTATAAATATATATTTCTACCAGCAGTATATAAAATGTCCATCTTTCTGCATCTCCGCTATCCGTCGGTTAGCATGAAGTTATAGAAATTCTGAATCTAGGTTCCCCTGGTTGTTGGCATGACATGTACAGGTCTAAGACCCTACAATGGTGTGTCAAATTTTATGTATATGTACATTTTTTGGAGATGAGGGTTCTTGACAGAATGTTTAAACATTGAATTATTCTTGTGTTTTTGTTTAATTTTTCATTTCTTAAATAACAAATGAAGTTGAACTTATCTTCATACATTTATTGTTCATTTGTCTTCCTACTTCTGAGAATCATCTCAAGTTCTTGCTTGAGTTCCACTGGAGTATTTGTCTCTGTCTTTTGGATTTGCAAGAGCCTCTTAGAAATAAAAGATGTTGATCCATTGTTTGCCATATTTGTGTGGCAATTATTTTCCTAGTTTGGTGGTTTTTGATAGAGAGAGATTTAAACTACCATAGAATCAGTGTTAGTGAATGTTTCTTTTGTTTTCTCATCCATCATTTCTATGTTTAGGAAGGCTTTTCCCAGTTAGAGATTGATACAATATATGTTTGTAATTTCTTCTAGTGCTTTATGGTTTGCCAAGTATTTAATCCATCTAGAACTTAATATATTATTCACTCATTTATTCATTTCTTCTTTTAACAAATATATATTGTGCCCTTATTATGTGTCAGGCATTTAATGTGAAGTGGGAATTTAAATTGATATTTTCCTCCACAGCCTTAGGTATTTTTCTTCATTATCATTTGTTGCATTGGTGATTGCTTCCTTTATTATATTTTATTAAATTATATTAAATTCATTAAATATTAAAATATACTACTAGTGTGCTTGTCTCATTAATATATCTACTTACATATTTTTATTAAATATCAAATAAATTTTATTGTTACACAAAGTGGATATATTTGATAGTAAATAAATTTAAAAAGTATTACATATATGGTATTTTCAGTGCAGTTTCTTGTATTTCATTAATCTTTCTTTGATTCATCCACCAATTCCACACACTTTCAATAACTGCAGCTTTAGGATTTATTTTAATATTTGTTTCTTCTCATTACTCTTTTAGAATTTTGTAGAATGTTTTTGTTTTTTGAGATAGGGTTTCACTCTCATCACCCTGGCTGGAGTGCAATGGCGTGATCTCAGCTCACTGCAACCTCCACTTCCCAGGCTCAAGCCATCCTCCTGCCTCAGTCTCCTGAGTAGCTGGCACTGATATGAAAGTGGGGCAGGGAAGTGCTGGGAGGAGAAGGGTGGGTCCCTGGCTAGGGCTCCATCCCCAGGCCTGTGCCCACGGACCTAGGCGAGGGCAGGCATTTTTGTTTTCGTACCCAAATGTTGCATTTCCCAAAACCACCCTGGCCTGCCACGCCCCCATCCTGTTCCTATAAAACCCCCCAAGATTCCAGCAGGCAGACATACAAGCGGCTGGACGTCGTGAGAAGTAGATCAGTGGAAGAAGACACAAGAACCTGGACATTGAGAGGACATCGAGAGCAGCACGCCGGTGGAAGAACACATCAACAGGCACAGCGGCAGGCCATTAACACAGCGGAACGACATGGAGTTTGGCTGGGGCAGTCGGAGGAGAGCCCAGGCCGTTGAGTCGCCAGACTTCAGGGGAAAACTATCTCCCTTCTAGTTCCCCCATCTGCTGAGCGCTACCTCCACTCAATAAAACCTTGCACTCATTCTCCAAGCCCACAGGTGATCCGATTCCTCCGGTGCACCAAGGCAAGAACCCAGGGATACAGAAAACCTTCTGTCCTTGCTATAAGGCAAAGGTCTAACTGAGCTAACACAAGCCACCTATGGACGGCTAAACTGAAAGAGTACCCTGTAACACACGTCCACTGGGGCTTCAGCTGTAAACATTCACCCCTAGACACTGCCATGGGGTTGGAGCCCCACAGCCTGCCTGTCCGTGTGCTCCCCTAGAGGTTTGAGCAGCGGGCACTGGAGAAGTGAGCCACATCCCCATCACACGCCCTGCGGGGAAGACAAGGGGACCTTTCCTGTTTCAGCACCACAGGTGCGCACCACTGTGTCCAGCTAATTTTTATATTTTTTGTAGAGACGGAGTCTTGCTATGTTGCCCAGGCTGGGCAACTCCTGAGCTCCAGTGATCCACCTGCCTTGGTCTTCAAAAGTGCTAGGATTACAGATGTCAGCCACCATGCCTGGCAGAATTTTGCAGAAATTTTAAATTGTTTCTTTTTGTTCAGATGAACTTCAGAATCATTTTGTCAATAAAATTGGTATGATACTTAGAAATTTTTCTATTAAAATTCTTTTTGTGCATATTTATATCTTATCTTCTTTATTCATCATGGGATGATATATACATGGTAATGTCTTAACAGCTCACATCAGTATTGGATTTCCATTCATTTCTGCTGATATTTCTAACAGATTTTGTTGATGTTGTTGCTTTAATTTGTGTAGTTTGCTTTTTCGTTTGGAAACAAAATTTCCTGACTGTTCATTAATTCGTTATGTATTGTAAATTAGATCTCTAGATCTCAGATTTCTGTCCCAGATGATACAAGGTTACTGGCCTGTTTTTTCCTGAAATCTGGAATCATTAGCATCCGGAGTAACTCTGTAGCAGATGAGGCAACATCACATTCCTCTATGTCTTTGAAATAGACCCTCTATCACTGAAGAGAACTGCTTTGTTAAAAGCATTTTCTTTGCGATCTCAAAGAACTCAATGAGTAATGCAAAAGTATGTAGGTTTTGTCACTCAAACAAATTTGAGAGTCTTTTCCTTTAAAACAGATAACTGTTCTTTTCATTTTTATAGTCACAGCTTTTCCTCATTGTATTATCTAGTTTTATGTTCTTTGGGTTTGTGTTGTTTTGCTTTTCATTTTTAGATGATATTTTTTCTTATTCTATTATTATTATTTTTCATTTTTTTGACACAGGGTTTCACTCTGTTGCCCAGGCTGGAGTGCAATGACACGATCTTGGCTCACTACAACCTCCTGCTCCCGGGTTCAAGTGATTCTCCTGCCTCAGCGTCCTGAGTAGCTGGGATTACAGATGCATGTCATCTCACCCAGCTAATTTTGTATTTTTAGTAGAGACAGGCTTCTGACAAGCTGGTCTCGAACTCCTGACCTCAAGTGATCCGCCTAGCTTGGCCTCCCAAAGTGCTGGGATTACAGGCGTGAGCCACTGTGCCTGACCTCTATTATGTAGTTCTATGCTTTTTGCTTTGTGCAGCTTTTCTAGTTTCTCTGTTTGTTCTCTTTTGTTATGTAAACTGTGTTTTAGGGTTTTTTTGTTTTTGTTTTTGTTTTTTGTTTTTTCTTAGTAATTTGGAAGCCTGTCTCAGTGGAAGGTAAAATCATTTTCTGATACCCAATAGGTTTGCTATAGATCTTGGTTCCAGAATAGCAGAGTGAGAGGTGTGCTTGAGAGAAGTCAGATGGTGGTGTTTACCTCCACTTTTTCACAAATTTCTTTAAACTGTTTTTAGAGCCTAAAATTAGATTGGGGAGAGGGGAAAGGTGGGGGTTTATTCAATAATAAGATTTCTTAGTTGTGATCTGCTTCACAATGGGGTAGCATTCTCACCGGTGTAGCTGCTTGTATTTTGGTGGGAAACTCACCCAGCAGAAAGCAGGGGAACAGCAGAAAAGGGTCGTTCCTGTGGTACCCAGAGAGCACAGAGAAGACCTTGACTTCTTGGGGGTGGGGCAAACTTGTACAGTGAGAAGTAGAACTTTCCTCAAGGGAGTCAAACTGTCCAGTTGAATGGGAAATAGCATGCCCCTGTAATCTAATTCTTAAGAAGTTAATTTGGGGAGTTTTCATAGGACAGCCTTTGAAATAAATTGCTACAGATAGAAGATTCCACACCTCACTGTTCGCAAAATTCTCTGGGCAAATAATTCGGTAAAATGGCCTACTTTCTCTTTATGTGGCTTTCTGTGGATTCTGTGGTCACACAAACTTTTGCGTGTACATTATTTTTTCACATTCTGTATACTGTTATTTTCTTAACACAATCTCTGATATTGATTGTTTTTAATTTAATCCATTAACACTTAAGCTTGTAGCTCTCTAATTATCAAAGTTAAAAATATCTTTGGACTCTTTCTAGTATAAAAAGAAATTTAGTGCTTTACGTCCCTCATCCTCTTTCCACTTTCCCATATTTGTAAATTGATTATCAGTATATCAATCTACATCAATAATAGTTGTTGCATTTTTAGTTAACATTTGAATCCAAATTTGCAAGTTATTTTTATACTATATAATTGACTTTAAGATTTATCTCTAAGTCTCTCAGTCTATGAGTTTTCTATTCAGAAGTGCTTTGTTTTGAGTCATCTCTCAGTTTAGTTTTCAAGTTAGATTTCTCAAACTTTATAACTGATACATATTTTCTGAGCAGGGGCATTTCTTTTCCCATTTTGTAACAGCTTAATTGAATATAGAATTCTTGATCTACAGACTGCTTTCCTCTAAACTGTGTAAATACAACTCCTTTACTTTTTACTTCATAACTGGAAGGAAAAGTCTGAAGTAAACCTATTGTCCCCCCTGGATTCCTATTGGATTTTTTCTTCTTGAAATTCAATGTATCTATGGGACTCTTCTCTTCAGAAGTCAATGAGCTCTTCTCTTATGAAGATGCTGATTTAAAGATCCACTTTACTTTGGTTGTTGCCTCTATTCCTGTTATTCAGGTTTTCTTCTTTTCCCCCAGATCAATTCAGGCTGGATCTCTGTTCTCTTTCTTCCTTAGTTGTCAGTTTCTCTCTCCTCTTTCTCTTTTCTCTCTGTATTGAGGGTGTATGTCTTTAGTTTCTTCTCAGTTTCATTGATTCCATTTTCTGCAATGCTCATTCTGCTCATCACTGGCTCTATTGTGCATCTGAAATGAGTTTTACTTCTTTACATTTTCCCTCTATTTTTATCATTTAATTTTTCTATCTTTATTTTATCTTTTCTCTTTTGCACCCATATCTTTATTTTTCCTTTTCTGTTTTACATAGCTCTCAGATTATCATGCTAATGTCTTCTAAGTTTTAAATTTACTTAGTCTTGTGAAAAATCATTTTTAATTATATTGAAACTGGCCCAAATGTCCCATAGAACTGATGTTTACTGTTCTTTTGGATAAACATAGAAAATGACCCTCATGTTCTTAAAGCTTGAAACTTACTTTTGCCTTATCTGAGTTCATTCCTCAGGAAACTCATGCTCAGGCCTCCCAGGTGGTATCCAGGGACTGAAACTCACCAGATCATGTGTACAGTCAATGGCATGACAGACCCCTTACTCATCATGATTCCTGTTTACCAACTCCTTACCCCTTCCTAATTTCTGTTTTCCCATACACAGTTACATTTCTTCCCTGATATACAAATTCCAGTTTTAGTTGGTCAAAGAAATGCATTTGAGAGTGATCTCTCATTCTCCTCAGATGCAGCACCCGATTAAAAACTTCTTCCCTGGAAATAGTCATCTCAGTGATTGGTATTCTGTGCTACGGGCATCAGGACCTAGGTCGAACCTCTGTTGTTTTGCTAACAATATGTTCTCCGTTTTCATATTCCAAATACTGCTTCTTTTCACTCATGTTCCACTGTCTTTGCATTGGCTGATTATTTAGTTCTTTATTTTTACTTGAATCATTAGCTAAAGGAGAGTAGAATCCATTTGGGTTCATTGCTTACCAGCAGACATGGTGGATGGAGGGTACTTGACCTCTGTCTAGGCTCCTCATTTTCAGAGGTGCATTTGCCTACTAGTTAAGAGGAGGGATTCTGGAGCCATATGGTTTGGGTTTAAACCTACTAGTTCTGGAGGTGCATTTGCCTCCAGAATCCCGCCTCTAGGAGGGAATCCCTACTAGAGGAGAGATTCTGGAGACACATGTTTTGGGTTTAAACCTTAACTCTGTCACTTACTGCGTGATCTTGGCCATGCCATTAAAACAAACAAACTCTGGGTTACCGTTACTGCATTTATAAAATAGAGATCATATACAGTACCTAACTCAAAGATTTGATACAGATTAACTGTGCTATTATATGAAAAACTCAGAAAAACTCATGACACATAACAAATGCTGTGTAAGGGTTCACTATTTTTTTTTAACAATCTAACGTGAAAATTTATTTGCTATAATCCAGCGTTGTTGAGTGGTCAATTCTTAACCACTCCAGGGTGGTGGTCAGTTTCTTGAGGAAGTTCTTTTTCTTCTCTACAAGTTTGTCTAATTGAACCGGAGATTCATATGCTACTTGCAGCTCTTCTTTTGTAAGTACATAAAACAAACGCCACCCACATCCATCTCTCCAGCACTCTTCTGGTTCTGCTCCTTTCAGCCTTCCACTTTAGCAAGCAAAGCATCTTTAAGCTTCCTGTTGTGTTGTGAGCTGCAAGTTGTGGTCTGTAAAAGGATGAGGGAAAGGAGAGTTAGCAGAGAAAAATAAAGGTGTGCATCTGCAGGTATCATCTGTGGTGTTTGGGGATGGCCCCCTGCTATGCTTATTGGCACAGTGTTTGCATTCTGAAATCTGGCAGAGAAAGTTGAGTATTTAAGTCCTACTCTACCATGTGGAAATGTGTTTCTAACTCAGCTTAGAGTCTGCAGCATAAAACTACATGACCAATAATACATTTCTCAATCAGTCCATGTTGACAAGGCAGCCTGTGCCAATGTTGCCTGGCCTTGCACAGAGGGTCTTTTCTTACATTGAGTCCATTGTGCTGATTTCAACTTCTTTCTTTTTTGTGTGTCTTTAGTTGGGAAAATACGTTGTAGCTGTATCTTTATTTCACTTATTCACCCAACAATGTTTATTTATTACACTTTCCATGATGTCAGTCCTAAAACCTCCCTCATAACAATATGTAATATAGTGTCTTCATGTTCATGCCTTCTACCAGATCCAAACACATGCCATCTGGAAAGAAAGACAGATTTTAAGTACCATTTTATTTTATTTTTATTATTATTTTTTATTAGAAACGAGGTTTCACCATGTTGGTCAGACTGGTTTTGAACTCCTAACCTCAAGTGATCTGCCCGCCTCAGTCTCCCAAAATGTTGGGATTATAGGCATAAGCCACTTCGCCCAACCTTAAGTGCCGTTTTAAAATAGCAGTTTGCAACTTGTGTCATCCCTCTCAACATGGGGTGCCACTCTGTCTACAGGACCCTGTACGCTCTTCTGTTTTCAAGGTGCCTCAGCGGAGAAGTTTGGGAAACCCTGGTTTCACAGTCGATGGGAAGACACCAACGGCTTTTCAAGCAGAGACACTACATGAGAAGGAAAGAAGGATACCCCCAGAAGCAGGGAGGCCAGCAGAAAACACCTGCAATAGCTCAGGAGGGGAGTTAGTACACCTGAAACAGACTGACGACATTGGGAAGAAAAGGAAGGGAAGTACTTAAGGACAATTTAGGAGGTAGAATGGCTTGGTTGAAGAAATGAAGGAAATTGGAGACAAATAATGACTCCCTGGCTTTAGGCTTGTGTAAACGGGAGAATGTTGGCAATATTCTTTGAGACAGGATTCAACAGAAAGAGACTTTGAATTGCAGGACAGGGGCCACATGGGCCAGGTCTCTAACAAAGAGTCTGAGGCCTGATTTGCATCACTTCCTGAGTTCCTTTTATTCATATTAATAAAGGAGACATAGGGAAACATATTGCTCTTATTATGATAATTACCATGAGAATTACTGATCACATGAAAAAATTGTCTCTGAGTAAGCTACTTCCAGCAACATTTATTTGTTCTGAAAACACAGGGTCCTTGTCATATTTGCAAAACCTCTCTCTTCTGCTATCATGTTAACCTTCCTATCCCTACCCAGGAATGTCATCCTTCAGATATGGTATCTTGTGACTTTTATCAATCTCCATGACCTTTACATAATGCACCAAGAAAACAATGGAACAAGACGGGGGCAACAGAGAAGTGTTGTTAAGATTAATGAAGGGATTTTGAGACCATCTTAACAAGAGTCAGGATTGCTGAAAATGAGGACATCAGGGAGTATGGAAGACTCAGAAGAGGAAGACCTTTCATTCCGTAGGGGGAATGTGCCCTTCACTGCCTAAAGCCTCTGGCATTATCAAGAAGTGAGTAGACACAGGATTTACTTCATGAATTTGTTTCTGGTGAGACCTCATGGTGGAAGAGCACTGGACTGGGAGTAAGCAACACTGGCTCTGGCCAGTGCTCTGTGCCAACTGCAGGCTCCCTACGTACTCCTGTGTTTTGGGCTTCAGGTTCCTTATCTGTCACATGATTGTATTCTTGAAGTTCCAGAGCCCAGAGACTCTCTGCTTCTTCCTTGTCTCCATGGTGAACCCAATGCAAACAACAAAGAAATTGTACTGATGACACATGAAGCATTACTGCTATTCAAATCAGCCACCTGTAAATTATTTCTCTGCTGTCAGATCACATAAGAGGAGTTACTAGACCCAGGCTCAGAGTAAAGGTGTTCTGATGTCCATCTGTCCAGAATCTGATCAGTTTCGCATTACCCAGACATCACCTGAGAACAATGAGAACCTCCATGTGTCCTATCACTGAGAGGCAGGCCCCTGTCTGCTCCCCAAAACAGAGACTTGGGCAATCGCTATCAGTCCTTGTTGGCATGGTGCCACTTTGATTCCAATCACCACCATCGCCCCTCCCTGACAGTCACGTCTGGGATAAAAGGAGTTGAAGATCCTCAGTCCAGCTATGAAAGAAGGGAATTCAAGAACACTCAGTCAGCAAAGGGTGGCTCTCAAAAAAAAAAAAAAACAATTTAGGTGAAATTTCCTCGTCCAGGGTATCAGCTATATCCCAACAGGAGAGTGGGGACAATTTTCTGATGACTCAAGGCCCAGTGAAACATATTCTTCAGCCTGGTAATGACTGACTTATTACTAAAACCAGAAAAATATATGCCAGGATCCTCACACGGTAGACATTGTAATACAATGTCCTCAGCAACAACCCTACAATGGATGTGGTGATGAAGGCCATAGAGAGTTTCCTCAAAATATTCATCAAGGTAAGTGTATGGTGTCATCCCAAGGTATAATACAATTCCATGCAAGAGTTTTATAGCTGATGTCACAAGATGCTCCAGAGAGAAGGAGCTCTGCTGGTTTGTCTTGCAAGGGTGACCAGGGGTCTGCTTTGCTTTCTGGTACTTGCCAGCACTGGATTCATCATGAAAAGAATCAATCCTAAGAGTATTTTTTAAAAGTTGAGGTGAACTCTCTTTGGCAACAGTACCAATCCTGTGATCTAGTGTATCAGTTTGGAGTGCTTTTGGCCTCAAGTAACATGAATCCTATTAAATAGTGATTTTATGATATAAAAACCTAAATTGTTTACATAGCAAAAAATTCTAAAGGCAGCTACCTCACAGTTAATTCAACAGCTTAAATTTGTCATTAAAAGTCTAGCCTCTTTCCATCTTTCAACTCTGCCCTCTTGAGAATATTGGCTGTTTGTTTGTGTTTGTTGCCTCATGGCTGCAAAATTGCTGCTGTGGTGTCAAGCATCTCAACCATATTCAAAAGCCTGTCACCCTGATCCATCCAAATTAGTATGGATCAGGGCAACAGGCATTCTCCTCAAAAGTCTCTATTAGGAAAACCCTGCCTTTCCTAGAATTCCCCATCAGATATCCCCTTCCGTCTCATTGGTCAGAGCTGGGACATGGGCCACCCCTGTCTACAAGGGGAGATGTGAGAGGGCAAAGGAAAAGATTAGGGCTTCTAGATAGTCAAACAATAGTGTCTGCCACATCCAGGGAAGTGCCTTGAGGCAGAGGAAGGCTTCAACTTCCTCGAAGGTTGTTTCTTTTATTTTCCAGGGCCACAAAGACCTTTACAGGAGGAGCAACAAAGTATAGCTGCCTGAGACCAAAATCTATTCAAGCTTAAAATGCAAGAGCATTAGCTGCTCAGAGCCGTCACCAAGGAGAGATAAAATACGTCTGCTCTCTCAAGACCTGGGAGATGCTAGCAGTGTGATTGTTTTTTTGGCTGGGAAAGCTGCTTAGCCGACAGAAAAAGGAACGTACCTGAACATTTATGAGTTGGCTTTTCAAAGACAGCGACCCGTCTTCCTTTCACCCCACCCTCCTCCCCTTCCCTGTAAAGGAACACTTAGCAAAAGTAAATAAATTATCAGCCCCGGCCATGCAGAAATGCCTCTCACAGGGTAATGCAGGGATGTCTGAAGCCATAAAGGGAATTTTCAGAGCTGAAGTCATCAACACGGAAGAGGCAAGCAGGGGAGAGGCTGGAAGGAACATGGAGCTGCCCTCTTCCCCTTGCTGGTCTGGGCTATAATGGAGAAGACCTGGGGCTGCTTTGTGCTGACCCAAAAAACAGTCTGGGCAGAGGGTGATCATCCCAGGCCGCTCAGAATCCTGCGGTTGTTGAGCTCAAACAAAGCACTGTGGTTTAGACAGCCGGGCACTGGGTTTGGAGCCAGGAACCCTGGTTCTCAGGCCCTCCTCTGCCATCCTCTTGCTGGCTGATCTCCAGTCAGTGAGCTATTCTGAACTTTGCTTTATCTGGGAAATAGAAATGATAACATTTATGTTTGCAATGGACTGAACAGTGTCCCTCTCCACAAATTCAGACATTGAAACACTAACCCCTTGAGGGGCTGTATTCGGAGATGGGGCTTTCAGGAAGTAATAACGGTTCAATGAGGTCAGAAGGGTGGGGCCCCATTCTGATGGTACTGGTGGCCTTATAAGAAGAGAAAGAGGGAAAGATCTTTTGCTCTCTCTTCATGAACTCAGAAGAAAGGCCATGTGACGACACAATGAGAAGGTGGCCTTCTAAGAGCCAGGAAGAGGGTCCTCACCAGGAGGCAAATTGGCCAGCACCTTGATCTTGGACTTCTAACCTGCAGAACTGGGAGAAAATCAGCTTCTGCTGTTGAAGCCACCAGTCTGTGGTGCTCTGTTATGGCAGCTCAGGCAGATCATACAATCTCCTAACGTGCTCGAAAAAAACAGTCAGAGGAGGTAGGTGAGGGTCACTGCAAAGTCCTCACTCTTCACCAAAGTGAGACACCATGATGCCATGCAGCCCGGCCTTCTCACTTAGTGCATGAGGATCTGAGGCCAAGAGGTGTTAGGGACTGATACGGTTTGGCTGTGCCCCCACCCAAATCTCATCCTGTAACTCCCCTGATTCCCACATGTCACGGGAGAAACCTGGTGGGAGGTGATTGAATTATGGGGGCCGGTCTTTCCTGCACTGTTCTTGTGATAATGAGTGAGTCTCATGAGATCTGATGGTCTTAAAAATGGAGTTTCTCTGCACAAGCTCTCTCTTTGCCTGCTGCCATCCACATAAGATGTGACTTGTTCCTCCTTGCCTTCCATCATGATTGTGAGGCCTCCCCAGCCATGTGGAACTGTAAGTCCAATAAACCTCTTTCTTTTGTAAATTGCCCAGTCTCAGGTATGTCTTTATCAGCAGCATGAAAACGGACTAATACAGGGACTACCTAAGGTGGACCAACTCTGCCCTGGCAGATGAGACACCACTCCATTCTCCTGGTTTGGAGGGTGAGCTCTTTCCACAGAGAGGCAACTTGTGGCCACCTCAAGGGAGGAGACAGCCCTCTCCTGCCTCACACTCTTACTGTGCTGGAACCAAAGCTCAGCTCCTTTCCTTCTTTGCAAAAAGCAATGAGGTTCAGACACTTTCTGTGCTAAGCAGCCACCCTCTCCTCTGGAGATTTGAGTGTCCAGGAGTTTCAGGGAATAAACAATCTGAACATGACTTTTACTCATCAAACTCATGATTCAAAACCTGCTGAACTGCTAGGACAATCTAGTCTATGTGCTGAAAATGAACATGTTTCTGTGAAGGTGGTGTTTTACTTCCATTTAGTTAATACAAGGTGTGTTTATGCTCTAGAATATGCGTATTTCATCCCCCTTTGACTGGGAAAAAAACTAATGAAAAATATTTTCTAACTCTCCAATGCCCACTCCCAAAATGAACCTGGCCAGATGCTGAGGCCTCGGGTTGCTTGGTGGCCTTGGACAGTTCAGGGGGACTGAGGTGTGCAGTGCTGAGGACTCCTGTGGGACACTCGGGCCTCTTGCAGAAGCTCTGGTGGCCTCCTCTGGTCTTGAGGTTTGCTCAGGCTTCGGGTAGAACTTTCTCTCTTATGCAAGATTGGGTACAATTTCCAGTCCCCTTGGGCAAGCCAAGGCCACCAAGCAATGTGAGGTCTCAGCATCTGGCCCACTTTATTTTGGAAGTGGGCGCTGAAGAGTTAGAAAACATTTTTCATTGTTTTTTTTTTTTCCCGGTCAAAAGGGGATGGAATATGCATATACTAGGGCATAAACGTACATTTTATTAACTAAACAGAAGTTATATTTCTCAAAGATGCCACCTTCACACAGCAGCATAGAGGATTTGGGGGTCAGCTTCCTGGGTGTGGCTTTGTCCTGGCTTGGACAGAGTGGGGGTAACAGCTGTGTTTACAATGAGCACTCCTCTCGTTGCTTCTGACATGGTATTTTTTTTAACATCAACTTTTCCATTTATCTTTGCTTGTCAGGGAAACGCACACACACACAGCCCCTAAATCTCCTTGTACAAAGGAAAGCTAGGTAGGTTATAATTTCCTTCTTGGAAAAAAAAGCCCTACAAACTCCTCACAGTATGATTTCATAGGCATTGCTAATTATTTTTTAGGGTGAGCATAATAAAACCCAGGTGACTTGCCTTCAGCAGTTTCTTGTTATCTTCACACAGCTCTGGATCGTTTACCGGCATGGCAAGCAATTACCATGAGCCCTGCAGTTTTTACCAGACATTCTTTGTCGGAACCCTGCTAGAGTCCACAAAGGTTAATATGCTTTTGCACTACAAAATCTGGGCATTATCTTGTGTATTGTAAGACATGCCTGTGACACGTTGAATTCAGATGATTTACAAGATCAGCAAAACAGAAGGGGTTCCCGTTGGGAGCATTTTCTGCTACTGATTTCCTCATCAGAATGTGACTCTGGGAGGCGTGGTGGTTTGCACAGGACTTCTGCAGGGGACAGGGCTGTTGGTCCTGTTTCTCCAGGGGTGCTGAAGAGTTTGGAATGTGACCTGCTCACGTGGGCATGTGCGGATGCCCAGAGATGTGCTTCTCCTGGAAATAGTATTTTGTTTTTGTTTCTCATAATTATTGTACATCATTTATTTGAGTTGAGATTCTAATGTTAAATTCATCATCCATCATCCATATACAGAAATAATTGCACTAAGCATTTATTTTTTTTAAGAGACAGGGTCTTTCTCTGTTGCCTAGGCTGGAATGCAGCGGTGCAATCATAGTTGACGGCAGCCCTGATGTCCTGGGCTCAAGTGATCCTCCCACCTCAGCCTCTGGAGTAGCTGGTACTATAGGCATGTGCCACTATGCCTGACTAATTTTTAAAACATTTTGTAGAATCAGTTTCACTTTGTTGCCCAGACTGGAAAGCAAGTGTTTGGAGTGACTTTCTGGAAAAGAAGATTTGGACCTAAATATTGATAGAATTGGGAGGTAGAGTATCTGATCCCCATTAAGACCTCAACTCAGATGTGACCTCCTTCATGGGGAGTTCCCTGGCTGCCTGTCCTACATTGTCCTGCCTTCCCGTTACCACTCCCATCCCCCAAATTAGGGATTGTCTTCCTCACTCTCTGAAATGGTTGCATTTGTGTGTTAAACTGATTCAGTTACTGTCACCCCTCTGGGATGTGACGCCATGGAGCCAGTACTTTCCCCATTTTTACTCACTGTTTTATATTCCAGCCCAGACAGTTTCTGGCTCAGAGTAGGCCCCAATAAATATTTGTTGAGTTTTCACATATTTTGTCTCCATATCTGTATAGTAAGCAGAGGTGTTGGGTATGGAATAGTGCTGGCTGTCTTATTCAGAATCCACTCTGTTTAAGGATCCATCCTGAATTTGCTCTTATTCATTCATTCATTTGTTGGTTCACTAAAAATTTAACACATGTATTTACACTTTCTTATAGTCTTGATGTCACCATGAACCTTGCAGTGCACATGGATGTTATTTTGAGAGTGGCCTCTGGGGACAGTCAGGGAGAACCTGGGACGTGGGCTTTCTGGCTCCTCAAGCTAAATTACAGGGTGACTGAGATCTGTGAACCCACCTGCACTGCCACTGGTGATGAATAAACTGGTCATAGTGGATAAGGGCAACCCCCAGGAGATAACCAGCCCTCGTAACTGCAGGCACTTCCATTTATTAATTGCTTCATCATTTTACAAAGTGGATATCAAGGCTCTGGGGCAGCTTAAACAAAGGCTCAGTTAGTAGGCAGTGGAGAAATCTCAATGAAGAAGCACTTTCTCTGACTCGATATGGATGGATTTGGATAGCAGATCTCATCGTGGCCTTTGGTCCCACCGCCAAAGAAGTGGGCTCTGCTCTCTTCTTTCTGGCCTGTTATTTAGGAACAGAGCAAGGCGAAGTGGCTGCAGCAATTGGAACAGTTCAAGTTGAAAATGACTTCCCAGATCGTCCAACCTCTAGTGGAGGCCCCTAGATCAGCACAGTAATTTGCTCCGTGTCATATAACCAATCAGTGTCAGCGTCAAAGCTAAACCCTAGATCTTGGGGTTCCCAGGCCAGTGCTTTGGGGCAAGCGACACTCCATGGTCTAACTTGATGTCACTGCATGGCCTCCCAGGGGAGGTAAGGGCTGGGGAACAGGCAGCATCACCTTCTCTCCTACTCCTCTTCCTCTGTTGCCTCCCCAGTGTTGTGGTCTGGTCTCTCTCACAGGCTTTTCCAGCAAGAGCCCTTTCCATTTCAACCTTAGCCTCTTGTTGGCTTAGATGCAATTCTTGGCCAAGGCTGCTATAACTGGTGCCATGGCCAGTGGCCAGAATGTTGGTAGAAATTCACATAAACATTGATTTCTTTGCTTTTTCTTGTTAGAGAAAGCTCTATTTCCTTGGGCCTACAGGATCTGCCTGGTGTTCAAGGCATCCCTGCACCCCACCCCACCTTGCTGGCTTCAGTGGCTCCCTTCTCCTTCCCCTCTGTATCCCTCAACATCCTGCAGCCATTCACTTCTCACTGCTGCTTTCTTTCCTCTGAAACTTCTCCATAAGCTATAGAAGAGTCCATCCAATAAGCACAGGCTTGGGTAGCTCCTATTCCATGAATACTTCTGCTCCCTCTGATCGATATCCCTCTCCAAGTTCCTGCAGCATTATGACTTATACTATCAAATCCTCTCTGTGTTTCACTGCCTCTTTGACTGCTTTCTGCTATTTGCAGTGAGGTTATCTGGTCTCCCCAGCTCCAATTATGAGCCCAGGTCACAGGAGTGACATACTAGTCCCCAGTACTTACATATCCATGGACTGGCTGAAGCAAAGCTTTTTACTTTTTGATTTTTTTAAAAAATAACAGATTACAACATAGTAATATGGTCTTTAGCAGTTGACATAAGATAAATTAATAGGTCACAGGTTAGCTTAGTGTTCTGGTATCCTCTGGCTTCTGATGCTTCCCAGTGTTAGATTGGGGCACATAAATTGAGACTTCTTCTCCCCCCACAACCCTGCCTCTGACCTTTCTATGAAATTCTGTGAATTATTCATCAGCCACGCCCATGTCTGGCATGACGTCGATTCCTTTTAGCCTCTGCTCTTCTTGAAGGGAAGCCGGCTGTAAGTTCCCGACATCACTTTGATTCCTGTGGCATTAGTCCTTGATGTCACCAGCCCCGGATTATTAGTTTGTTGCTGGGACTGGACGATGAGAAAAACCATGCAGACAGTTGGAAAGCAGCCTTAAATTGTTTCCCCAAACAAAATCAAACCTGCTTGGACATCAAAGGAGGGACTGTGGAGCATCAGTCTGAGAGATTTCCGTTTTTATCAACATTCCCTCCAAACTTCCTCCATTTCCAGCAGTCTGACAATTCCCTTTAAAACACAGACCTGACCCTGTAAGGCCTTGGGAAGATGACTGAACAGGAATACCATAAAAGCAAGGGATTTAACTTCACAAAAATAACAGCTGGAGAGAATGGAATGGAATAGGCTTCGGAAGCCAGGGAAAAGCACACGTTCATGGACATGCACACGCACCCCGCAAAACACTGTTTGGCCCACATCCATCATCATTTCATTAAAAATGTACAAACCTGAAAATGTTTTTTAAAACGAAAAGTTCAAGCCCGTAGTAACAGAGTCTGAAAGGGAGAGAAATCCCAGGCTATTCCTGTGTTCCCCTTTGCCAGGCATCTTTTCCCTTCTAGCCCCAACCCAACTGCTCTTCCTTCCCCTCCCTGCCCCTCATTTGCCCCTGAACAAGTCATTTACAAGAGATGGCTGTCATGGAGCATAAAGAAATAATTTAAAAAATCTTCAAAAGGCTGGCAGCACAAAAATCCCTGGCTCTGTCGTTTCTCTGTTTCTGCAAGCAGCAAAAGATCTATAATTCTCACACTTAATGTAATTCCAAGGCATCTAAAGTGATTTACAGTCGGTTTACTCAATACTTTCAGCTTTATTTAATGTAACAGTTATGGCACATAAAAAGTTTATTGAAAATCCTTTGGGAGTGCGATTGAGTAAGAAAGAGTCGTTGCTAATACCATTACAGAAACAGAAGGAAAGGATCTCAGCCTGGTATTTTTTTCTGTGACCTTTATGGTTCCACGAACAAGGGTTATGTGGGAAAAGACTCCTCTCCTATCCCTCGGCCATCATGTAGATGTGCCTGCTGCCAGCTACAGGGTTGAAATCCTGGCTGTTTCTGGACAGCTCTTCTTCAAGCCTGGCTGGCAAAGTGACTTGGGGGATGGCCCTCGGTTTAGATTATTCTGGAGTCTCTATTATTATACAAGGCCTAGGTTCAGCAAAATCTGCAAAAGGGAAAAAGATGATAATAGTTTCCCTCTAATGCTGCCCTATTCTCTGTGTTTTAATAGGCCCCACTTTCTAGTTGGCCCAGCTCCTCTGGAGTTCAGTTCAGTCCCCCCAGTGGCTGTGGATGCGGAGAAGTGAGGAATATGGACTAATACCTTCCATACCCTTTTGAGACAAGCAGGTCTGGTCACTGCTATGGAGACAAAAGCTCTGCTGTTTCCTGGGGTCCTTGTGCTGGCTGCTTCAGAAAGGAAATAATCTATGAAAATTGTAGCTCTCACCATGGTCAGTGTCAAAATATTTAAATATTTGACATTTGCCCCCATATCTTCCTATTGGCTGAATAAATAAATAAATAAATAAATATAAACAAACTGAGATCCAGAAGATGGTTTGTGGAAGAATCTGATCCACTGATGTCTGTGGATTCAATGAAAACGGCTTCCTGTCTCTTGACAAACAGTGTCATTTCCATGTGACTGCTTATATTTGGGAATTTTCTAAGAACACTGATGGTAACAGAGTGGACCCTGGAGCAGATGTAGCACCAGCATTTACTCTTGTTTTCACTTATCTACAGAAATATGCATTTCAGTTCTAGTCATAAGATATTTCTTCATCTCTTTGGTAAAAGTAGGGCTCTTGGAGGTTTCTCTCTCTCTCTCTCTCTCTCTCTGACACACACACATATACACATACACACACCCACACACCCACACACACACCAGCTTTGGGAAAATGACATACTCTACACTTGTAGATTTTTATGACACCTGAAGTTTTACTCTCTTCTGTATACAAACTTAAAAAAAGCATTATCAATGAATATAATTTTGAACTAAATTATTCACTTTCATTTCTGCCTAAACAAAGTACCCTGCACCAAACATATGTCAAGTGCTTCCTACTGCCTCAACATCATTAATGGGACAGTTGTTTTACTGCATGGTGACGTTAGGATGTTTTCAGGACCTCTTGTAGGTGTTTGGCCTGACTGTAAATGGCTTCTTTTGAGTTCCCATGACTGTTTCATACACATGTGCATGCACGCTTATACACACGCATTATTTTTCAGTTTCTTTCAGTTTTCATTATTCTTTCAGTATCTTTCAGTTTCAGTTACTTTTCTGACAGTTTTAAATTTTCTTTTCCTTCTAACTTTTAAAATGACATCTATTTGGAGTGAGGCATCAGATAAGCACGTTGGAAGCTCGATTTTGTGATAATGTATTTTAGATTTTCAGACATATTTTCCTACTTCTTCCTGATTCTTGTTCGCATTCTTAATATTTGTTGTTGTCAGTTGAGTATCGGGCATATATGTGACATATGTGGGGTTGTATATTGTACATAGGTATGTGTGGTTATATGTACATATATACACTTGAGGGTTAGTTTTAAAAATTAATTTACAACATTTCTTATAAAGATTATGTATGGGAGGACACAGCCTTCTCTTGCTATCCCATTCTGTGTTAGAGAGGTGTGATGTCACTATAACCTGGTGGGCTTTGGGTGCATCCTTGTGAACTGTCAGTGATGATTTTACTTCCAGACACCCAGTCCAAGGACATAACTTCATCCCTAACTTCACCTGTTTCAAGTACATTATTGATTGAAAACATTTTCTCAATACATCTCAACAGTCTGATGATTCAGTTCTGTCACGGAGATATCTTCTACATTAAAAAAAAAAAACAAAACTGCAGTTTGCCCACCAGTTGGGAAGCACTTGCTGAGGACAGTGGACCTTTCTAGGGTGAGCACACAGCCCGCGTTCCAACTGACACACATCCCAGCTTTACCTGAAGCCTGGTGGAAGAGTGCACCATTCCCCAAAGATTTCCTCCTGCCTCCACATCAGTAAGTAACTTTGAGAATATACAAAGGTATAGCAAGGTTCATAGTAACATTTGCATCTTTACACTTAAATTATCTTCACAGCTGCCTGTTATTCATGTTTTTTAGTGATTGTTATGGGAAATCCTTTCCCTCTCTGGATGGACTTACCTGAATCCGCAGAAGACTTGGTATGTCAGGTTGAGGTTTGTATTAACAGCACTCAGGGCCGGGCGCGGTGGCTTATGCCTGTAATCCCAGCACTTTGGAAGGCCGAGGCAGGCGGATCACGAGGACAGGAGATGGAGATCATTCTGGCTAACATGGTGAAACCCCATCTCTACTAAAAATACAAAAAACTAGCTGGACATGGTGGCACACACCTGTAGTCCCAGCTACTCAGGAGGCTGAGGCAGGAGAATCGATTGAACCTGGGAGGTGGAGGTTGCAGTGAGCTGAGATCACGCCACTGCATTCCGGCCTGGGCAACAGAGCCAGACTCCATAAAAAAATATAGTAGTCACTTTGGTCCTTGTGTTTTGAAGAAGTACATTTTGGGGTTCACCATAAAATGTCTTAAAATTGGTCTCTGATTGCTCTGGTAGTTATTGAATAACACAGCACTTTGCAATGTGATTTGACATGTGCACCAAATTTAATCTCCTGCAAACAACTTGTTGAGTAGGTATTATCACATTTTGCAGATGCAGAAACTGATCCCTGGATAAGTGATTGTGTAGTGTTAATTGCAATACTACATACTCAGTAAGTGGCAGAACTGGGGATTGAAGACAGATCCAGTAACTCCGATCCTTTCTCCCTTTACATCATACCTAATTTTGCCTCCTGAAAAACAGATATTCCCCATAGTTTGCAAAGCAGGGAATGCCATCCAATCAACATCGGGCAGCTCTGTCTATGCACAAGTAGTGAACATCTGTAACTGATTCCTCTCTATTCTCATATCTCACATTCTATTCCCTGAAAGTTGTGCTCTCAACGAATCCTACCAGGAAACTATTTAATAAGAAATAATGTTGCCACCATCCCAAGAGTAATCTATCTTAATCAGGAACCTCCTAAAGACCCCAAAGCCTTCAAGACTTAAAGAAATGAAGGTCTAGGGGCATGTAATTCCATTTGCTGACAGAGTGAAAGAAAAACATGGAGAGAAGGCTCTCTTCAGTGTCAGTGACATCTCGGCATCTTGCTGGTGCCCACTGACTTGTAAGGAGAGCTTGGTGGTCAACAATTCTCACTGCACATTGCGCAATATGGACCCACACTTTGGCACATGGGGTCAAAGGGGCTTTACTGGTTGGGGGTAGTTGTATCAGTAGCCACCAGAGGGCAGCAGAGGGACAGAACTGTTGGTTAGAATAGAAAGCTGGTTAATTTCTCAGGAAAAGGCTGAAGGGTAGTCTGGAGGCATCCAACAGGAGAGAGCGCTACAAGTAGTGCATACCGTGACGTTTCTCCTGGGCAGAGCCCCTCTTCTGGGCCAATGCCTCTCCCCCAGCTGCTGGGAACATTGGCTCCTGGGAACATTGGCTCTTGGGAACATTGGCTGCTGACAGATGGATAGTTGCTGGGAATTGCGCTGCCCAGGGAACTGCTTCGTCCAAGTTGCACCTTCCCCAGAGGGATGGCCAATGATTGACAAGTGCAGGGATAGAAAGACCTGACCCTTTTCCCTAGTTTAGGACAATTCTCAAGGGCCTTCCAAGATCCAAAGCTCCAGGACTGGTTTGAAGCCTTAATTTCAGATCAGCTTCCCCTCTGTTCAATCCTGCTTTCCTTGCCTCCTTAGGGGTAGATAGCTTTCTGATTAATCATGCACCTCTTAGAGTCAGCTTCCAGAGGACCCTACCTAAGACTTTTAGCTACTTGGTATGGAGAAGCCCAACAGTAAACCCAGAGGAGTGAAGATGTAGCCCAGCATTCAACCTGGAACACTCATGAAACATAGGCTTGGATCCCAAGGTCAGAGCTGGAAGTGGACACATCAACAGATATCAGGTTGGGATGAGGCAGGAAGTGGAGATGCAACTAGAATCCAGTTCAAGGTCCAATCGAATTGGGGCTACAAAACCAGAACTAAGAATAATGGAGTGGTCCAAGTACAGAAGTAGAATTACTTCAATAACACCTAAGCAGACCCGTTTATTTTTTGCTGGAGCAGATGCAAGGAAGTGTGGGTTTAAAATCTTCTGCCTCCACTTTCCTTCATGTCTGTGTCTCCCAACATCGAGGGACTGGCAGCACCAAGCCAAGGCCCTACCTAAGCCCTGTGTGTGCTTGTGTTGACTGCAGTTGCATTTACTACCTCTTGGGCCAATCTGATCTCCAGGCCCCTAAGCTGGGATCACACAGCACATTCAGTCATGCTTCCTATGAAAACTTGGCCAAAGGAGATTGGCAAAGAAAGAAAGTTCTATTGCTTCTAGGCTCCCTTTCCAATTTCCCTAATTTTTTTTTTTTACCCGGGAGCACATAGGTCACTGCCTGTTTTCAAGTTCATGGTAAGATTATTCCACCTAAATAATAGAGGTACCTGCCTTTTCTTAGCTTCAGTAAAACCTGCTCTATCATGCCAGCTGTTGTTAAAGAAATAGACTTTTAAGAACATGTGCAGAAAATCCAGCATTTTGGAGCATGTACCAGAGGCTGGGGCCTCCACAGGGAGATGACTGAACGGCCTATGGATTAATGTACTATTATTACATTACTCTTTAAGCTTCAAAGGTCTGCCAGGACGGCTAAGCTCACTATCTATTCCATGACATTTTAAGAACAAATAATACATTAATATATTTAATTTGAGAATAAACACATACATTATAGGCAGGGGATTTTGTCTATGCTGATAAGGCACCAAATGACCTTTCCAGAGCAAGCCCAGCACGCAGAGCTGAAAAGGGACGTGTTCCAAAAAACCTTTTGTGTCTCTGGGTCATAATATGTGGGCTTTAATGCAGCGTTGGCCCGTGAGGAGCTGCAGCAGCCACGGTCTTTGAAGATGGGAGCTTTTGCTATAATTACCCCTTCGACACTAATCTGCAGGAACACTAAATCTTGTTGCCTCAAATTAGTTAATCAATTAAGTGTCAAACCACAAAATGTTGGAGATTTTGGTTTGTATTTATTACCTTGGCAGGCACTTCCTCCCTCAGCCCCTTGGCTTTCTCTCTCTTTCCCTTGCAAGGGAGCTGGCTTTTAAAAATGACCAGTCACTCATTGTTTATTTCTGGTCTATTAGCAAAACAGTTGAAGTTACATAAGCCTGGTGCCCAGGACTGAAGCAGCCCTAAGATTGACAGCTTGGCTGCTGTTCAGGCAAAGTAGTGTATTTTCTAGTGCTTTCCTGGGATTAACTTAGAACACAGAGCTGATGAGCCAGCATCTTCTGCTGTGTTCGCTAAAGTCAGCCATTTTGGAGCCGACGGTAATTGATTGAGGGTCCTGTTTCTCCTTACATCACTCTCACAAGGTAAGCAAGGCACAGGCAGTGGTGTTTCTAGATTTCCCTGGCCAGAATCTCTATTATCTCTCGGTTCCGTGATTCCCCCAGCAGCCCTGTCTAGACGAGTGATAGCTGTGGGCTCTAGGGGGACTAGGAAGTGGCTGGACAAGCTGCCCAGGGGCTGTGCCCAGAGCTCTGGACCTGGCTGCTTGTATATCTCATAGGTTCAACTGACATGACCTCCAGGAACCTTTCCATTTCACCTCAGCCCACTCTTACCATCTGCTCAGTTTAGCCACATAAATGAGCTCATCCTCCAATCTCAGAGAGGTCCAACCCAATAACAAGATTAATTCTACTTGGTGATGAAAAACCCAAGGGAAGACATGGCCCCAGTATTTAAGGTACGTATAGTCTCCTTGAAGGGACAGAGATTTATGTACTTAATAATAAAAACAAGGTAATGTGTGTGTATTAATTAGTGAGCTGTGCACTAAGCATGCAACTCATAGATGAGATTATCATCAGCATGGTCCTCACTACACAGTCTCGCTCCTTGGGACAACATACCATTTTTAGTTTGGTAAGTAAGTGGGATTAGCCCAGTTGTTAAATGATAGTCTGTGGACTGGTACGTGTCTCTAGTGATTGCCTCCTTTTTTAACGTTGGGGAGTTAAAATGTTCTTTCATTGTGATAAAATGGTGACAGTAGGTCATCAGTTATTATTGCCCTCATGTAGCCTAGTAAAAAGTTGACAACACTATGTTAGGCCCCAAAGATTTTATTTATCATATATGATATATATGATATATATGATATATATGTGGATGTATATGATATATATGATATATATGTGGATGTATATGATATATATGATATATATGTGGATGTATATGATATTTATCATATATATGTGGATGTATATGATATATATCATATATATGTGGATGTATATGATATATATCATATATATGTGGATGTATATGATATATATCATATATATGTGGATGTATATGATATATATCATATATATGTGGATGTATATGATATATATCATATATATGTGGATGTATATGATATATATCATATATATGTGGATGTATATGATATATATCATGTATATGTGGATGTATATGATATATATCATGTATATGTGGATGTATATGATATATATGTGTATATATATATTATATATATATGTGGATATATATATTTTTTCAGATGGAGTCTTGCACTGTCGCCTGGGCTGGAGTGTAGTGGTGCATCTTGGCTCACTGCAACCTCTGCCTCCTGAGTTCAAGCAATTCTCCTGCCTCAGCCTCCCCAGTAGCTGGGATTATAGGCGTCTGCCACCACGCCTAGCTAATTTTTTTGTATTTTCAGTAGAGATGGGGTTTCACCATGTTGGCCAGCCTGGTCTCAAATTCCTGACCTTGTGATTTGCTCGCCTTGGCCCCCCAAAGTGCTGGGATTGCAGGCGTGAGCCACCGTGCCTGGCCCATCTTATATTTTTATTTCAAAACTTTACTTCTCCTTAAAATTCAAAAATATGAATCCAAATATCTAAAGCCCCCAAAGCAGTGTCTTCATCAAATCTGATTGCTCCCATATTATAACTGAAGAGATTAAAGAGGGAAGTCAGCATGTATTTGTAAAGTGCCACTGCAAACTCTCTCTGATCTTGGCACTCTTGGGCCCCACAGAGTTGAAGACAGTGAGGGCTTCATATCTAAAGATGCCATACTCAGATCAGCTCTGTGTATTCCAAGCTACGTACCTTTGCCGAAAATGCTAATGGAAACACTGAAGGGATTATAGCAATTTCACATCTATGAGAGACCTTAGGCATCCTGGAGTCCAACTCCGTAATTTTAGAGGTGAGAAAACTGAGGCTCAGGAAAGGGAAGCAACTTCCTCAAGAGCAGTGGCCACCCCACCTCCACTTTGGAATAGATCATCCATCATGCAATGCATTGCTTTCCTCCAGCCCTACTGGGTCTTGGATGCCAGACTCCTGAGGCTGCTTTAACTCTTGAACCCTGAATTTCCTTTGTCACCAAAACCTATGACAGGAATTTGATGGCTCTGGGGGTGGAAAAGGAGGCTGTCCTCTTAGATCAGTTACAGGCACTCTCCATAGAACTCCTTTGGGGACTTCCCTGGTGCGAGTCAGATGACTCCTGAGGACTTGAGATAGTATTGGGTAATGAAAAGACTTCGGAATCAGAGAGCTGTATTCAAAATTTATAGCTTGGGCCCATAGCTTAATCTCTGTATGGCAATTTACCCAGCCTTGAATCATGGGCACAGAACTTACCTGGTGAGTTGCTGTAACAATCTGCACGGTGGCAGATGCAGAGCACCTGGAGCAGGGTAGGTATGCAAAAGGGGTGAGTTCTTTTCCCCAGCTTCCCTTCATCTGTATCATTCTTCATTAAGCTGAGAACACTAGTGGTGGGAGAGAGGGTACCATTAACACTTTACAGTACTTAGTGATCAGCTGGCAAGCTTCCTGACTAGGTTAGCCAACCTCACTACCTGGAAGCCCTAAAGCAGTTCAAAATTTAAATAGTAATGGAAAAACCAAACCAAGAAAGACAACATGCTTTAATCCTCAGTGGATGTTGGGGTGTCAAATTCATATTATCTTACTTGTGTTTTAGTTCAGACTTGAGGAAATGCTCTTAGGGCGGGTTAAACAAAAATCCCTCTGACTTCATAGGCGACTCACTTGCTTCGTGGAGCTTTGCAATTTGGACATTGCCCATCTCTCTGCAAGCATTAACAGCAGGCAAGAGCCCTGTGAACTCGATGTGTCTACAAGCCTCGAGGAGATTTAATGAGCCAGTCAATTCAAGGCCCCTTTGCCAGCCTGGCCTTATATGTCTGCCCATTTTAAATTCAGCCTTCTTCTCCTTTCTCAACACTTCAGATCCTTTTATTTTAATTTTCCCTTAATACATATAAAACAATGCAAAGAAATTCCTGGAAACCATGTGCCTCTCCTCCAACCAGACTTGGAGAGAGTGAGTCACTCAGCCTCGTTCCTTGCCTGCCTGCCGGCAAGACACACTGCTCAGGCAGGGCTTTTGTTTCCTCTGGTTATGATTTACGCGGGTGGACCCTGGGCAGGGAAGAGTCGAGTATCAATTTCACTGGGTTACCGTGTTAAATGACCGATGCATGGATGGTTATTGCTGCCTCGGGAGCAAATGAAAGCCCTTCGCTTCCCTGACACCGCCGTCCCCGCTCTGCTGATGATCAGTTAAAAATGTAAATAAAAAGACTGCACTTTGGAGAGAGTCAGCTCCGAAGGGGTGGAGGGGAAATTGCAGAAGCGAAGTTTATTGATCCTCCAGTCAAGATTGATGGCACAATAAGAGCAGGAGGCGAAGAGTGATTTTGCTTTTGAAAACGTTGATGAATAAGCACTCAGGGGCAACAAATAGCTGGGCTCACCGAGTGATGGACGGTGGTGGGGGAACAAGATGCATTTTTATAAATGGGTGAAAAGAGAGGAGGACTTATTAAAAAAATGAATGACCACATGTGGCAGGGATATGCCAGTAGGGAGAAGAAAGCCATTGATTTATGTGTACTACTGGCATTTGAAAATTCAATAATAACATTGACAAATGAGAGGCAAACCTGGCCACAGGACAGCGCTGAGCCTGGAACGGAGAAAGAAAATGCCAAGGTCAGAGAGAAGGAACAGAAAAACATGCTTATGTTGGAAAGCCTTTACATTAACTCATCTATATAAAGACATTACAAAAATCCCTCTGCGATTAGTGCCCGACTCTTTGAGTCGGCAGGACTGGCAAGCAAATGGGGGACGGAAAGGTACCTTGTGGTGCCAGGGGTTCCAGCTGTCCTCCTGCCACCTGAAAGGATATTTGGGTGCTGCACTTCCTGGAGCCTCTCTGCCCTGCTGCCAGAGTCCAAAATAAAAGTGCCCTTGCAATTTAGAAGACCTTGCTGTTGACACCTACATTTTGTCCTGCACTATTTCTTACTGGGGCTTCTGTTGCTGGCACTTTCCCTGTGCTGATTTTTGTGACCATTGTTGTTTTTGTTCACCATCATTTGTGCACACGTTGGCCCTTGGCTGTGGATCATATGCTCCCTGAGGACAGGCTGATGTCTTATATATCTGTAGCTCCCCTCGTGACTTGCAAATGACAAAGGGGCCATACCCATACCATGCCATTTATTTGATTAAGAACTCAGTGGCTCCAGCGCCTCTTATCCTTATGACCTCCCTTTCTCCCCTCCATACTCAGCCTTAATGTTTTCTGATGCAAACAGCTTTCCCCTGATCTCATTCACTCACTCACTCATTCATTCATTCATTCACGTATTCAATGAGTCCGTGCCAAGTACTTGCTCTCTATCAGGCACAAAGCTAGGTGAAAAGTAACATCAGATTACAGATGTTATCTGAAACGTGAAGGATTTGGTAAGAATCTTTTCTGAGCAGCGCTTGCACCTTGGAAGCAATGGTGATAGAGCTCTCTGTGCCCATTATTACCCTCAAGCAGAAGGGTGCTGGAATGCCACTCTTGGTGGTTGCCTTTCTAAGAAAACTCTGAGAGCAGCTGAGCTGCTTTGGGGGGTCTTGGATTTGCTTTGCTTCAAGCCACCCATGGCAATATTTTATTCATTCCTTTTCCTTTTTCTTGCCAACCCCCAACTTACTATCAGTTGTTATTTAGCTGAAGAAGGACAATGGAAACAGTAGACCTGAAACATCTTCCCTGACTGTGTGTCTCTACATGAGAACACACACACACACACACACACACACACAAACACACACCTCAAGCTTTTGACTCATGACCTGTGCTGGCCTCATGTTTCCTGTAGATGCTGCATCAGCTTCTCTGCCTTTAACCACAGGTGTCCCAGCAATGCAACAAGCTGATAATGGGATTTGGGGATTGGAATATTTTAGCCACTTAGTTCATTCCCTGTTATTCTTTTGTTCCCTGGCTCTGCCTTAAATGGCATTGGAGTGTGAGAGGAGGAATCCTCTGGGGAGAGGGCTGTTGCACATCAGCTGACCTCTCTTTGTTCTGTTTGTCCCCCACTTTTGCTGCTGTTCCCCTGTGGCCAGGCTGGCTCCTATGACGTCTTTTCCAAATGCCAGAAGGTGAGAGGGGGCTGGAGCAGAAATATAAATCCTTGCTAATGTCTTCTTGGAAGAGTCTGGAGCTGCAGTCTCTCCCAGGGGCTTGTCCATGGGCATGATCCAAGTGGCTGGACCAAACACAAGGCCCCAGGTGTGTGCACCTGATGTTAACTTAGGATTCCTGTAGGTCTCCATAGGCCGCTAGCCGTTCATCAAATTTTAAAGTTTAAAACTTGTGTTAACCTCTACCGTGCCTTCTTTTTTCTTCCCTGATTTTCTCTCCTGCCTCAGTTCCTAGCCGCAGATGCAGGGTGTGGAGCTGAAGGCTGGGATGACGCAATCCATGGGTTGTGAGAAGCAACTCAAGGTTTTTCCAGCCGCCTGTGGATTCTCAAACCACAGTAGGAAGGCAGCTTTTGTACATCCACTCTTGCAGATCCAGTGACCACAGGTATAGCTATCAGATTCGCTTGCCCATTTGAGAAAACTCGCGTTGAACACATTGGTTGAGACATGTAGCTAAGCCGAGGAATGCCGCTTCCTTCTTTCTCACCCTGTGGGGACTGGGAGATCAGAGACTGAGACACAAACAAGCAATTGTCTAGGTGTCTCTGATGTATCCCCTGGGGATTAGAGCAAGGCTTGGCACCTGGCAGACACTCAATAAATATTTGCTGCATAAATCAATGTATATAATGTATCAAATGCTATAACGGAAAAAACAGAAGTATGCACTGGGAATCTCAAAGTTTAATTTTGCGTCTTAGAATTAAGAATGCCTTAGCAGAAGGGATGACATTTGAATTTGGCCTTCAAGCATGAGTAAGAATGAAGAGCCATCCCTCTGGCCCAATCAGAAGATGAAGGGGAAGGGTGATAACGGAAGTCAGAGATACCAGTTTATAGAGAGTTGAGATAGTTCTGGGGAGAGATAGTAAGCAACTGAACTTTATGACAGTAGTCATCATGACATTTTTTTGAGCATTTAGTATGTGCTATGTGTTTTCACACTCACTACGCTACTCAGTAAGACTGTCATGGATCTTCACAACATTATTCTTACCGACAAGGAGACTGAGGCTCAGAATGAGTGAGCAACCTTCAGTGGTTGCACAGACAATGAGCCCAGGCTGGAGACCAGGTCAACCTGACCTAAAGTGCTGTTAAGCCCCGGGCTGTGGGGAGTTTCCATGGAGCCGATTCTCAATTCTCACGAAGTCAACAGCTGGCACACTGCTGTCATGCTGCAGTTCTCAGTAAATATTTGTTGAATGAGTCAGCCACTGTCAGTTACATGGGTCCGGGCAACTGAGGGGCTTGGCTCTGCTATTTTCCTTCAATGATGACAATCTCCTGCAGGAGGTAAGGAGAGTTTTGGGAAAATCTGTCGGTGAGCACTGACCCTACACAAGTGGACTTTTAATCACAGAAAACAATCCTATGTCACTAAATATCAGAGCTGGAAAATAGCTCAGATAACCTCTTCAGTGGTTTTCAAAAGTGGTTTCTATTTTGCCAGGGGAAAACCGTTCCTCCAAATTCAACATGACGGCTTTCTGAGTCTAACTGATAGATGAAGAAGGGGCTGTACTATCTGGTCAGAGTGCAATGGGGAGTTCAGCCCACTACTCAGCCTCTGCAAAACCCCATGGCAGATTCTGATGTGCCACAGGGTTTTGGCAAATTAAGTAAGGGTGTAGGAGAAGGTACTCTGGAGCAGTTTCCAGGAATTTGGTGCCATGTTGGCTTAGAGAATAACGCCAAAAGGGGCCTTGTGAGAATTCTGTATTCCACATTTTTTTCTGACTCCAGTTCCAGAATCCACATATTTGTGTTTCTGGCTCCAGTTCTAACAGTCAAGGCAGAGGGCGCGTGTCAGTGTGTGATGAGTGTGCAGCAACTGTCCCTGGAAGGCACTGAGAAACACCCAGTAGGACTCTTTAAGGACAAGCAAAGTATCTTCTTCATCTTCACATTCCCTCCTGGCCAGTACATTGCTAAGACTTAAAGCTTTCATTTGTTAACTGAATAATAAAAGTTTGTTTCTCTTTAAAGCATTGCTAGCCATGAGGCTTCCAGGTATTCTTGCTGGGATGAATCCTTTTATTTTAGATATTTTCTTCCCTAAGCTTGTTCTTTTCTTTCTTTTTAGATGAGGCCATCTTTTATTCACATAGTAAGAGCGGGATTGGAATAGAGAGATGGGGAATGAGACAGAGAGGAGGCCTGCCACCTCCATTTGAGCATCATTGCTTGGGGAAAGGTGAGGCAATGGACTCCATCCCAGTCTGTTTTCTGCAGGAGCAGGTTCAAGGTAAGTATAATTTTGTTAATGAGGATCTGAATAATGAACATCTTCCACCCATCCTGTTTCTCTTAAGGAGCCATGCAGGCCGCAGGCCCTTGATAACGTCTAGCCATGGGCTCTGTTTCCCTGGCTACCTTCGCATTCCAGCCCAATATAGGCCCTGCCTGCCTGGGTGGAGGGAAGGGAAGTGAATTCTTGGCTTCCTGAGAATATTTAAGGCAGGCGTGGGGTAGATGTAGGAGGTGGAGGCTCCTGCCTGTTTCCTTGACCATTGACTGGGAAGCAGTCCTGAGTGGGTCAGAGAGGCTGATATGATGTGAGTTTGCACTCAGACAAATTTGCCTTTTCTCCCATGGAGTAGTGGAAATTCTTTTCTTCTGGAGGCAGATCATCCCTCAGTGCTGTGTGGCCTCCAGCCTATCTCTGAGCCTAGGTTTCATTCATTTCCTGTAAAGTGAGGCTAATACCACTCACCTCATAAAAATGTTTTAGGGATTATATGTCATTATGGCTGCAAGCATACCATGTCTATGTGTCATATAATGAAAAAGTTGTCTGTGATTGTAGTTGACGCAAAGAGGAGGTTTCTCTCTGATGATCTCCCTGTGTGGGAAAAATCCTGAGTCCCAGGGCAATCTCAGATCCAGTGGCATCCCTCATCCTGGGGGTCTCCTTCTTGCAGCCAGCTTGCGTTAATCATCCCAGCATTCACAGAGTCCCCCCGGTTGGACTTTGCAGCACAGAGGCCTGGGGCCTGGATGGTGGGAGTGTGTAGGTGAGGCGGGGAGGAGGAAGGAAACGACACTTGTGGGCGTGCTCAGTGTGTTTGTTTTCCATTTGCTGTTTATGAGTGCATGGTTGGGGCCTCTAATTCCATGATGCATGAGTCATTGAGTGGGAAGTGTGCACAGCCCTGTCTTCGTTTATACAAAGCCTTCTAAGGCGTTCCTCCTTCCTGAGGTGTGGGGTCATGGTGAGATGGGGTGGGTGGATGTAGTCTGGTTTAACTTAGTCCATTTCTGGTATGATCACTTTTTTGGCAGAGCATCTGTTACTTGTCATTTACAAGCTTCCCACCCAGAGCCGCTGTAATCCCTGGACCCAATCACAGCCTAGAAAGTGGTGGGACAGAGACAGACAGCTGGACAGACAGGCGGACAAACAGATCAAGGTTGCAAGCTTCTGTTAGAGAGGCTGAAGTAATAGATCTCCCTTCACTGCCACAGAGGTCACTGTGACGACTAGGTCATATTTAATATTTATCTGCGTGTTCCCAACTGCTGGGATTCCCGACAAAGGCAAGAGAATCGTGGAGTCATATAGTCCACGTCCCTTCAGCTAGGTTGAGAATACGGGTGACAGGAGTTGTTTCTGGATGCCTTGTTGGCCAGATTTTTTTCACTGCTGTTTGCCATGATCTTGACCCCCAACATCATGGGGTCTAATTTCAACACTGAAATTAGACATTTGTGAGATGAACCCATAAGCTTTGCTCATTTATCTGTATATACCATGGAAACACCAATCTCAGACATCAAGTGAAATAAAGAGAAAGAAAACAGTATATGATTTTATATTATATGAAATTAAATGTTTATTAACTGGAATATACATGACTTTTGTTGTTGTTGTTGTTGTTGGCAGTCCTGACCCATAGGAAAGTACAGGATTCTAGCATGAATTCCCTTTGATGAATACATACTCTGTCTTCTTGAAGGCTGGATAAAATATGTCAGTGACTTGACCAGGCTGGGGAATGAATTAAGAGAAAAACAAAAAAAATTAATAAAATATTTTTTTTCACGTTTAGTTCCTGGCTTCAGCTCATGGCATCTGAAATAATGGTTCTTGGCCCAACACAGTGGCTCATGCCTGTAATCCCAGCATTTTGGGATATCGAGGCAGGCAGATCACCTGAGGTCAGGATTTTGAGACCAGCTTGGCCAACATGGTGAAACCCTATCTCTACAAAAAAATACAAAAATTAGCCAGGTGTGGTTTTGGTCACCTGTAATTCCAGCTACTTGGGAGGCTGAGGCTGGAGAATGGCTTGAACCCAGGAAGCAGAGGTTGCAGTGAGCCAAGATTGTACCACCGCATTCCAGCCTTGGTGACAGAGCAAGAATCCATATCAAAAAAAAAAAAAGAAAAGAAAAGAAAAGAAAAGAAATACTGGTTCTTCTCCTTACTCCCCATTTTCCAGGGCAGGGTACTTAGCCTCTTCCTTCTCTGTTTTCTTATCTGTAAAATGGGGATAATAATAATACTTTATTGGTACTATGAAGATTACATGAGTTAATGTATGTAAATTGCATAGAATAGTGCTTTGCACATAATAAACATTCAACACACATGAGCCATCCATATTATTCCAGTGGAAAATGCCACTCAACTGTGAGCCCCATGAAGGCAGGGACATAACTGTCTATTGTCAATGTTTAGCACAGTGCTTGGTACCTAATAGACCTCTAATGAATATTTGTTGATTGAATAATGGGTACGCTTTGGATGGAGACTGTCTAAATTGTTGAGTTCATAAAGCATTAGAAGACATGATTTGTTATTGTGAGGATAAAGTCAGTCATTTCTATGCTTACAGTAGCTTCCATACCTCAGCAATGACAGAATACACAGACAGGTCCTCATGTGGTGAGTCTGAGGCTCAGACCAAACGGGCCAATAACCTGATGTTCAGCATGGCAGGATTTAAAAACTAGTGAAGCATAGAATTGTCTGAAGCCACCATTTGGGGAGTCAAGGAGTTCATGCTATCAGTGGCATGAAGGATCTGCAATGCATATCCATGTGAACCAGCTGCTTCTCCAAATCTCTAGCTTGCAGCATTTCTAGCTATGTTGTTTTGGTGAAGGCTGGTGATTGGGGGAAATGGGAGATGCCATGGGGCCACAGGATGATGGGAAATGAAGTGTCTCTTTCTCCAAGGCAGCTGAGCTTATTTTAATGGGCAAGGTCAGCAATGAAATGACCAGGAAGAGAAATTGCTGTCATTATGCATCAGTTGCAATCTTATATCAATTATTCCCTGTACCATTCCCTTTGCCACAGGCTGAAGCAAACATGGCCCTAATCAGTTTTACATCTCCGTTTAATTTTATTGGAAAGAAGAGCTGGCAATGCATCACAGAGGCCGGGTGTGACAGAAAAGGTGACCCCCCTGCCAACTTAATGGCACAATACATAACCCTTAATGAAGTTGCTATCTTGTCCCTCTTTTGCTGTCTCAGCCTGGTGATTTGTGATGGCATCATTTTGCTTTGCCCTCTTTTCATTTCAGCTTTGACAAAGTGGATGAAACAATTATCTTCGTTATCAGCCAAAGCAGTAGAAATGTGATAGTTGGGGAATTTTTGCAGGTGGACGGCCTTGGCTGAGGATCAAAACCAATGGGTGAAATGTGCTTAGGAATTTTTTTCCTCTTCTCTTCTTCCTGTGACTATGGGCTCCTGAAGATGGATTGTGTATCCCAATGAGCAGTGCGAGTCCTATATCACTGTGGCAAGAAGTAATTTCAAGAGAAGGGACAGCTGCAGATAGAAGAGAGCTTGGGATTTTGCAGTTTGTTCCTGTTGAGCCCCTTATATTTGTTTTTCCGTGCATGCCCAGGCCAAGTTTTTTCTATTTTTTAGAGTCACGTTGTCATTTTACATCCACCTGCGTGGATAGAACATGCATTTTTCTATATTATAAATGATACCTTGCATTTATTTAGCATAATTAAAAGTTATTTATTTGTTCACTGATACAAACAACATTTATTGGGGGCCTTCTAAATGTTAAAGAAAAGTAGGTGTTGTAGAAGTACAGAGAAGGAACAGCTATGGATTTTATACTCAAGAAATGGAATATTTTCCCTTTGAGAAATGAGACATGAATATAAGTGAATGTATCATGAGATGGAAAGAGATAAGAATAATTAGAGATATAAACAGTGAGCACTGCACTTGTTCAGAGGAAGAAGTTATTTCCAAAATGAGAGAGCTGGACCTTAAAAAGAGGGTAGGATTGGCCGGGCGCGGTGGCTCATGCCTGTAATCCCAGCACTTTGGGAGGCCGAGGCAGGTGGATCACGAGGTCAGGAGATCGAGACCATCCTGGCTGACACTGTGAAACCCCGTATTTTTAGTAGAATACAAAATGGGCTTGGTGGCGGGCGTCTGTAGTCCCAGCTACTCGGGAGGCTGAGGCAGGAGAATGACGTGAACCTGGGAGGCAGAGCTTGCAATGAGCCAAGATTGCGCCACTGCACTGCAGCCTGGGCGACAGAGTGAGACTCCAGCCTGGGCGACAGAGCGAGACTCTGTCTCAAACAAAAAAAACAAACAAACAAAAAAAAGAGGGTAGGTTTAGAACAAATAAAAATGCAAAAGCATTTATATTTACTATTTTGTAGGCAATGAAGATATGTAGATGGATAGCTAGCTATAGAAATAGATTCGGCTTTGGTAGCAGTTTTATGATACTTTGCCAAAATGATATGGGAGTTGGGGGAAAAAGATTGGATGTGCTTTGGGCCAGGGCAATGGTGAATTGTTATTCTAGTTTTCACTCTGAATATCCAACTGAAGGTGAGAATATAGCATATCTTGTTGAGAAAGAATTTTAATTTTACTAGTGACTTCTGATGTACTGTAAGAAAGGGGTCTATGAAGGCTGGGATGAGAGTGTGCTGTGTCTTCCGTTGCTGGGCTTGGCTTGGTTTCCCCCTCCCCTTCTCTCCAGTGTATGGGCCTGAGATGCGTGGTAGGAACTTAGACATTCATGGCAGAGGGCTAGACCTGTGACGTCCTCTGCTGGTGGATATTTATGGGTATGAATACACAAATGCATACTGTAATTGGCTAACATTTTCCCAGTGCTCCATTTTTGTTTTGTTTTGTTTTGTTTTAAGTAGATAAACTTGTAAAATCCTACTCCAAGTATTTCTTTCCATTGTTTTGGACTCAGGAATAATTACAATTAGTTTTTATGAACTTCATAGGTTCTAGGAAGTCCAAAGTTCTATAAAGTCCAAAGATAATTGGTTGGAGGTTCTTTTTTCAATGAGACTCTCATTGCAAATAACACCCAAATGGGGCCTGTGTTATTAATGGGATTTTCAAAATAGTGAACCTTTTTCCCAGTGCATTCCTCTCAGGGCGATGGAGAGCTATAATGTTGACATGGGTAATTGGAGGCTTAAGTATATCCTTCATATAAATCTACATGTAAGTAAATTAAAAAATAAATACATGAGATAAATTGACATATTTGTATATGGAGAAATTATCCCCAGGAATGTCAATATGCAATCTATTTCATCTCTGCCATTGATCTGCTCTTATTTGGGGTATAGAGAGGGAAGAGAATAGAGAAATGGGGCTGTTCTGACCCTGAGTCTATTTTCTAAAAGCAGCATAGTCAATATTAAACTTTTAAACTAGTACATTGACACGATGGTTGTCTAAGTCTACAGTGAAAAATATCAGGGAAGCATTGTGAATGTAAGGGTCACATTCAATATGCAACTGAGATGTAATGGTCAGGCTGTGAGATACACAGAAGGGAGCCTGGGACTGACATTTTTTAATGCTCTTGCTCCCACATTTAATCACTGGTGCATGCTTCCCTCACTTACCTGCCTCACCCCTGCACCCTCCTTTCCCCCAACCCAACCCACTGCCCAGCAAGGGCTCCTGCCCTGCCCAGAAGGGTACATTACATTCATCACTGCCTTTGATGTTAAAACCTGCCTGCAACTTGGTCCCTGATGGGTGCTGTGCAGCATGAAGAGATTAAAATAACTAGAGCAACAGCAACAAAGCACCCAGAGCTGTTTCTCTTTGCATTCTCTTGGTGCAGCATCTGAGAGAAGTGGGAGGTCCATTTTCGCCTGCTCTTCTCTTTATTCCTATTAAGTGGTGAGTTGAAGGGGCTGGGTGACCCAGAATACAACTAGTACATCACGTGCAGCACCATGTGCCCAAGGACCATCCAGAGACTCCCCCTGAGCAGGCAGGGGTGGGCGATGGGATAATCTTTGGGAAAGAAAACAAGACATTTTTTGGCTGGAGTTGGAGAAAAAGGGAGGCGAGAGAGGGGAACCCTGCAGTTACTTCCTTCGATCTCAGTAAATTGGAAAGGTCTTTCCCTGATGCCTGCTGATATTTCCTGATGGAAATTTCTTCCATTGACAGAGATACAGATGGAGTTTACCGACATGGGACTGCAGACACACTCTGGGATAATGAAAAAATGCCCAAGGTAGCCATATGCTCAGTGGCAGTTTGTTAGAAGGAACTCCAGTTGGGTGAATACATAATAGCATTTTTGGCAGCATTGACTAAGGGAGATCCTCTGTACTTCCATGTCTTTTTGCATTTTTTGGTCTAATTTATGTGGATTTTGAAGTTGCAGTCCTGTTTATTAACATTCATTATGAGGTGCTCTTTTCTCCAATCATGAAATTTATTTTCAAGAGATCAGAGTGACCTGAGGAAAGTGTAAAATTGTGGAACAGATTCTATCTTCTCCTTCACTTCCTTAAAACCTCAATTGTGACCTTTATTTTATTTGAATAACTGTCTTATAATTAACAATGGTGCTATTAATGATGATGATGATGTTACAATGTTATTATTGTTATTATCATCATAACAGTTTCCTTGTATTAAGCAATTATAGCCTAATCTTAGAAGTTAGTATCCTTGTTGCCCAATTGTGGAAACTGGAAATCTTCAAGGTTTTTGCCCAAGGCAGCACAAGTAGTACCTATCAGATTTGGGATTAGAGTCCAAGTCAGCCTTGTTTCAAAGCTTCCGGGATTCCAGCTTTCCAGAATACAAGTATGCCTCAATTTGAGGGACAGGAATGGATGACAAGAATAAGTATTTGCTTGTAAAACATATACCACTCAGAGGTGATTGCATTTCCAGTTTAGATTCCTGGTTCATTTTGTAACCTCAGGTTGCCAGAATAGATTTTTTTCCTTCAATACCTGCCTTTATTATCATGCATAGATTTCTGGAATAGATTCCTCTCCCACATTTTCTTTACATGCATATTCTGCTTATGTATGGAACAGTTTTGTAAAAAAAATTCTAGTCTTAGGATCTCCCAAATATTATTTAATTATATTTATTTATTTACTTTTGAGGGTATTGGAGTAACTTAACCCAGTGCTATTTTCATCTATCCAGGGACCCGATTCATTTTACTTGAGACTGAGTCTACATGGCAGAAATACCACTGGGACACTTTTAGGTGTGGGAATTTGTAAGGAGAAAGAAGCCCAATTGACCATAAAATGTTCTGACCCAGAACTAAGCCAGGAACATTTGGAATCAGTGTTTTGAACCTGGTGTGCACAGAGAATAATTTTGCCCAGGCTTTCTGATGTAGACATAAACTGAAAATGTGTGCAGAGTCTGGAAAACATGCTCTAGAAGGGGGCCAAGGGAGCAGAGGTGAGTGATTTTTCTTCGGTTTCCAACGTTGTAGTCAATATCTCTTACGTATCATGCATGCCATGTTGTGGGCTAAAGTGGAGCTGGATGGACCACACAATCAAGGTAATAGTACAGCCTGTCAGGTTGAAGGTAAGTGGCTCATTTTGTAGATGAATTTGCTTCCTTCTTTTGGAAATATACTAAAAATCATGCACCTTCCAGTAGGACTTTATGCCCTCATTTCAGTCTCCCAGTGTTCCTTCACATTCTTCCCAGGTCTAGCTCCCTGCTGAGGAAATTTGGTATGCCCCTAATTAAGTGAGGCTAGCTCATTCTCAAGTCATATAAAACATATTTATAAACTCCCATTCTCTGGCCAAGCCCTTGGTTTCCTAAAACTTCACCCGTCTTCTTCTAAGGTCAGTGTGTGTGTGTGTGTGTGTGTGTGTGTGTGTGTGTTTTATTGATACACCTGAGGGTGAGGTTTGGGGATAGGGTGGTAAAGGGGGAAGACAAATGAACTTGAATTTGATGGGACATAAAAGTCAGTTGAACTGTGCCTTGTAACAGGGCTCCTATCTGATTGGCATATCAGAGGTGGGGCCAAGGCTGTGTCTTAGAGGGAGGGGCAGCCAGCAGCTCCTATCAGCCAATTGCCCAGATCCTAGCTGCTGTCTGGCTCCTGGAGATATAAGCTGCCCAGGAATTTTCAAACTGGGTTTGCAGACCCCTGATAGCCACACCCCTTTCTCCTCTTAGTCATCCAGAGAGGTTCTGAGGGAAAATGACAGCTCTGGCTAGCTTGAAGACAGGTGGAATGAGCATGTAACCAGGCCCCAAGACTTCAAGTATATCCAGAGAGCTAGCAAATGAAAGTACCCTGGGCAAAGGTGGTTATCCCAAGGGAGGATGTTGGTAGAAGTGGGGAAAAAAGAGGAAAAGTAAGATGTGTGAGATGCCTAAAACAGCCAGGACATTTTTTAATGCTTTTTCCTTTTCCTTTTTAGTTCCATGACAATCCTGCTAGGTAGATGTTGCTATCACTATTTTATAAATGAGCAATAGAAAGTTCGAGTTAAGTAGCTTACCTAAATTACATAATGTGTAAGTACGAGAGTTGGGTTTCAGACTCTTGCTTGTCTTATTCTAAAGTCCATCTACTTTCCACTCTGACATGCGCTTTTCCAGGAGTAAGAGGCCAGAGAAAGGAACACCCTCTCAGCCCTGCCTTCCTTCTTCTCGATTTCTTTCAGGGTCCCAGAGATGAAAGGGCCAGAAGGCAAAGGGGGCAGTTATCCGGGGCAGAGCTTGGAACACACTAGGGACAAGAGATTCTGTGCTGGAATGGGGAGTGGGAAGGCAAGAAATCTTGTAGCCAGAGCTTGTACAAGCTACCAAGCAATCTTGCCACTTTTCTATTGCATCTCTGTACAATGAACCCCAAGATCTTAGCCTGAAAGGCTCTGTGTCTACTTGCTGTCTCAGTTTTGTCCTGGTTTTGACTATACCTTCACCAGCAAACCCATTTCATGCCTAGATGCTTAGTTCATTTTGTGGCTTCAGTGGACCAGGGACATTTGATCACAAGTTCTTTCCTATTTCTGCTTCTACTAGAACATGAGTCCATTCCTGTGCCTCCTTCTGGGGCAGAGATTAAAGAGAATGTTGAGCCGTCATATTGGCCCATCACTCCAAAGCCAAGTTGTTTTTACTTTAATTGCTCAGGCCTTGACTTAGGGGCAGCTTTTTTATCTCTCTCTCACTTTTCTTTTTCCCTCATAGGACCCATGCCAGGGCTTACCTCTGCTAAAGGATTTGTCCTCAAAGCAGGCAGCAAATCTGTTCCCTTGGCAGAGGATGGAAGCCGTGGCTTGTGACATTCTCCTGATAATGCAGCCAGGCCACGGGCAGCCAGCATTTCTGCAGGGGGTGGGCACCACATATGTAAACAGAAATTGCTCCCCTATAGGAAGCAGTTTCCACTGAAATTGTTTGTCACCTCGGAGAAGTGCAAGCAGTGTGACACATTTGGTTCTGGTGGGAGGGTGGGGAGGGAATTAGGGAGCACCACTTTCTTGTCTTTTAGAGGACAGGAAACTGAGGCACAGAAGGGCCAAAGGGCTATATGGCCAAACTTCTGGAATGCATGGGGGGAGGTCACTGGAACATGGGGCCTTGGAGCCTCTTTTGCCCTCCTCAGATACTGAGGTGCTTCCTCCAGGTGGGCACCTCTGTGATTCCTCAGGAAATCTCAAGTACAGATTGGAGAAATCTGACATCTTCTAATTAGGGAGACAGATGACTGTCATGTTCAAACAACCAGCAGATGAGCTCCAGGCTCAGTGGGGCAGCAGAGCAAGTGGGGAGCTGGTCCATGAGGAGTCAGCGTCATTCCTTGCTGTGGTCTGTTCCTGAACCAGTCCAACAGGCTGGCTTCCTGTTCCCAGAAGCCCTCCAAAGGTACTTCCAGACTCTCTGTATGCAGATGGGAAGACAGCATTCACTGAGGCTTCCTTAGGCAATGGGATATTTTTTCACCAGGGACTTCAGGGCTGATAAGAGGCGGGAGGAGAGAGAATGTGCCTGTATCCTGGGCCATGGAGGCTGGTATAGATTCCATCTGAGCATCAACTTTTCCTGGGAGGGAGCTTGGGGCAAAGCCAGGCTCTTTCTTGGTTTACCCCCTCATCTCAGCACAGAGCCTTTCAGGCTAAGATCTTGGGGTTCATTGTACAGCAATGAAATAGAGAAGCGGCAAGATTGTTTGTAGCTTGTACGAGCTCTGGTTACAAGATTTCTTGCCTTCCCTCTCCCCATTCCAGCACAGAATCTCTTATCCCCTGTGTGTTCCAGGCTCTGCTCCAGATATCTGCCTCCTTCTCCTTTTGGCTCTTTCACCTCTGGGACCCTGAAAGAAGTCGGGAAGAAGGAAGCCAGGGCTGAGAGTGTGTTCCTTTCTTGGGCCTCTTACTCCTGAAAAAGCGCATATCAGAGTGGAAAGTGGATGGACTTTAGAATAAGACAAGCAAGAGTCTGAAACCCAGCTCTCATACTTACGTATTATATAATTTAGGTAAACTACTTAACTCGAAATTTCTCTTGCTTAATTATAAAATAGTGATAGCAACATCTACCTAGCAGGATTGTCATGGCACTAAAAAGCAAAAGGAAAAAGCATTAGAAATCGTCCTGGCCATTTTAGTCATCTCACACATCTTACTTTTCCTCTTCTTTCCCCACTTCTACCAACATCCTCCCTTGAAATGACCACCTTTGCCCAGGGTAGCTTCATTTACTAGCTCTCTAGAGATATTGGAAGTCTTAGGGCCTGGTTACAAAGTGGGTAGCAACCTGGAAAATGATAATAAAATGAGCAACAACAATGGCAAGTATGCATAGGAAAAAAATGCTCAGCATCAGGCATCATAGGGAACTGCAAATTAAGACCACAATGAGATACCACTACACGCCTATTAGAATGGCTAAAATCCAAAAACTGACAACACCAAATACTGGTAAGGATGTGGAGCTACAGGAACTCTCATTCATTGCTGGTGAGAATGCAA